>NC_000009.12:133555456-133869274 GCF_000001405.40 Homo sapiens | reverse complement strand
GGCTCCTGCCTGTAATCCCGGCACTTTGGGAGGCCGAGGTGGGCGGATCACCTGAGGTTAGACTAGCCTGGCCAACATGCTGAAACCCCATCTCTACTAAAAATACAAGATTAGCCAGGTGTGGTAACACTTGCCTGTAATCCCCAGCTACTCAGGCGGCTGAGGCGGGAGAATCGCTTGAGCCCGGGAGGCAGAGGTTGCAGCGGGCGGAGATGGTGCCACTGCACTCCAGCCTGGGTGACAAGAATGAAACTCTGTCTCAAAAAAAAAAAAAAAGAATAAATAGATGGGGACTCACCATATTGCCGAGGCTGGTCTCGAACTCCTCATCTCAAGTGAGGCTGTAGCTGGGATTACAGGCATGAGCCACTGCACCCAGCTTGATTTCCCTTTGTAAGGCACACCTGCATCCACCTGGGTCATTGTTCTGGGTCACTATTGCCTGGCTTGAGTGTCTTGACTGAGGTTTGGCTGGAGGAACCACGTGCTCAGGTTCACATCCCAAGTAGCAGGGGAAGCTGTGGGGCTGCAGGGATAGGACGGGCCAGAGCGGCATTCCCAGGAGATGGCGGGACCCTTCAGGGGTTCTGAGTGTCTTCTAAAGTCATAACAAACATGCACGCTTCTGGCCCTGAGCCTAGTACTTTGCTCTGTTTTTGTTTCTTCATTCGAGCAAGTGGAGGATGGAGTGCAGCCATGAGTCCCTCCGTGGACCTTCTGATCGGGCACAGTCCCCTTTCCGCAAGCTGTGCGCGAGTCCCTGCTTTGGGCCAGGCTCCGTCTCATTCACCTACAGCCACACGGGTAGACACTGTTATCCCCATCTCACAGATGAGCCAACCGAGCCTCAGGGAGCCTCAGCACGGTGCCCGGGAAGGGCGGATTTGAACCCAGGGCAGTCTGGGCTCTTCCCCATTCGCAGAGCATCTCCTGGCCAGAACCAGAAGACTCATTTCTCTTCCTTCTCCCCACCGCGCCCCACCTCATGGGGATGCGGTGCCTGCTGTGCTGTGGGCAGGTTGCCCCTCGTGTTGCCACACAGACCCGAGCCCCGGGTAGCTCACAGCAGTTGGGTTGAGTCAGGACCCAACCGTTACTTCAGATCGAGAAGCATGGAGGGCAGCGAGGATTCCTGTGGCCACCTTGGGAAGTTTCCTCAAGATGAAGGGGACTTTTAAACATGGAACAAGACAGTTAACAATCATTGGAGAAGCCAGTGGCTCTCTCACTCCAAGTCTCCTGGTCTGTCTGTCCGAGGTGCACTTGGGGCCTTGGGTGGAGAACAGCCGGGACTCTTCCCGAGACCTCAGATCCCTGTCTGAGCAATTCCTGTAGGCGGTGTGGGAGGAGTGGCTCATTTCCATTGGTTCAGGAAACGATGCTGGAGGCTGCTGTGAGCCCAGCACTCAGCTGAGCCGGCGCCAGGTGGACCGCCCCACACTGGACCATTTCTCCTGGCAGTTGTTAGCATCCTCAGTCGTCCAGCTAGAGGACCATGGATGGGTCGCTGGATGCGACAGAGCCTTGCTCCTCCTGGGAGAAGGTGCATGTCCTTTCCAGCTCCAGGTGGCGAGAGCTGGGTGGGACATCTCAGGTCTAGCACTGCACAGGGCTTGCGGGGCACTGAAAGCCATTGGCTGCTGCTACTCTTGTCTTCACCTGGTGCATTGGGGTCTGTAGGTGGTGGCCAGGAGGGTGTGGCTGGCCCTGCCAGGGGGTCCTGGAAAGGGAGATTCCCTCCAGAGGCTCTAAGCAAAGCCAGTACTCCTGGAGGCTTGACGAGGGTCAGAGAGGGGCCTGCAGGGTGCCGGGGACTTGTGAGCCTTTTCAGAGCACGTGGCACCCTTCCCTAGGGCCCCAGGCGGCCCCACCATGGGGGCACTCAGTGGCTTCACTGGCTCAAGTGCAGGGTGATTGGGTCACTTTTTTGGCTTCCATCTCTCCAAGGCGCCAGAAAGAGAAAGCTAGAGTTGCGCACGCACCACCTGGCGAGATGGGCTTCCTGGAGGGAGGCCTGGTGGGCACTGGGTGTTGAGCCTTGATGCTGGCCTTGGCCTGCCCAGCTGCAGACCTGCTCTGAGGACCCTATGTGGACAGACGCCTGCCCCGGCTCTGCAGGGAGCGCCGGGACCCTCAGCAGACCCATGGCCGTGTCCTCACTCGGCACTCACGGGCGGTGTTGTGTCCCCTGCAGGGGCGTGTCCTCCTGCAGGCCCCAGCAGCCTTGTGACGAGACCTCTGTTAGGACCGTGTTTTACTGTTGAGGAAACAGGCTCAGGGAGGCTGAGAGTTTGCCCCAGCTCCGAGGGGGAGGCTGACATTCGAACCTGAACTTGTGCGGCCCGGAGTTCCCGCTTCCATGTCACTGCCCCACGCTGCCACCCTGTGACATGTGCTAAACAGACACCACCCCATCATCTGTCATCATAATGGCAAAATTGGCAGGCTCCTCTTTTTTTTTTTTTTTTTGAGACGGAGTCTTGCTCTGTTGCCCAGGTTGGAGTGCAGTGGTGCAATCTCGGCCCACTGGAACCTCCACGTCCTGGGTTCAAGCCATTCTCCTGCCTCAGCCTCCCAGGTAGCTGGAACTACAGGCATGTGCCACCACGCCCGGCTAATTTTTTTGTATTCCTAATAGAGATGGGGTTTCACCATGTTGGCCAGGCTGGTCTCAAACTCCTGACCTCGAGTGATCTGCCCACCTTGGTCTCCCAAAGTGCTGGGATTACAGGCGTGAGCCACCGCGCCTGGCCAGGCTCCTCTTTAAAATCATCGCAGCGCAGTTGCCCCCACACTGACTGATGTTGAGTAGGCGTGTCCTCACTCCCACCGATGGGCTGCAGGCTCATGGTGATTTGACGGCTGTTTTGCTTGGAGGTTCTTGTGAGTTCCTGCTCTGCAGAAGGCGTAGGGATTTCTACAAAACACAGTGGTCCAGTGAGCGTGGGCTCCTCCCCTCCCCCCAACACGTAGAATCCCTCTTTAAATGAAATAATGCAAACTAAAACATGATTACTAGGCTTAGAACTAGAAAGGGAAATCCTCAATTGTCAGAAACCAAGAGGGATGTCAAAGACAGAAAGAGGAGCCAGGCCAGCTTGGCTCCCCACCCACCCCCTGGGGGGCCTGGAACCAGGCCCACCCTAGGGCTTGGGCCCTAACAGCGGGGGTTGCATCATGGTGGAGGTGAGGGAGATGGAATGGAGGCAGTGCAGAGAGCTGAGCCAGGAAGGCTGAGAGAGCCATGGAATGGGGACCAGAGAGCTGTACCCTGGCACACAGAAGCAGCTGACCATCCCAGGCTGGGCAGGGAAACAGTCTCTGGCAGGATACACCCTGCTTTGGCACCAGGCATGGAGTGGGGCCTGAAAGCCAGGGGAAACCAGGAGAGCCCTCATAGTTATGTCTCTCAGAGCCTGGGGGCTCCCTCCACCCATGGAAAACAATTCCCACTGAGGATGCACTTACAGCATAGAACAATATATACGTGTGTTTATACACAATACATATAATCTGTGAATATATGTATGTTTACCAGACTAGCCAGCTGGTGCTCAAAAAGAAACAAATCAGCATGTGGGAGGGGGCTAGCAGATGCAGTCGATGAGAGAGAATTTCTATTCTCGGAAAAAAGGAACAGAATGCAAAAGAAAAGAAGAGAAAATGATGAGCAAACAAGCAAGACAAAAAGAACAGATGGAATTTGAGAAAAGAACTAAATAGAAATTCTCAAAATGAAAATTGAGATTGTTGAAATGAAAAACTCAGTATGTGTCTTAAACAGTAGTCTAGGTGGAGCCGAAGGGAGAATTAATGAATCAGAAGACAGAACCGAGGAAGTCACTAAGAATACAGCACAGAGGAATGAAGTTACAGGAGGTGTGAAAAAGAAGTGAGGCAGAAGATGCAGAGGGAAAGTGCAGAAGGGGCAGTGGAGACTGGGATGAGGTCACATGTGAATAGCTAGACATCTGGGTTCTTTCCAGAAGGCCATGCAAGATTGGGTGATTGTCCTACAGTGAATCCGCAGTCTACGTTTCCTTTTTCTTCCTGGCCCTGTCTTGAGTTTTGATTGTGGATGTTTAAGTTGCAAATACTGTGAGCACAGCACCTCTGTCCTCAGTTTGGAAACTTGGTGCAGTAAAGTAAAAATGCCGAAGTGTTTTTGCGGAAGGACCCATCACGTGGAGTTTTCGGTGCCTGGGCTCTGGGAGCACTGAGGCTTCCTATCCTCTGCTGAACCTGCAGCATAGAGCTTTGCATTTACAGTCACTGTGATCTAAAGGTTTCTCAGGTGGAGTTACAGCTGATGGGCCTACAACCTGAAGACATTGGAGATAAATCATTCAGCAAAGCCAACTTTGTTCCTACCCCGGAGGAGCTCACAGACCGCATGCCCTTTCCTGTGTCCTTCCTGAACCCTCTGCTTCCCTGTCCATTGTGGAGGGGCTTCAGGGACCCTGGCTCTGCGAGGAGTCCACAAGTGGACAATTGGGACGTGCTCCTGGCTTCCCGCAGGCTTTGACCCAGTCTGTGGCGTTACCCGTCTGGCCAGTCCTTAGGGGACAGAGGGCCCCAGCGGGCTGCATATCCAGCCACATGGGCCCTGAACTATAAATGCAGATTCCCAGGCCCCAGAGCCTGTGGGGTGGCGGGGGTAGGACCTAGGGTCTGTCTTTTAAAGTGCCGCCTTTAAAAGGTTGTGCTGTGGCTGTGTGGAGGCTGACGGGCTGCCGGTGTCTTGGAACCTGAGGTCAGAGCAGGCCATGGTTGGGTGGGGATGGAGCCAGGGCTGCCATCCAGGATCCAGACTCAACCACCACAGCCTGTCCTCTGAGCTCTCCAGTCCCCACCTCGTTCCTCAGTGAGTCTCACCAAGCGTGGCCTGGTGAGGCCTGGACGTTGGTGAATGGCACAGAGGCCTGAAGCTTTGGGAGCTGGCGGTGCAGGTGGGCTCCCCAGCATGCCTGGTCGTTTTGAGTGGCACATCATTCCTCTTGTCTTTCCTCCCTGTTCCTCGTCCCCAGCACACACACATTCCTTTCCTCCTGCCCCGCGGCTGTCTGCGGGAGAGGGAGGGAGGCAGGAAGGGAAATGCAGCTGTGCGTCTTCATTCGTTTGTTAACTGGGACTCGGAACAGACGAGGTAATAAAAGTAGGGAAAATGTCATCCTTTGACATTTGCGATATCGGAAGAGTCGGCTGGGGCTGTGGGCTAAGAGGTGTTTGATCATTGCCTGAGAGCCGGGCCCCTGGGGACACCCAGCTCTCTGTCTGTCCTGGGAGTGGGGTGGGCACAGCCAGAGGTGCCCTGGGGAGCTACTGTAGGGCATCCCTCCTCCTGCAGGGAGGTACTTCTGCTCCTAACCTTTCAGGCCAGTGGGTTTCACATGGGGCCGGCTTTGCCCCATCTGACCCCATGGCTATCTCAGGGGTCCGGTGTCTGCTCCAGCAGCCCCTGCCCTGGGTTTTGGGTCACTGGAGTGTGGTTCCCCGTGGTGGACTTCTGAGCTTCCCCCCATCCCCAGTGCCAGCTAGGAAGCCTGAAATTCAGGCCGATGGAGGGCCAGGGCTCCTCCAGCATAGCTGGCCATGCTGAACCCATGGAAGGGGCTGCCCCATCGATGCTGCAGGCCCTCCAGAGCCCTTCATCAGCTGCTCGTGACACGTTCATCCTGGGGCAAAGCGCCCCAAGCTTGGGGCTGAGGCTGCTGTGGTCATAGCAGCTGTAGAAATTGTCCACAGGGGCCACAGATGCATGGACGCAGGAGAACCATGTTCTGGCCTTGGCTGGCTCGCCCGCCACGCCTCCTCTCTGTCTCCGGTTCCATCTGTACGACCCGGTTCCATCTGTACGACCCGACCTGGGGCCTTTGCGCTGACTCCAGGTTGACAAACAGGTTCTTGTGTGTCAGCGCTGACCGAATGCTGGTGCCTCCTTAGACTCCACGGAGGAGGGCTCTGGGCCTGCGCCCGGCTCCTCGGAGGGATTGATCAGCCACGTCTGCCGCAGGAGGTGTGTGAGAGGGGGCTTGGGTGCCCTGTAGTTGCCAAACCCTTTGGGATCTAACATTCTTCCAAATAACTGTAAGGACGTACAGCAATATTGCTTTCATTTTTGTTTTCCCTAAATGCTTAGAGCTCTTAAAAGCCAAAAACACTCCAGAGCCAAGTTCCTCATTACTTGTGAAAGGCCCCTTGTAGCATCAGCATGGGAGTGCGGCTGGGCTGGCCGCATAATGGGCCCATCGAGTCTTGTGTGAGGAAGCACAGAAGGACCCTGTCCTTCCATGACCCCAGCTTCCCTGAGCGCCGGTCCCGAATCACGAGCACGTACAGGAAGGCAGCACTCAGCCGCCGCCTCCTTGGTCGAACCCGCCGTCTCTATGGTTCATTTTCTTTCCTCTTCCCCTTTTGAAAATTGCTGCTGGAAGCGGAACAGGCTGAAGGGAAGCCTGGGGAGTGCATCTGGCTGGGGAGCTTTGGGCAAGTGACCGATCCTCGGTTTTCCTGTCTAGCAAATGTGCAGCGCAGGATGGCCTCGTGGGGTTCCCTGGTGTGGTGTCCGGCACACAGAGCGCCCTCTGGGCTCCGTTCCTATGACGCCAGCACCCAGTGGAGGGTGTCTATGAATTCGGCACGTGGCCGTCGTGGGCCTTTTCTTGTTGCCCACCCCCAGACACACACGTACACACATGCACATACAGCTGCGCAGCCGTGCAGTGCACACAGACTTGTAGCACGCACAAGCAACATGCACACACGACCACACACGCGAGCTGTCACACACATGGACTCACAGATGTACTTGGTGCGATTTCAATGTCGAGGCCGCACCTGCCTCCTCAGGGACTGAGTCTGTCGCTCAGGAGCTCCATTCACCCCGTGAGTTGTGACAGCTTCCCGCCCATCTCATGTGTGTGACAACCTGTGCCCCTGGGCCAGCCAGCTCCCTGTCCCCCACCGCGGGTTCCCCGTATTCATCTGCAGAGCCTCTTGCTCTGTCTCCGGCCTGCTAGCCACCTGTCCCTTTGGAGATCTGTGGAGTGGCTGTGTTGGGCTTTCAATGCCAGGAGACAGGTGGGTCCTGCCTATCCAGAGGAGGCCCACATCACGGGGCAGGCCGGTTAGGGGGAGCAGAGGGAGGAGGAGCGGCTACTGCTTCTCACCAAACCTTCCTCTTGACCAGTCTGCCGGCCAGGGGAGACAAGGAGAGATCCCGTCATGCCACTGTGCACCTGGAGCTCTTGACCTTCTGCATCCCGAGCCCTCCATGGAGCCAGGCATCTGTTTAAATGTCATGCAAGGGAGGGCTTGAAGGGAAGCAAGCAGCACCCTGGGATATTTGCATGTGGGTGGTGCCCTGGCTGCTGGGTGACTTTGGGCAGGTCACTTGACCTCTCTGGGCTCCCATTTCCTCATCTCTGAAATGTGTTGGCACCTACTGTGAACACGAGCTGTACTTAGTAATATGGTACCTTGCAGAACAGCAGCATGGGATGAGTGAGCCCTTTAAAGGTGGCCTCGGTGAAGCCCTCTGGCAGCCCCTGACAAAACAGACCCTTTCTGGGTGAGAAGCAGCTTGGGAGTTGTTAGCAGCATGGCCACAGGAGCCGGGAGTGCAGCAGTGCCCCGCAAATACCAGCACATCCAAATGACAAGTTTTGCTCAGCAAATACAAAACAAGTGTCTAGCCTACAAAACGCTATGCCGTGTTTCTTACCCAGATGCGATGTGCTCAGTTAACAGTTCTCGACGTCCTGCAAAGCAGCGTCCCCAGTTCTGTGATGCCTTTCTGGTTTCTTGTGAAATTACAGGAGCGTCTCTTCTTGTCTCCCCCAGGTCATCTCCGCGGTGTCGAGGCTCTCCCTGCACAGCATCGCGCAGAACAAAGGGATCAGGTGAGCTCTCCGGAGTGCGCTGCCAAGGCCGGGTCCTTTCATCTCCATCGACACCAGCGTGCCTTGTCACAGATACTGGGGTTGGAAGCAGATGCCCTCTGCCTGTGTCTTTATCATGCATTTGCAGCGTGTTGTCGCGTAACCCGTTGGCGGCTGCAGGAAGGGGTGTGGGGGGCGGGAGGCTTCAGCTCACACCGGGGAAATCTTGCAAGCATGTTACTGACGGCTGCAAAATCTCTTTCGATTTAGGTAATAAGATCAGCAAATTAATCCTTTCACAGATCATTGCCTACCTAAATGCACTCTCCACACATCAGAACCGGGGGCTGTGCCGAGAATGAGGTAGCTGGGGTCTGTTTGCAGGGATGGCGCCGGAGCATGGTGGACTTGCCTGGCTTAGGGGCTGCAGGTCCCTGTGCAGGGCACTGGACAAGCCAAGCCAAGGAATTTCTCCACTCTCCGTTTATTCTGCTTGGACTGCAAAATTCAGCCTCAGAGGGTCCCATGACCCCTGTGATCTGGCCTCCTGCTTCTGACACTTGGATGGGGCACTTGGGCGTCTGTGAGAGGAGAGAACAGCCCCAGATGAGAACTGGTCACTGTGGATTCTGACCCACAGATTGAGGTCAGGGAGACCAGGTTCCTGATTGGGTGGGGACGTGTGTCTGGGAGACCCTTGGGAGGACAGGGGCCAGCAGGGTGAGAAGGAGAGGCTGGAATGGCAGAGAGAGCCTGGCCTGAGAGCAGCGAGGATGGGGTCACATCTGGGCACAGGTGACATCATGAGGGTGCCCTGACTTTGGGAAGGGGCCTTACCCTGATGTGATCCGTGGGGGATGCTGTGTATGACTACAGGCTGAGGGGTCCCAGGACGATGGTACTGGAGCTTTTGGGTGGCGCAGTTGCCCCTTGGTGGGGGCCATTTGCTCAGGTTCACAGAGGCACTGGGCAGGGGTAAATGTTCCTAAACCCACGGGGACTTCCGTTGTTGGATTCTCAGAGGACACAGAAATTCCTTTGAATTGAGGTTTTTAAAAAATGTGAAATATAGGATAGACTTTTTTTTTTTTTTGAGCTGGAGTCTCACTCTGTCACTCAGGCTGGAGTGCAGTGGCGCGATCTCGGCTCACTGCAACCTCCGTCTCCCGGGTTCACACCATTCTCCTGCCTCAGCCTCCTGAGTAGCTGGGATTACAGGCACGCACCACCACGCCCGGCTAATTTTTTGTATTTTCAGTAGAGAAAGGGTTTCACCATGTTAGCCAGGATGGTCTCGATCTCCTGAGCTGGTGATCTGCCCACCTCAGCCTCCCAAAGTGCTGGGATTACAGGTGTGAGCCACCTCGCCCGGCCATGGATAGACTCTTAAAATTAAATATTAAGCACATACAAAAGAATATTTAGAACACATTTGGGGCATAAAGAATAGCAGTCAAAACCCCGGTGCCCAGCACCCTGAGTACTTTCTAGAGGATAACTAATGCCTCTGAGGCCCCACCAGTCCCTCCGCCAGGTGCATAGGCTATTTTCCAGCTGGTGCAAAGTCTGTAATAGGCACCGTTTAAAACATGTTTAATTGTTTTTAAAAGTATCATTTCTGGATACAAAGACTATGTGTTTTTTGTTTGTTTTTGTTTCCAGAAATGATGGTTCCTTCTCCTTTCCACCAGCCCATGACAATACAGTACTGTCAGTGGCGTGGTTATACTCCCCAGCCTGTTTTTTTTTTGTTTTGTTTTGTTTTGTTTTTTTTACATATTAGGCAGGAAAGAGATTCATGCAACAAAAAATCAGTCATTTTAATTGCTCCTGCACAAAATACTAGACTTTTGATCTCTTCTCCAAATCCATTAGACATTCTTCCAAACTGGAGGCCTGGTGCCGCAGACCCCACGTCAGACGAGTGACCTGATTCTGTTCCTGGGGAGGCAATTGGCCCGGCTTGGCATTGGCGTGGTCCTGCCACAGGTGCCCACAGCCCTATCCCCTCTCCTGCCGCAGACAGTCCTTGATCACAGTCCTGGGTCCCAGCTGTGCCCGTGTCAGGCTCTCGATGCCGCTGCCCTCCTGAGGCTGAGGTGCCCCATCTGCAGCTCTGAGGGCCTGTTTCCCTTGGGGTTTACAGGTGGCAACGGGAGCCCATTGGTGGCTTCGGGGGTGGTGAGGACCATGGAAAGGGCTGGCCCTGCATCTGTCCTGCATGTGTGTCCTGCTGATTGATGAATGGGGAGGCCCTTTGAGGCCCGGGGTGGGCACCCTCCCTCCGGGCCACCCCCTCCGTCCCCCACGTCTCTGGCCCCTCCACCCAGCCAACCCAAGAGGATGCTGCTGGTGCTTCACGCTGCCGCTCCTCCCAGGATGGGCAGAGCAGTCGGTTGGCCCTGCTTGCTGGCCCTGGTCCTGGGGCTGGCAGATGTACAGGGAAACCTGCCCTCTTCCCTCTCAGGTCGGGGAACTGCCCAGGCAGCATGTGGGCACAGTGGCCCCCTGGACTGGGACTGTAGACCCCAGCCCTGAAGGCTGCCACCCCACAGGAGACCCGAGTGGAGGTGTGACGAGCCAGGGCTGCATGTCGGTGGACCCAGCTCTGAAGTCTGTGTCCTGCTTAGCTGTGGACCTCATGCCGGAGATGTCTCCCCGAGCCTCCCTTTTTACATCTGCAAGATGAGGATAAACACTGGGGGCGTCTCGGATTTATTGAGATGAGACCTGTAAATCCCAGGGCTCAGGGCTCGGCCCAGAGAAGGGCTCAGTAAACACACTCAGTGACAGTAGCAGGGTGTGTGTGGGGTCCCCAAGACCATCCTCAGGTTCTCAGATTCACCAGGAGAAGCCATTATGGTTGCAGAGAAAGATCTAGAGTCAAATCAACAAATGGAAAAGGCCCCGGGGTGGAGCCAGGATACATCGGGCGTGGGTTTCCATTTATCCCCTCCCCATAGAGCCTTCTGCATAGTGCTCAGTTCTCCCAGCAATGGTGTGTGACAGTCGGCATGTGTGGCAACAGCCACAGAACATTGCCACCCAAGCCCTGGAGTGCGGGTCCTCACTGGTGGCCGGTGGGGTTGGGCATGCCTGTGAGGCTGACCTTAGTTACTCCATCCCCAGCGCCTGCAGAGGCCACACTGATCCTGCATGCCCACAGCCCCACCATAAACCACATTGTGAGCATACGCTGCGTGGCCCAACGCCTCAGGTATACAAAGACGCTCTTATCCGGAGGGCCTATCTGGCAGACACTACGGGGCTTAGAGGTTAGAGGTCATCTCCTAGGAGCTGAGCAAGAGCCAGTCTTGTCTTCGGCATGTGGAGGGGTTGAGCACCCCAAGCCTGCTCAGTTACCCCTTTCTGCACACAGGATAGGCAGACATGAGAGACGAAGGGGAGGTGTTTGCAGGCCAAAGGGAAGGGCCTCCTGGGCGCAGAGCGAGGCTTTGCAGGAAGACCTCTGCAGGCCCTCCTCCCCGGGGCCTGGCTTTCCTGCCCTTCTCCTCCACCCTCCCTCCTCTGAGCCCCACTCTGGGACTTTTCCTGGGTCCTTTCCCTCTGCAGCCCTTGGGGTTGAGCGCAGACCTCCACTGGTTCACACGCTCACCCGGGAGCTCAGGAGACAGGTGACAGGCAACCCTCCCAGGCAGCCCCACTTGGTGGCTGCGTCTGAGCAATGTCCCACCTTGCTCCGGATGGGCTGGGATTTCCATGGGGAATTGAACCTTCTGGGGGCAGCCACCAGCACTTCACAAGACACTATTTCATTTCGAGCGTTTTGTAGTGTTAGTGATTAGCAAAAGGTTCTAGTTTAACACAACCCTTTCCTTCTTGAAAACCCACAAGCCAAGCCCACAGCCCTGAAGAATCTCTCCCTCATTTCATGGCTGGGTAGGAGCCCAACGTGCTCCTTCAAAAAATCATTTTCACAACCCTTGCACTTTGCATAATGAGCTGATTTTCCATAAAAGCCCCAATTATACTTCTCAGAGGCTGATGAATTGGAGACTTAATCTAAGAATCCCGCCCTGGTGCCGGCTGGGGGATCAAACGTGTTGGGGAAGCGGGGCAAGGGGGAGGATTGTGGTTGTAGAGTGGGAGAGGGGTTTGTGGAAGGCACCCAGCGAGGCGTGTGGGGATGTGGGTCTTGCTGTGGCCAGAGCTAGCCCTCCAGATTGGGGGTGCCCTAATTTGGGGTCATCACAGCTCTGAACGGCTGGGAGGGAGGAGATGGTGAAGGGTAGGACTTCCTGAGAAGGAAACCGAAAGGTGTCCTCAGGCTGGGAGGTCAGGTCCCATGAAGGAAGCTTCTGTCAGCCAAATGACCTTGGGCAGGGATGCTCTTGGAACCTTTGTCTCTTCTGTAGGCTGGGAGCATGACTCTGCCTCGCGGGGTTGCTCTGTGTCTGTGCATCGTGCAGCGCAGCACCTGGTCCTTGTGGAAGGCCCGCGGCTGCTAGGTGGATGTCCTAACCCCCAAACCCTGAGAGTGTGACGAGGAAAAGGGTTTTCGCAGATGTAAATACACATAATTTTAAGAGGGACGCAGGAAGGTCAGAGTCAGAAAAAGGAGATGTGACGGCAGAGTTAGAGCGATGGGGCTGTGGGCCCAGGAATGCAGGCAGCTTCGGAAGCTGGAAAAGGTAAGGGACAAATTCTCCCCGGCACCTCCTGAAAGGGACCAGCCCCTCGATACCTTGACGCCAGCCCCTAAGACCCGCTTCAGACTTCTGACCCCCTGAACTGTAAGAGTCTGTGTTGCTTGAAGCCACCAACTCTCCAACTCTCTGGTGACCTGTTAGAGCAGGAGCAGAGCCCCCTGGATTGGCTGGGAGGCTGTCTGAAGGCCCAGCTATGTGGCGTGTCTGGGCACATATCAGCATGGGGTCCCAGTGGGGGGCACATACCAGCATGGGGTCCCGGTGGGGGGCACATACCAGCATGGGGTCCCGGTGGGGGGCACATACCAGCATGGGGACCCGGTTGGGGCTCAACCCTGGCTCCTCACTGGGCTGGGCTCCTGGCTTTGATTGTCTCATCCTGGCCCAGCCCTGCCACCCTCTCTTCTGCTTTCTGACTTGTAAAAATTGAAATACATTCATATCACATAAATGTAACCCTTGTAAAGTACGCAATTCAGTGGCATTTAGTACTTTCACCATGTTGTGCAACCACCACCTCTATCTGCTTTCACAACATCTTCACACCCCAGGAAGAAACCGGTCGCCATGAGCAGTCACCGCCCTCCCCAGCCTCAGGCAGCCCCCAGCCTGCTTTCTGTTTGCCTGTTCTGGATGTTTCATGTCCATGGAATCATACGGTGCGTGCCTTTCGCACGTGGCTTCTCCCACCCCGCATCTTGTTTTCAAGGTTCACCCAGCCGTAGCCGGTCATTGCGTCATTCCTCTTTATGGCCGTGGAACATTCCAGTGTGTGGCTAGGCCATATTTTGCGTATCCGTTTATCACGTGATGAACTCTGGCCTGTTTCCACCTTTTGGCTCCTGTGACTAGCATTGCTGTGACGGCTGCAAGGCAGGGGACAGGGGTCAGGCTGAGGTTGGAGTGAGAGAAATGGAAGTAAGCTGGAACTTCCTGCTTCAATTTGAAGTGAATTCTCAGAATATCAGACATACCCGTATTGAATCTAAGCACGACAAAGCATTAGGAACTGGAAGCAGTGACCTCGCATTTCCTTATGGCTTCAAGGACCCACCTTTTGGTCTTCCCATGTGCGGGGGGAGCTGGTGGCGGGTGGCAGGCTTTATCCCGGAGCACTGGGCAACGAGACCTAAGATGCGGCTCGTGCAGGGAGAGGCCGGGTGCCCTCCCGGGATACGGAGGCAGCTTGCAGAGACAGCCTCTTGCTGAGTTCTTTCCTTTTAGCCTCTGCTCCTGCAGTGGCCGGGAGAGCACTGGAACCCCGTGCCTTGCTGGCTGGCCCTGATAATGAGAAAGTCTGTTTGTGCAGTGGTGAGGGCTGCGTCCTTGACTTCCACTCCCAAACCTGGTTTTGCCTTCCCAAATCACCTACAAGGTACCAAATACCTCTCATGTGAGACATCTCAGCCGGAGGCTCCGTGAATGGGCCTTGGCAGACTCTGCAGTTCCCACACCTCCGTGAACGAATGTGCTATCCTCTCTGCACACTGTGAGCCAAGGTGAAGGGTCCGCACGCCAACACCTTGTCCTGCCCCACGAGTCCCGGCCTCTTCTCCCCTGAGTCTTTGCTGTGTTTGAAGACATTGCTGTGGCTCCTGTAGCCTTCTCTCTTGGGCACAGCATCCCCTGCTCTCTCCACTCTCTTCCATCCGGGCTGGTGTCCCTTTTTCTTCCATCTGGGCTGGTGTCCCTTTTCCCATCTGGTGTTGCCTGCTTAATTCCAGGTAATTGGGCTGAGAGGAGATGGGGACGGAAGGTGGCAGTCATTATATGCTTAGCAGCTCATCCCGCCAGCAAGATGGGTTTAATTGTCCCACCTGGTGACATCAAACATCCTGGCCACCTGTCCTCAGTGGGTCTGCTGTGAGGGGACAGGATGACATGTGAGTCCCTGGGCCAGCCTAATTGGAGAGTCTTTTTTTTCCTTTTCTTTCCTTTCGTTACAATAATGGATTCAACCTCCTCTGCATAGGGAGTGGGAGGGGAGTAATTGGAAGACATTAAACTCCTTCCTGGGGAGGGGAGGTCAGAAGAGGCCACCTTTGGATTGCTGGGCTTTGAGGCTGGGGTCTGGCCCCCTCCAGCCTGCTTCTGGTCACAGCGGCCAGCTCTCTGAAGGGTAGGCTCGAGTCACCAGCTGGCTTGCTCCATCAGTCTGGCACCTCTTCCACACCCCAGGCCTCTGTTGCCCTGGTCAGTAGCACAAGCCAAGGGCAACTCAGTGAGGAGTAGCAGTGGGCAGCCCCAGTTCTCTGGCCTGGCATGGTCACTGCCTCATTCGCACCACTGCTCCTCTTTTGCATTCGTCCAGCCATGGCTGGGGCCTCCAAGTTTAGGCAGAACAAACTGTGTTAGATGGTGCGTGTGTATGGGTGTGCGCGTGTGTGTATGTACATGTGCACATGGGGGTGTGTGTGCAGGTGCACATGGGTGTGTGTGTGTGCATATGGGTATGTGCGTGTGTGTGTGCAGATGAGTGCATGTATGTGTGCAGGTGCACATGGGTGTGTGTGTGCATTGCAGATTTGTGTGTGTGCAGGTACATGGGGTGTGTGTGCATATGCAGATGTGTGTGTGCAGGTGCAAGGGGTGTGTGTGTGCAGGTGCAAGGGGTATGTGTGTGCATGTGCAGATGGGGGTGTATGTGCAGGTGTGCAGGTTCATGGAGTGTGTGTGTATGTGCAGATGGGTGTGTGTGTGTGCACACGTGTGTGTATATATGCTCATGTGCCCACACCCATCTCTGCACTGGGAGCTCCCGGCAGGCCTGGATCTTGCTCATTCTGTATCCCAGTATCTCCCACAGTTGAGTCTGAATGTAGGGATCATGCCAGCGGGAGCAGCAGGCACCCAGAGTGTTTTGGATCCTCCCTGGGGCTTGGTTGCAGGTTCTCAAGGGCTGGTGCTCCTCATGGTGAGGACAGGTGAAGGGAGGGTGCTCGGCTGTCCTGTCTGGGCAGTGTTGGCATGGGGAGGGAGAGCCCAGGGCACTCAGGCCTGGCTTGGTTTCTTTTGGTTTAGGGATGCCAATGCTGATGTGGCAGCCAAGGCTAGTGACAGAGCTGGCCCTGGGTGGGGAAGCGCTTTGGTGCAGCAAAGGGGGGCGGCATGTGTGGGTTGGCTGTAGTGCAGGGTGATGCAGACTCCGCTTGGCCGTTCCCTGCCCCGCTCTAGCCTTTTGGGTGCTTGTCAGATGGAACCTGCCACACCTGTGGGAGTTGCCACTGGTGGGTGGGACTCATGGTGCAGAGAGGGGACAAGCAAGCGTCAGCAGAGGCCGCTGGGGCAGGGCCTCCCCAGTGCCTGAGGGATTCCTTTTCCATGCACTAGACCTGGCCTAGTGTCCAGTGCTGCTGCTCAGCCTGGGGGCAGCTCTGTACCAAGCCTTCCACCCTCTCTTGGCCGAGGACCCTCTCCCCATGCTTGCTGACTGGAGACCCACACTTGGGAAGGAATGAGTGGCCCTGGGGTAGAGGGAGGCCACATCTGCAGGGGCAGCAGAACACTGACCTTTGCTGTGCTAAAGCCACAACCTGGCCCACTGGCCACCAGGAGTGTGCACCTGGCCCCACGGAGAAGGCTTTGAACCTCTTCCTGCTGTCCTGGGCCTGCCACGGCTTTTACCTGACAGCCGAGTGGCTGGCGGCTGGAATCCAGTCTTGCCACCTCCTAGACCTGGGATGTCGTCTGTGAATAGGGTGACTATGGCATCTTGTGTGTGGGGTTTTCATAAGGACTGAGTGAGAGAATCGGGTGACTCTCTGGGCCTGGCACACGGGAAGTGCATGGTGCACATTGGCCAGTGCAACCTGGGGTGAGTCTATGTGTAGCACAGAAATGGCAGGGGGGGCCCAATGGGTCAGCAGGGGCTGTGCCCCCACCCTGCACCCCTAGCCGAGTGGCAGGGCTAGGGAACACTGGTGTGTCCTCTTTGCGGCTGCCACCATGAGGATGATGGTGTAAAGGAGACACATTTGTTCAGAAATACAGTAACTGGCTGTTTACTGCGTGGCTGGTGTAGATGAGCTCCCTCTTGCTGGAGACGGTCAGGAGAAGCAGGGCTGGCAGCCTGGCAGGGGGGCGTGAACAGCCAGCCTGAGCTTCTGCAGTGGGGCAGGGATCTGCCTGTGTCTGTCTTTAAAAGACAAAATGCAGCTGAGTTTCTCTCTTTGCTCCACTCCCGGATCATCACAGCCATTGTCAGATGAACTTGCTGAGCTGCCAATTTGCCCACTGAGAATACTTCTCTGGCTCATCTAATGGATTTTATTATTGCTTTTCTCCTCTCACTCCCTCCTTCCCATCCCCGCACTCCCCCCACCCTTCTGCTCTGCCTTCTTTCCTTCCTTCTTTTTATTCTTCTGTCTACTCACTTATCTACCCATCTACCATTCATTCATCATCTATCCACGTATATATCTACCCATCTGCCTGTCCATTCTTTCATCCTTCCACCCATCCAGGTACCCTACAACCCATCCACGCACCCACCAAGCCACCCATCTCCCTGTCTATTCATCAGTCTGTCCATCCGTCCCCTCATCGCTACATCTACCCACCCACCCATCATTCAAGCACCCTACAACCCATCAAGCCACCCATCCACCCATCCATTCTTCAGTTTGTCCATCTGTCCACTCATCAGCCCGTCTGTCACTCATTTATCCATCCATCCATACATCCATCCATCCATACATCCTTCCACCACACATCCATCCATCCATGTATCCATCTGTCCATCCATTCATCCATCCTTCCATCCATACATCCATGTATCCATCCATCCATCCATCCATCCATCCATCCATCCATCCACCCATCCATCCATCCATCCATGCATCCATCCATTTATTCACCCACCTATCCATCCATCCATCCACCCATTTGTGCATCCATCCATCCATCCATCCATCCATCCATCCATTTATTCACCCATCCATTTATTTACCCACCCATCCATGCATCCACCCAATATACCCATCCACCCATTCATTCACCCATCTATTCATCCATTCATTTATCCACTCATCCATCCATCCATCCATCCATCCATCCATCCACCCTTCTGTCCATTTCGCTCTGCCCTATTTCACATGAATATAACGCGATTGGTCTCAGTGTGGTACTCTAGAATCATTAAGGCTGCAACCTCTGTTGTGAGGTTAGGACCCATCTGCTCCCAGGCACATAGTAGGCACAGAACAATATGATGTGGGTGGATGAATGAGCTGACTTGGTTCACTCGGGTGCTGATGAGATGCTGGATCAATTTCTTACACCCTGAACCTCAGTGTCCTCACCGGCCCTTTGGAGTTACTGGATTGTTATGAGGATTCAAAAGATGATGTCTGTAAAGTTCTCAGTATAGTGCCTGGCACACAGTGGGTCCAAAAGCTGAGAGTCAGGAGGAGGAGGAGGAGCTGCCACTCTGTGCCTCAGGTTCCTCCTCTGCAAATGGGGATCTCCCGGCACCCACCTGGAAGGCTGCAAGGGTTAAAGGAGGTCGTGTGACCAGACTTTCCATGCGACACATGGCTGCAAAGTTGTCTCCTGAGTGCGTGGTGGAGGCCATGTGGCACCATCTGCAGCGGAACTCAGGAATCCCCTAAAGCCCGCAGAGCCCCAGGGGCATGACTGTCCATGAAAGTGGTTTTAGAAGATGCTGGAGAAAAATGTGCCTCAGCAGTTGTGTGTCTGCTCCAGTTTTCAGCTCCAGAGCATCACACCTGCCCTAGGCCTACTCGGGCAGCTCAGATGCCTGGAATTTGGGCTTGTTCTTCATGGCACCATGATGGGGGAGGACATCCTAGGTGTGCCAGTCGACAGCAGGGTGGTACCCTGCCCACCATTGGCTGATCCTCGTGGACAAATGTCACTTGTGTCAAGATGAGAGAACCCTCTGTTTGAGGAAGAGCCTGAGGGTGTGAGCTTCCTCCTGGGCTGAGGCACATCAGGGCAGTGAGATGGGAAGACAAAGGGATTCAGGGCAAGTCCTGGGACCTGGCAGGTGTCTCCAGGTGACCCCAGTGGGCTCACGGGGCCCTGCTGGCTCACATTTCAGAGGCTGTGTTCAGCTCCTAGAGCCTGGCACATTCATACCAGAAGGATCTTTCATTCCCTCCCGTTACAGATGGGGAAACTGAGGCCCAGAAAGCATCACTTTCCTGAGGTCTCATGATGTTGATACTCAGCCCAAGGAGTCCATAGCCGTCCATTTGTTTCTTTATTTGTTTGTTCCCTCATTCCCTCATTCGTTCCTCATTCTATTGGTGCCTTGTTCTGCTGGGCCCGGGGCCAGGTGCTGGGACATAGCAGGAGCTGGCCAGCCTTGGGATGTGCCTGGTCATGTGGGGAGTGGACACCGGGCCACTGGTCACGTGCAGGTGAACACACTGCAGCTGTACCTGGGTCAGGGCAGAGCAGGGTAGGGCGTGGTGGGTCCCAGACCCGGAGGCTCAGGGTTAAGGGCCTGGCCTGAGGTTGAGAGACTTGGGTTCGAGGCCCGGCTGGGATCCTTGCTCCTGGTGTGACCCTCACCAGGTTCCTTAGCCCTGAGCTTGTTCCCTCATCTACAAATGGAGGCCCATGTGGGCCTGATGGGCAGAGCTGGTGGTGAGGGACCCAACCAGTGAGGCACAGCCGCAAGAGGTGGTTCTCAAAGTAAGGCCTGAGGACCATGCATCCGGGTCCCCTGGCTTTCCATCTAGATCCCAGACAAGCCTGAGAGAAGGGGGTGTATGGGGTGAATGGTGTTCCCCAAAAGCTGTATCCCTCCGAACTTGTGAATGGGACTGTATTGGATAAAGGAGTCTTTGCAAATGTAATTAAAGTAGGGTCCTCTAGATGAGATCATCCTGAATTACCTGGTTGGGCCCTAAATCCAATGACAAGTGTCCTTATAAGAACCACGCAGAGGAGAGACACAGGGAGAAGAGGAGAGGATCGTGTGAAGAGGGAGGCAGAGGTTAGAATGATGTAGCCATAAGCCAGGAAACACATGGAGCCCACCTGAGCTGGAAGAGGCAGGAAGGACCCTCCCCCAGTGCCTCCAGAGGGAGCACAGCTCTGCAGCACCTGGATCTCAGGCTTCTGGCCTCCAGAACTGGGAGAACTGGAGAGAAGAAATTTCTGTTGTTTTAAGCCCCCATTCGATGGTGCTTGGTTACGCAGCCCCAGGACACAAACACAGCAGGGACATGGGTTTCACTTCACAGCCAGCTCTGGGACGCAGGGTCCAGGAGGGGGTCCCTCAGCCACGCCTCCTCAGCCTAGCCTGCCTGTGGGGTGGAGGCCTGCACTCCCTGGAGGCCGGACCAGCATCCTCACGAGCCCTAACCAGTGCTTCTTAACGTAGCCCTGGCATCCACGAGAACTCCCGGCCCAGGAGGAGGCCCGCAGCTGGTGGGGGAGGTTTGGGGTTCAAGGACACCCCTCCAGGTAGCAGGGATGAGGGGTGAGCCTTCGGGGTCAGTGGCCTCCTCCTTCCCAGTGCCCTGTCCCAAGTATAATAGCATGGTGCGTTCGGGGCGGGAGGAATGTCCCGTGCCTGCTCATTGGCATGAGGTGAAGCCCTTTCCAACTCCTGTCCTTCCCTTTAGGGAGCGAAGATGGTTTTACTCTGTAACAAGCAAAACAAACCAAGGCCGCCTCTTCAGCAACTGTCAGCATTAAAAATGTATCTGCGCAGCTGGGTAACATTATCGGCTCATTTTCAGAGACTGAGAAGAAAAGACACATCATGTTTTGTGGTGGGATTTATACATAAGCAGATGAGACGTGAGATCATTAAGAATGTCCCGGAACAGAAGATGACGTCTTGGCATGGTGGTGTCTTGGGGGACTGTGGTCATACATTCAGGTTGTGGTGGAAACAAACCCAAACACGGGCCTGGGTGACTGCACAGCCGGTGCCAGGCTGCCATGGGATGGGCTGCCAGGAGTTCAGGGGAGCCTGAACGACGCAGGAGCCTGCCTGGGCCCAGAGCTGTCTGCCTCACCCCCAGCCCATGGCTTTCTTTCCCCAAAGATGCCCGGCTCCACGTGAGGCATGTTCCCAGGGGCCCGTGCCTGCCAGCACATGGCCTGGTTTTGAAGGCAGCGCTTAGCGGCGTTTCGACAAGAGAGGAAGGAACCCTGGGATCGGCCATCTGGTGCCCTTGCTGGTTGCTTTCTCCAGCCTTTTGTTCCGCTCTTTCCCTATTATCTTTATTGATGCATTAATTTAACTTGTAATTACTTTGAACACTCACAAGCTGGCCAGTCAACCCAAGAACAAGAAACTTGGAAGTTTCTAACTCTTAGGACACAAAGGAGCTGCGTCTACTCCAGCGCCTGCCAGGAAGTAACCACCATCCTAAATTTGGGGTTTACCCTTTTATCAAAATTCAAATACTGTTTCGTTTCATCTTCATTGCTTTGGATTTTTTTTTTTTTTTTTTTTTTTTTGAGACGGAGTCTCACTCAGTCGCCCAGGCTGGAGTGCAATGGCGCGATCTCGGCTCACTGCAAGCTCCGCCTCCTGGGTTCACGCCATTCTCCTGCCTCAGCCTCCCGAGTAGCTGGAACTACAGGCGCCCGCCACTACACCCAGCTGATTTTTTTTTGTATTTTTAGTAGAGACGGGGTTTCACCGTGGTAGCCAGGATGGTCTCGATCTCCTGACCTCGTGATCCGCCCGTCTCGGCCTCCCAAAGTGCTGGGATTACAGGCGTGAGCTACCGCGTCTGGCCCATTGTTTTGGATCTTTACATGAGGAGACCCATTGCTGTTGAAGTGGACTCTTGGACTTGCTTCTTTCCCTCCCTGTTAGTGATCAGCACGGTTTTTGGCAAGCCACTCTGTGTCCCATCTGTCACTGTGGCCCTTCTGGAGCTGCCCCGTCCACCCACCATCATAGCAGCCACGACCAGGCGTGCACAGGGCTGAGCACCTCCCAGGCGTCAGCTCATTAAATGTTCCCCTTGATCCTGGGAGTCAGAGATTTTCGCCCCCATTTTGCAGAGGAGGAAGTTGAGGCTCAGAGAGGTCACCTGTAGCCCAGGGCCAACCCGTTGGGCAGCGTGGGGCTGGAACTTTATCTGACGTCCTCAAGTGGGGTCTGCCTGGGAGTCAGGGGGCCAGGGTTCCGGGCCCAGTATTCATCTAGGCATGGAGCCCCTGGCCCAGGGTGTCCGGGCTCTTCCCGTTCGGTTCTTGGTAGGACTGGCCTCTGACAGCTGAGAAAACCAGCCTCATGCGTCATCTGCTGACCCTGGGGACAGGAGAGGCTCCACTGCCCCTTTAGGGTTGCTGGTGGGGAGACTGAGGCAGGCCTCAACCCCTGTCCAGCACCGAGGTTTCAGCCCTCCCGGAGGTGGGGCTGCTCACGCTGAGGCGCGGTGCAAGGTCCCGGCTAGGGTTGGTGGCTGCGGGGTCCTGGGTTTTCTGCTATTTGGAGAATTTTGTTCTTGGATCCTCCCTTCCCTGAGCACCCACTTGGTGGGAGGGGGCAGCTGCAGGATGGGAACCCTGCACGTCGCTCCAGGTTGGGGATCTGGCATTTTGGGAGCAGGGAGGGTTTGGATGGAACAGGTATCCCAGGAAGGCAGAGGTGAGGCATGGCCAGTTCTGATTGGAACTTAAGGCTGTAGGCCTGAGGCTCCAAGGTGGGTAGTTGGGGGCCTGGACAGCTGGCCCTCGCCCAGCCCCATCCCACCCAGGGCCGCCTTCAGGCCCACGGCTGGCACCACCCACAGGGTCAAAGCCCAGTTCTCTGCTGCAAAGGAGCCCAGCCAAGCCCATCCCCTCGGGGTTACTGTGGGAGAGTGGGGCTCCATCCTCATCTTCACGCTTGCTGGGAGCCCCTGCCCAGTGGCCTGGTGACCCGATCACTGGGGCGGACAAGTCGCTCCCTCTCATCCCTGCCGCCCGTCGGCCAGTCATGTTCACCTACTGTGTGCAGCCCCTCCAAGGCCCAGAGTTCCCGGGACACGGTCTCAGGGTGGCAGCAGAGGGATGGGGTGAGGTGGGAACCCTCAGATGCAGTGGTCTGTGCGCCTCACTGAGGAGGCCATGCCCTGGCTGGGCCCTGATGGCCATGGGGAGGTCTGGGACAGGGAGGCCCAGGCAGAAGCCCTGGGGAACTGCTTGGCGGCCCTGGATAGAGAGCGGCCGGGGCCAGGGCAGCCAGGGACAGGGCTGGACAGGGGAGGGAGCAACGTGTGAGGGGAGCCCTGGGGGTTCCAGCAGGGCAGTGGCCTCTGAGATTTTGTCCAGACCCTTCCTCTGGCCCTGCCTGGCCTCAAGGGGCTCCAGAGTGGAGGCCAGGGCCACCGAGGGGCTGCTGTGGACGCCCAGGTGGGAGTGGCGGAGGGTTGTGGGTCGGGATAGCAGGAAGAGGGTGAGCGGGGCTGGTAGCCAACAGGAGGTGCCGACAGGAGGTGCCAGGGGTGACACCCAGGCCCTTTGGTGTGGTCAGTCCCTTGCGATGACCCAGGGCTGCTCTCCGAGGCATGGCCAGGTGGTGTGAGGTCCTGGCTCCCAGCCCACCTCTGCCACTTTCTGGCTGGCCTCCTTGGGCAGCTTTCTTCACCTCTCTGGGCCTCAGTGTCTTCTTTGGGATGGAGACGGAACCCCATCTTGTGGGGCTATCGGGAGCTTCAGCACAGCTTCCGTCCTGTGAGGCCTTCCCTTTCCCCTGCTCTGTGAATGTAGAGGAAAGATTGGGGCCCCACTGTGCCCTTTCAGCTGGGTGGGTGTGCCCCCAACCCTGCTCCAAGACTCCACCAATGGACAGAGGCTGGTGTCTGTGGAGCAGCTTGACCAGGCTGTCCTGGGACTCCTGAGACTGGCCCCACCTCGGTCAATTGATGCCACAATGGAGGGTTGACCAGGGCTCTCCTGGAAACCTGCTCTCTGCTGGGACTGGCATCCCTGTCTCACCAGGGCTGATAAATCCATCAGCCACCTGGAGTGTGTCCATCCCAGTGGACTCAGAGAGAATACTGTGATTGACTAGTGATGCCTGCCATGGGCAGGGGATGGAAGGGTAGTGGCTGCTCCTAGACAGGCCCTGGGGTTGCTGTCCCTGTCACAGCCGATCCTCCAACGTGAGGCCCCGTCACACTAGGGAGACTGCCAAGGCCTCGGCCACCCAGCTGACCCTTCATTTCCCAGCAGACAAGTCGGCAGGAAGTGCAGGGAGGGGGAAGAGGGCCTTCAGCTGCTGCGTCACCCAGTCCCCCTTGGCAGCCTAGAGAGGAGAGAGATCTCGCCTGAGGTGACACAGCAGATTGGTGGTTGCAGAGAACCCCCAGTGCGGCCCCCCATTCTGGCCCTCCCACCCCAGCTCTCCGAGTAGGGATCCTGCCTGCAGCTCCCAGCTTCCGAGTGTTTGCTGGAGGAAGGTCTGCATTTTAAACTTGTTGCCTTGGGCGTGCCATGCGGGCTGTTCCTCCTGGGTCTCAGACCAGAGCCCCTGCCATCCAGCCCGTGGATTCAGTCCCCGGCCTGGCCCAGCGCGTCCACGCTTCTGCCTCTGGCCAGGGTGGGACACACGTGCAGACAAGCCGCTGTGGCCCATGTCCGCCCACCCAAAACTGCCCAGCCTGGCTTGTGTGATCCGGCGACTGTGCCAGACGCGAGAGCGGGGGAAGCTCAGGAAGCCGTTTGTGTGCTGCCCTCCTGCAACAGACCTCCACTGGCCCAGGGAAGGAAACTGCTGTGTTCAGGGAGAGGTAAAAAAAAGGAACGGTGTTTCCAGTAGCTGACAGAGCGTTCCATGTTCACAGGAGGATCTCAGAGCTGTCCTGGTTGGGGCTGCTGAGGAACCCGGGAGCTGTCTGGGGCCCTCATGGGCACCGTCGGGCACAGAGAGTGCTGACCTGCAGGCCTGGAGTCTGGAAGCTTGGGCAGACCCAAGCCTTGCCTCAGTTTCCTCCTCGTGAATCAGACCTGTCGTGTCTGCGTTCCTGTGCCATAGTCCTCATTAGTCACTCTGTCCACCTTTCTCTGCCCAGCATGACTGAGCTCGGCCGAGGGTCCCCAGGCCAAGGCCAGAGGACAGCTGGGGGCTCTGGCCCATCAGTGCCCAGTTTGGAAGCATCCTGATCCCTGTCCTGTGTCTGCAGGGAGTGTGTGTAGCTTTGGGTTTGCAGAAGTGAGATGCACAGAGGCCTGACCTGGCAGCTGGGTGGAGCAGCCGTGCCAGGGACTGGGGGTGCAGGCCTCAGCCCTGGAAAGCCCCTGCTGGCCTGTGGGCCGCAACGCCCCTGTCCTAGAGCCTCCTCCCTCAGCCCCGTTCTCTGATGGACAAATCCTAAGTGTTTGTCCAGGGGGTTTCCTGCCAAGCCTGGGCAGGTGTTCCCTGGGAAGAGGGCTGGCATGGAGTGAAAGGCAGAGTAGCTTCGGGGGCTCTGCATGCTCACCGGGGAAGGACACCCTGTGGACCACTGGCCATTTCCTTCCAAACCGGTGCCAGCCGAGGTTCCCTTACGAGAAGCGTGTTGGAAAATAAAAATATATATTATGCCTTACAGCTGCTGAGAAGTCACATTCCTCTGTAATCAGCAGCCACGCCAGGCCCCTTCCTCTCCCAGACAAAGTAGAGGGGGCAGGGGACCGAGCATTTCTTTCCGCCTGTGAGATCCGTGTCTTCCTCTGCCTTGCCGAGGTTCTGGAAACAGGGGCAGAAACAGCCTCGCTGGATTGGGGGTCACGTGGGGTCTCTCCTCTGGGGCTCTGGTGTATTCACCATCTCCCCTGGTGGCCTTGGAGCTGGCCACACCCCCACCTCGCTGGACCTGCCATGGCAGATGTCAAGGTCACTGCCGGGGCTATGGCAGTGGTTGTGCCTCAGTGCCCCCACCTTCCAACCCGCCACTCCATGGGACAGAGACCCTCCTACTTCCATCCTGACTTTGGTTTCAGACCCTGGTGGCCACACCGGGCCAGCCCATTGGTCACTCTCGACTCCACCCCCGTGAGACTCCTGCCCCACTTGGCACTTGAGTCTTCATCTACCCCCTGCCCGGGCTGCCTGCTCCAGCCCCTAAACCATGCCCATGTCCATCATCACCTTCCCCCTCCTTCCTTCACATACCACATCTGAGGCAGGTGGCTTGTCCAAATATTACAGTGAGTGAGCTGAGGCCAGGGGGTGTAGGGCCCTTAGCAAGCCTGTAGCTAGGAGTTTGTGGCCAGGGTTCCTACTCTAGCCTGTCTTATACAAAGCTGGAACTCTGGGCCAGGTACAGTGCCTCCCACCTGTAATCCCAACACTGGGAGGCCAAGGTGGGAGGATCGCGTGAGGCCAAGAGTTTGAGACCAGCCTGGACAGTATAGCAAGACCCCATCTCTACAAAAAAATACCAAAAAAACCCAAACAAAGTCAGAGCTCTGAACTCAAAATTAGACTTTACTCTTCACACCAGCTCCCTTGCCGCCACCTGCGAGAAGCCCTTCCTGGTTTCCCCAGGTTCAGACTCCCTGCCACCCCGAGCTGTCTCTGCGTGCTCCCTGCACCCCTCGGCCCTGTGCTGCCTTCGTGCTGGGTGTGTCAGGCTCATCTCCGACACTGCCATCCCCGAGCCGGGTGTGGCCATGGGTGGAAAGCCGGGTTCGACCTGGCCTCCTCCCATTGTGATAGCCCTGCTGGGCTGGGTGGGATGGCGCGCTGAGGAAAGAAACGTGATCCCTGGGCTTGTTTTGACAGTTGGAGCTGTTTAGCAGGAGAACCGTTTCTAATAAGCGAAGCCCTGGTGCTTCAAGGCCTCCCTGCCAATTAGAAGGCGGCACCCAGGTGACTCCCTCAATAATTAAACGGGTCTGGCGGGCCCTCCACGCTGCGCTTCCTGATGGTGCCTTTCAAGTTTGCCTGGCTGCTGTTTCCCCGGCACACAGTGCCAAAAGGGCTAGGGCCCGGCTCCCATGCCCTGGGCGTGGGGTCCCATGGCCCCTCCACCCCTCTGCCCGCGCTGTTCTCTTTCTCCTCACTATGGCCTCCGCCTGGGTGAGATGCCACTGCACCTGGTGGTGTTCCAGTACCAGGCCAGCACCTGGCCCTCCCAAAGCCTGATTTTGAAGCTGGTTTCAGAATTGGAAACTGAGGCTTAGCCAGGCCCCCACCACCCCCCGATAGTGTCAGCACCATAAATGGAAACACTGTTGTCTGCCATCTGCAAGACTAGGGTGGCCAACTTGTCCCAGTTACAGCATCAAAAGTCCCGCATCCCAAGAAATCCCTGTCCTGGGCAAACCCGGACAGTAGATGTCAGGGCTGGCCGCACCTGGCCTCAGAGGCCGAGGGCGCTCCCTTAGGGCCGTGAGCCAGTCCCGCCCTCCAGGATGTAACTCGAGGCTCTGCCTGTTCTCTCGGAGTGCTCCGGCTGGGCGAGGAGCACCAGGGTCACGTGGAGCAGCCTCCCTGATACACTGCTGGTGAACACGGTCCTTGGCAGTCACCGTGCGGGGCCTTCTCTTCTGTGAGTCGGGTTCCACTTTCTTTCTGTACCGGCCAAGTGGAGGCATTAGGGACTGTCTCAAGCCCTGGATCCTTCACCTGAGATGCCAGCAGAGTGTGGGAAACAAAAACTGTCCTAGACTCTGTGCATGATGGCTGGATGAGCCAAGCACTGATTTCTGTACCTTCTGCAATCGTCAGTACCTTCCAGAATCCAAATGTTCATTGAGGGCTGCGTTCTTGTTCAGATGTACTGTGGGAGGAAGTGCTCAGTGGGGTGCCCTGCCTGAGCCATGGCAGGGCCGGGTGGACCATCTGTGGGGAGGGGCGCTTTTCCAATTGTGATCCAGGAATTGGTCCCACTGCGGCTGGCTCTGGAGGCAGAGTGGGCTCAGGCTGAGCTGGTGGAAAGCGGAAGGGGAGAGACCCACGCTGGCACATGCAGGATGCTCACTAGGAGGCTTATGCACCATCTCCCTTGGTCTTAGCAATTGCTACTACCGGCCCCCATTCTGCAGTTGGGGAAACTGAGGCTCAGAGACAGGCAGAGCCAGGGCTTGAACCCAGACCCATTACCTGCAGAAGCCTTGCTCTTAGCTCTCCCCACAAGGTCTCCCCTCCAGTGAGCACAGTTGAGGTGCTGGGGTCTGTTCTGTGGCTTCTCCCTGATGTTATCTCTGGGTGTTTGGGGACGGAGCCTGGGAGCTGCATGTTGGCCCTGGGCAGGGCTGTTTGTGGACACTCACTCCAGGACGAGCTGCATACCTGCTGGGTGGATTCACTCTTTAAGAGGCAAGAGGGGCTTCCCTGCTCTGAGGTGGTGGTTGTCCCCAGGGAAACAGGGCCAGGACTCCAGGGCTGCAGGAGTGGCCACGAGCTCTGCATGATGGAGCCCTGGAGTCCACTCAATATGCAGAGGAGTTCGCTGCCACATGGGGTCACCAGGCCCAGTGCTGCATCCGAGATGGTTTTGAAGCACTTGGCCAGATCCTGGGGCGGTGGTGGTGTGGGGGCCCAGCCTTCTCTCCCTGTAGCTGCTGCTGTTGTGAAATCTTAGATCAGCACCAACAAGCGGTCGTGCTCCCCATTGAACCCCACGTTTGAGGCCCCACAGTCCTCATGGAAGCACAGTAAGGCGTGAGCTGTCCGGGCTCGTCCCCTAGAACCCAGGCACCTGCTACCTGCCTGGGAAGGAGGGCAGCTGTGTTTAGGGTCCTCTCTTTGCTACTCTGGTCTTTGTCTTAAAAACCAAATCTGGCTGCCGGCTCCTCAGGGCCCTCCAAGAAAGCAAACCCAAGCTGTCGTCCCTCTAGCTGAGATCCTGAGGGTCTGCACTGACAGACCTGTGCTTGCTACCCTCAGCTTGGAGACCCCTGCGCGTCCAATGTGCCCCTCCCTCTGGACTGTGGGGCCACCATGCAGCTGTAGGCACAGTGAGTGGCACAGGTGGTGCCCTGCAGACGCCATCGTTTCTAGCAGATTTTCACAGAAGTCCTGAGGGCAAGGATAGGAGCCTGATTTATTATCCCAAAGCGAGATTCAAGCTGTTCCTTCTCCCTGAATCAGTGACAAATGGCCGCCCATGCCAGCCCCACGCAGGTGCCCCGTAATTCCCCGGGGAAGGACGGGAGGAGAGTGAAGGAGCTCTTTGGAAGCAGGAGCTGTGTTTCCTCTGCTCTTCCTTCGGGGTTTGGGTTTGGGCACCCCTGTAGGGTGTTCTGTTTTCTGGTCTGTGTCCTCTGGCTGGTGACTTATTTGGCTGTAGCACTGGGACTGTGATTGTCCTGCCCAGAATTGAGCTCATGGGGAAGGCCTGTTGGGGGCTGGGGGAGCTCCTTGAGCAAGCAGTGGCTCAGGGGCAGGAGTGGGGAGTGGGTGCTGAGGAAGCTTGGGGAGTGGGATTGGATGGGTCGTTTGGGAGGAGGGGCTGCTGCCCAACGCGGGCTCTGCTGGGGATTTCTCTGCACTCAGCACTTGGGGCTTCTCTGCTTCCTGTGCGGACATCTGCTTCGTCCCCTCGGCGGTGCAGTGGGAAACTCTGCTTCCCGAAGCCGGGCACGAGGAAATGCATGCTCAGGAAGGCTCTGGTGGGAGGAGAGGGATGCAGCCGCCCCTGGGGAGCCAGGATGACTGCTCTCAGGACAACTTCTGGATAGGCTGTGGTTGGCCTTCTCTGCTTCTCATTCCCTGCTCTTAACGAGCAAGGCAACGCCACAGGGCAAGGTGTGGGTAGGGGACGCTAGGGGTAAGTGCGGGAAGGAAAATCAGCTGGTGCCTGAAGATGGCCTCGGGGGCGGGGAGTGGGGGGTGGAGCTAGGCCTTGTTGCAAAATGACCAGAGTCTCCACCCAACCCACCCCCACTGGGCTTTAAGTTACAGCTGGGATGTGGCCCCAGGAACTCTGCTCAGACATTCTCTGTGCAAATGTGTGTCACACTGTTTAATCGAGGTCAGTGTTTACAAAGTCCCTACTGAGGGGTGACTTAAATACCTCTGTGTGATCTCTTACAAGCTCTCCTTGAAAATGCCTCCTCGTGTAGGCTGGGCATGGTGGCTCACGCCTGTAATCCCAGCACTTTGGGAGGCTGAGGCGGGCGGATCACGAGGTCAGGAGTTTGAGACCAGCATGGCCACCATAGTGAAACCCTGTCTCTACTAAAAATACAAAAAATTAGCTGGACGTCGGGGTGGGCGCCTGTAATCCCAGCTACTTGGAGGCTGAGACAGGGGAATCACTTGAACCCGGGAGGCAGAGGTTGCAGTGAGCCGAGATCATGCCATTGCACTCCAGCCCGGGTGACAGTGTGAGACTCCGTCTCAAAAAAAAAAAAAAAAACTTCCTCGTATCTAATTTGAGGCTGCCATTTCAGGGGATTAAGAGCAGCCTGAGAATATCTGACACCCACCTTTCTGTCCACTTATCCATGCACCCACTAATCCCACCCACCAACCCACTCATTTGTTCATCCATCCACTCATCCATCTGTCTGTCAGCCCACAAAGTCCAACTACTCTCTCATCCATCTGTCCTTCCAGACATGCATCCATGCACCCATGAATCCAGCCACCCGACAACCCATTTATCTATCCTTCCACTTACCTACTTACCCACCCACCCATCTACCACTCATCCACCCATCCCACCAACCCAGCCATTTACCCATCTAGCTACCCATCCATCCATCCATCCATGCACCCACCTAGCCATTCATCCAACCACTCGCCCATCCATCCATTCATGCATCTTTTCATCCATCCACCCACCTACCCACCCATCCATCCATCTACCCACCCATCCATCCATTCATCCATCCATCCACCCACCCACCTACCCACCCACCCCATCCATCCATTCATCCACCCACCCATCCATACATCCATTCATTCATCCATCCACCCACCCACCCATCTATCCATCCACCCACCCACCCACCCATTCATCCATCCACCAACCCACTCACCAACCTATCCATTCATCCATCTACCCACCCACTCATGCACTCAGCCATCCATTTATCCCTCCATCCACCCATCCATTCATCCACCCACCCATTCATCCACCCACCCATCCATCAATCCACCCACCCACCCAGCTAGCCACTCAGCCATCCATTCGTCCTTCCATCCACCCATCCATCCATCTATACATTCACCTACCCACTTACCCATACACCCATACATCCATCCATCCACCCACCCATTCATCCATCTAGCCACCCACCCACCCGCCCACCCATGCATGCATGCATGCATCCATCCATCTACCCACCCACCCACCCACTTACCCACCCATCCATCCATCCACCCATCCACCCACCCACCCACCCACCTACTTACCCACCCATCCATTCATCCATCCACACATCCATGCACCCACTCAGCCAGCCAGCCAACCATCCACCCCCCGCCATCTATCCTCCACCTACTCATCCATCCATGTACTCATCCATGCCTTTCTAGCGCCAGGCACTGTGCTAGGCAGAGGCAGACCCAAGCTGAGAGACTGATCAAGTCTTCCCACATGCAGTAGGGCTTGGATTCAGCCCTGAAGGATGCTAGCACTTGGGTGAATGGTGGGAGGGTGGGGGACTAAAGGCAGAGAGCAGAGCAGGTACAAAGGCCAGAGGTAGCATGGGCATGGAGGGCTGTGGGGGGAGCGGAGTGAAAGGGGACTGGGGCCTGGTGAAGCCTCCTCTATTCTCCTGCATATTCCTGCGCCAGCGGCCAGGCGCTGAGGCCGTGCACGGTCCCTGACAGGCTGCCTCCCTCTCCTGCTCTTCCCCTTCTGGCAGAGCTTTTGTTGGGCTGTGGCAGAAATTAATTGGATTTGCAGCTCCATTCTCAAGGGGATTTGTGGCCTCAAATAGGGATCTTAGAATAAAAGTAGTAAAGATTTTACGGGCAGCAGTATAATTCTTTGGACTTTAACATTCCTGCTTTATCTCCTCTGGGTTGGGCAGGTAAAGGAAATGACAGTAGGGGTTGAACAAGACACCAAATGAGATGCAGGAAAGGGAAAATTACGACAATCATAGCTCAAGGTCAGGTTTTTAAAAAGGTTTTTTTTTTTTTTTTAATTTATTTTTTTTGAGATGGAGTCTCACTCTGTGACCCAGGCTGGAGTGAAATGGCACGATCTTGGCTCACAGCAACCTCCGCCTCCCGGGTTCAAGCAATTCTCCTGCCTCAGCTTCCCGAGTAGCTGGGATTACAGGCGCCCACCACCGCGCCCGGCTAATTTTTTTGTATTTTTAGTAGAGACGGGGTTTCACCGTATTGGTCAGGTTGGTCTCGAACTTCTGACCTCAGGTGATCCGCCCGCCTCGGGCCTCCCAAAGTCCTGGGATTACAGGTGTGAGCCACCGCGCCTGGCCGACAAAAGGTTTTGAAATGACTGTTGTGCCTTATTTTAGTGGGCACTCACTTTCTGTGTTAGGAAACAAGATTCCAAAATCATCATGGCGAGTGGGGCTCTTAGGCCCTAACGAGGCATCAGAAGGCAGTTTTCTTGGGCAGTGGAAAGTGCCCTGAGTGAGAATGATACTAGAAATACTAAATCGCAGCTGCCACTGTTGGGCCCCCCTAAGTACAGAGCATTCTGCTATCCTACAGCTGCTCTTCCCAGCAGACCTCTGAGAAGGCACTATTACTTCCATTTTCCAGGAGGAGAAGGCTGACACTCAGAGAGGTTAAGTAGGTTGTCCAAAGTCACAGGGAGCAGGCTGTGGGCCTAGGGTTCACACCTGGGTTTGCCCAACTCCAAAGCCTTTCCTCTCCTTCGCTGCCCCGGGCTCAGCTCTCCTGGCAGGGCAGGTGGGTTCTGTCTGAGTCCCAGGACTGATGGAGGAGTAGAGCCCTGTGTTAAGAACCCTGCGCTGGGCTTCAGGGATAGGAGAGCTTTGATTGGTGAGTGATGTCTGCCTGGGCACAGGAAGAGTGAGAGGCACGCGTGTGTGCTCACTCACCATTAGGGTGGGTTTCCTTACAAAGTGTGAATGCATCTCTTGATCGGCTTAGCAGGGCGGGTTCTAGAAGTACAGTCCCCGAATGGCCGTCCTGTTGATAATCCAGGGTTCGATGGGATGCCCTGTTTCCCTAAACTGTCGCCCACACTCTGTGATCAGATTTGAACAAGATCACAACCTCAGGAGTTTGGTATTTTCTCTTCCCTCTCTACATTCTACGTGAGAAAGCACATTAATACTTTGCCATGATGTCATTTTATATGTAACATACTTTTATAGGAGATGAGTGGGGTTTAAAATTTTTTTACTTTTGATGAGGACACATTTTCATAATGAGAATTTTGATTCTATTTTTCTTTATTATGGAAGTCATACCAATCATCACTGAAAATTTAGAAAAAGCAGAAATGACTGACGAGGTTGGAGACAGGGATGGCTGCATGTAAGCGAGGGGCTGGTGCGGGAGCGGGGACAGCCCAGGGCTGGTCCTGGCAGCGGGGTTTCAAGCCTCCATCTCTGGGTCCTGAAGTCACATCTCAGCCTGGCAGAGCCTCCCTGGCTCCTGGCCCCCCACGTGCTCCTGTGCTTTCTGGGGTCACCTGCGTGTGGGCCAGTCCCCTCCAGGTTGTGGCTCCTCAGCCCCACCCCCATCACCTGGGCGGGATCTGTGTCGGCATGGGGCTCTGCATATCATGGGAGGAGATGGATTCCTTGAGGGGCTTCTTGGCCGTAAATGGCACTGTCTCAGCAACGGAGCCCTGATGGTGAGGATGTCGTGGCAGCCTCAGCTCTGCCTGTGACCCAGGGACACACACCTCAACTGGGGGATGCTGCTGTATGGTGATGGGTGGAAGGAGGGAGAGTGGCTGGGAGGAGAGAGCTGAGCTCACCCATGCAGAGGTCAGGCCTGGCCGTGCTGCGCCCTTGGACACGGGCTTTTACCAGGAAGCCACAGGGGCACGCTGACCAATGGCCCAGTCCCTGCAGGTCTGTGACAGAGCCAGGTAGGACCCAGGTTTCCAGCTCACAGATCAGCGGACTCCCCCCTGCCCTCCCGCAGGAGCACAGGTCCCCGGCCTCCGGTTGGGGCGGGGCTGCCGGGACGGACCGCGCGTCCCTGCTGGATCTCGGGCTGAGCAAATGTCAGCCTGACCCCAGGCAAGGAAGCAATCCCAGCTGGCATCTGGGCCCGGGCAGCCCCTCCAGCTGGGATCTCCCGTCCCATCCTTAGTGACAGGTTTCCTACCAGAACACGCACCCTGGGGCTACAGGGGGCTGTTTGGTTTAATTAAGGGGCCTTTCGTGTCTCCTCTAGAGATGAGTGGATTTGGCCCATAGCGTTGAGCCAGCTGCAGCCCCCTCTTCTGGGTGTTTGATCTGCCTCTCCTGCCTCTCCTCCCTCCCCACCCCTCCCTCCCTTCCGCCTCTCCCCGCTTCCTGAGGCTGACCTGACATTTCAGCTCTGAGTGGTTGGCCTGTGCTGGCCTGGGCTCGCCTTATGCAGGGAGGCCTGTAGACTCGGGGCCACACCCATCTGTCTGTCTGCAGAGGATGGAGCAGAGTGATGTTTTGGGTCCTGGGGGAGGAAAAAGCGCTTCCTTCCACCCCTCCAGGTTCTTGAGCTGGTTTATGAATTAAATTGACATAAGACAGATGAGCAGGAGAAAAACAATTATAATTATGTACATATGCATGACAGTTCCACAAAAATGAGACTCAAGAAGAGCCCAGATGATTAAAGTTTATGTGTTATATATATATATATATTTCTATACCATCGTGAACTGCAGAAAGGCACCAGGGTTGGGGCATCTGGAGGGCGGAGTGTGGGGGAGCACCGCCGCGTTCCTTCTGGGGAGACCCCATGGGGCTTCTGCTCCCTTTGTAGGAGGGGAGGCTGTGGATCCAGGCGGAAGGTCCGAGGGCTTTTCATTTTCGGGACTCTCTTCCTGACCTCAAGCCAGTGGCTGGTGGGTGGCGTGGGTGAGCCCCTACCCTCAGTGCCTCAGAAGTCACCCCTCCCTTCCGGAGTCCCCTCCTGCTTCCTCTCCTGCGTGGACTGAGCTGGCAGCCCTCCCACCTGCCCACCAGGAGGTGTGCGAGGAGCCTCATCTCCACTGTGAACCCCCTGGAAGTGGGAGGGTGGGTAAAGGGGAAGGCAGGTCGCCCAGCAGATGAACGCTTTCTGCAGCCCTGACCTGGGCCTCTCGTCTTCCCACTGGACACCCGGAGCCCGGAGTGGGCGTGACACATTCCTTGCCCCCTGGCAAGTAGGCATGGGTCTCCTCTTGCCCTATGGCCCAGTTGGCTCGTCCTGTGACTCCGATCAGTGTCCGCGCACCCTGTGTCCTTCCAGAGAGTGGACAAGAGCCCCTTTGCTCCTGGCTGGGCCACACTGGGCTCTGCTGTGGGGTCCAGCTGGGGTCCCACTGGCCGGCAGTGCCGGGACCTGCTCACCTCCCTCTCGCCTTCTCTTCCGCAGGCCTTTTCCCTCAGAGGAGACCACAGAGAATGACGATGACGTCTACCGCAGCCTGGAGGAGCTGGCCGAGTAAGGCGGGGGGATGGGAGGAGGGATGGAGAGGAGGGAGGGGCAGGGAGGTTCCTGGTGGTGTCCAGGGAGTCAGGAGGAAACATGGCGGCCACAGTGCAGGCAGAGCTGGCCCTGGCCCTTCCCACCGGGGCATCTCCTCATGATGGGTCATGGTGTGGGCTTCCGTGCTGAGTGGGAAGGCATGCATCTGAGAGACCTCAGACATGAGCAGATCTTCATATCCCTTGTACATTCTAGAAGGCTGCCCAGCCAGTCTAATGGCTGGCCCGGGTGTTGGCCCATTGCCCTAGCAGGGTCCTCCATGAGGGCTTGTCTCTGCGAAGCTGTGGGGCAGAGAGGGGGCTGGCCATGCTCCCCAAGCCGGGTCCTGGGATGCCGTGTTGTGAGGAGGGAGCGGTGCTGCCTGGAGCGCAGGTTCAGGGCACAGGAGTGTGTGGGCTCGGGGTTAACACGTGGCCCGGCAGGCACTGCCCTGCCTCGGTGGACCCGCCTCTGCTCTTCTCCGTGTCCACCTCATTCCTCTCTCTGAGAGGCCTCTGCTCCACCCAGGCGCTGCCCAAGCCTGGCCACAGCACCAGGGCCCCATCGGGACCGTGGGAATCTGTGACCAGGGTGGGATCACGTGGCCCGCTCCAGGAGGAGGGAGGTAGGAGGGTAGGAGGAAGGGGCCTCACCTGCAGGTGAGGGACCTGGGCTGAGACCGAGCATCCTTGCTGGGGCCTCACGGCCTGGCTCATCCACCACCCTCCCAGGCCACCGGGAGATGGTGCCTTCGGGCATCCTTGCTGCCTGGGGGCCTCTGGAGCTGTTTGACAGCAGCTTGTGTGTTCTTAGCTCAACTACGGTTTCTTCTGGAAGACTCTTAGTGTTTCTCTCTCCCTTCGTTTTAGAGCACAGACTGAGAATGACAACCGGGAGAGGAGTAAGAGGGGGAGCTGCGTGTATGGGAGTGCCTGCTGTGTATGCTGGGGCTGTCCCTGTCTTACTGCTCAGCCCACATCCAGGGCTGCCTTTAGCTTGCAGGGCCCAGGAAAATACTTTCCGCAGGATCCCTGTGTATATACACAATTCAAGTCATCCCCATATCAGCATGTGGCACCACGCTGGCGGCCCAGTCTCATGCACTTCTGTGAAAGAAATTCCTCACCCACCAGCTGGAGTAGCTGCCACCAGCCCATCCCTTTGATGCTGGGCTGGCCACGGGGTCCTTGGCAAATCCCACTGGCCAGACTCCCAGAGCTCCTCTGGACATCCGGTCGGCCCCACGTGGGTCTGAGGGTTGTAGAGCATCTTAAAGGGGAGAGATGGGCACAGGGGCCATGCAGGTCACAGCCAGGCCTGGGGCGCCCACCTGGAGGCCACTGTCCACCCTGACCAGCCTCAGGAATCTGAGGGAGACTTCAAAAATTCAAAAAAAAACTGCTCACTCCTGGAATCCCAGCATTTTTTGGGGAGGCTGAGGCGGGCGGATCACCTGAGGTCAGGAGTCGGAGACCAGTCTGGCCAACATGGTGAAACCCTGTCTCTACTAAAAATACAAAAATTAGCCAGATGTAATGGTGGGCACCTGTAATCCCAGCTACTTGGGAGGCTGAGGCAGGAGAATCACTTGAACTCAGGAGGCGGAGGTTACAGTGAGCCAAGATTGCGCCACTGCACTCCAGCCTGGGCGACAAGAGTGAAACTCCGTCTGGGGTAAAAAAAAAAAAGAAAATTCCAAAAACAGCTCACTCCAGCATGCAGGCTTCTGAGACTGACTGAGGGACTGTCCATCTCAACCCTGTAAGGGGGGAGGAAACTGAGGCTCAGAGAGGGCAGGGCTTCTGGCTGGTGGCATGGCCAGAGGGAAGTCCCTTAGGGATAAGGCCCCAACCCCCAGCAGAGTCTGCAGCCACCCTACTTGCTATGCTCAGAGTTGGAACATACCCCCCTGTACCCTTCCTGGCATTCCTTGCCTTGGAAATCCTTCTCTGCCACATCCAGGCCAAGGTGTCTCCCACTGTGTGAAGCTGCTCCATCCTGGCCAGCGCCCCCTCAGCACCCATGCCTCTGTTGGGTCTCTGGGCTGCCCAAGGGGTGCACGGTGATTAGGGGGTTAAATGCCTGTCCCCTGCCTATCAGAGGGTCAGACCCTGCACCTTCTTCCTGTCCTCTCCTGGTCCAGCCCTAGCAGGGCAAGCCTTCTGCACATGGTAGGATGCCTGTACCCACAGGACAATGACAGCAACAGTGGGCGGTGCTTACGAGCTTTTTTGGGGCTGGGCACTGCTGGGCTTCATTCCCTCAAATCCCCCACCCTCAATTGCTCTGTGAGGTCTGTTCTGTGGTTGTCCTCATTTTACAGATAAGGAAACTGAGGTCCAGAGAGGGGACACCACTGGCCCATGTCACCCAGCTAGTAAGTGGCAGAGCCATGATTTAACCCTAGCCCCCCACCACACAGAGCCTGTGCCCCCCAGAGCCTGGGGAGCTCCTGGCCGGTGTGAGGGCAAGTTTCTGACCTGCTATTTCTCCTAAGTTACCAGCCTGAGGTTGGGATTCTGTGCTCTCCAGAAACATGCCTCAGCGTTTCTGGACAGTCAGCACAGGAGGGCTCCGGGACGATGGGGCCCACATCGGCCTTATGTGGCCAGGGACTGACATGAAATGCCCACTCCGTAGGAGCCTCCTGGGTGTTCAGCCCAGGACACTTCCTGAACTACAGCCCCCACATGGCCAGGCCTGCCCCTGCTGGTTTATAGTGCACATTCAGTTTAGAGGATTTCTGCCTGGAGAGTCAGGCTAGATCCCAGGTTGCCCATTTTCTTTTTCATTTTTTTTTTTTCTTTTTTTGAGATGGAGTTTTGCTCTTGTCACCCAGGCTGGAGTGCAGTGGCGCGATCTCAGCTCACTGCAACCTCCACCTCCAGGGTTCAAGTGATTTTCCTGCCTCAGCCTCCCCAGTAGCTGGGATTACAGGCATGCACCACCACGCCCGGCTAATTTTTGTATTTTTAGTAGAGACAAGGTTTCACCGTGTTGGCCAGGCTGGTCTTGGGCTCCTGACCTCAGGTGATCCACCTGCCTCGGCCTCCCATAGTGCTGAGATTACAGGCGTGAGCCACCGTGCCCGGCCAGTTGCCCATTTTCCATCTTTCTCTGCCCGTCCTGATTGTGACTGATCTCTTGAACCAAAATGCAAGGTGGAATTCCTCTCACCCAGAAAAGCAGCTCTGGGGAACCTGTGGCTTTGCACTGTCCAATAATGTTATTCCCTGACATTAAGACTGAGCCTCCTTAATCCAACGAGCTCTTTATGACTGCAGTTATTGCAAACGTAAATCATCAGTTCTAAGGAAGGGGAATGCATTTGAATCTTTAACTTGCAATTTGGTCCCAGTGGCTCAAGTTTAATAAATTTTTTATGTTGTTTTTCCCCCTCCTCCTTTCACTGAAAGGCAAGATTTCCTATCCTTTCTCTGTGGACTTGGTGTGGATATTTAGCCATTATGGCAATTTACAAGACACAAGCGCATGCCATTTCTTACCTGGATCCTACTTGGGGAGGTAATGTAGTTGTGAATTTTCAAAGCTGGAGCTGGGGAAATGGTCTAATCAGAAGCCAGGTCTATTAGTATTACAGTTTAAAGATTGCTTGAATTGTAAAGGAAAGAGGTTTAGTTGACTCAGTTCCACCGGACTGGGGAGGCCCCAGGAAACTTATAGTCATGGTGGAAGGGGAAGCAAACACGCTTTTCTTCACATGGCAGCAGCAAGAAGGGCAGAGCAAAAGGAGGAAAGCCCCTTATAAAACCATCAGATCTCGTGAGAACTCACTCACTATCATGAGAATGGTATGAGCGATACGAGGGTCACCGCCTCCATGATTCAATGACCTCCTTCCAGGTCCCTCCCACAGCACATGGGGATTATGGGAACTACAGTTCAAGATGAGATTTGGGTGGGGACACAGCCAGACCATATCACCAGGCACAGGAGTGAGGAGAAGGAAGGGACATTTGGAGCAGAACGCACCTGTTCTTTGCTTTGGGCCCATAGCCAGATGCCCAACATGAAGGTCACCTTGAATGTCTAAAGGACTCCGCTGACTGCCCAGACCCCAGACACTCTGCAGCTGTTTGGGGAAAGTCAAAGACTGGCTCACAGATGCAGCTTGTCTCCCAGGGAACCTGCAAATGTGGTTTTAGGACACCAGCGAGGGGCACCGTGTGAGTGCCTGTGTGCTTTCATTCATTCACACGATCATCGTTCATTCCATCGTCAGCTGGTTCCTAAACACTCTCTGTGTGTCAGGCTTGGAACCAGGAGCTGGAAACATATTAAGATGAAGACACATTTCCTGCCTCCCAAGACCCAGGCCCCATGGGGAGTGTGGAAGCCGAAGGACAGTTTCAGGGCAGTGTGGTGGGATTACAGCGGAGCCACGTCAAAAAATAAGAAGGGACAAACGAAATTAATCATAAGAATGTATTTTATAGGCTGGGCATAGTGGCTTACACCTGTAATCCCAGCACTTCACTTTGGGATTGCTTGAGGCCAGAAGTTCGAGACCAGCCTGGGCAACATAGATCCTGTCACTGCACTCCAGCCTGAGCGACAGAGCAAGACCTCATCTCTTAAAAAAAAAAATGTATGTTATAGTTAACCCAGCATATTCAAAATATTATCTGGGTCACCTTGTGATCAGTGTCACAGATCATCCTTGGGCAGCCTACGTTTTGTGGTGCTTGCGCTGAGTCCTCTGATCTGGCTTATGGAGCTCGCACTTGGGCGCAGGTCACTGCAGCTTGTCATGTTGTGAGCCGGACAGCCACACGTGGCCAGTGGCTCTGTGCCGGGTAGCACAGGTCTTAGATCCAGAACATCTTTCTGGGAGCTGGAGCCAGTCCCCTGTGTGGGCACGTATAACACTGAAGTTATTTTCTCAAGTGCTCTAAGCTCGCTTTTGAGAGCTTTGAATAATGCATAATCAAATAATAAGAGCAGCTGGTTGAAAAAATTAACACAAAATATTGCCACTTAAAAATGCTTTATCAAGCAAAATAAGCCCAAATGGAGGGCCTGTTTTTAAATTGCTCTAATAATCAGTACCTTGCATTTGCATAATGGCTTTTCCTTGGCAGGCACTGCGCTTCCCTTTTCGTTCCTGCCCAACTCTTGGGGGCCCAGGGCTAGATGCCTGCACTGGGGGGCTCCCAGCCTGGGGTCCAGAGGCAGGTTTGTACACAGAAGAGTGACATGCACAAGATGGTTGGCTGTGGGAGCAGAGTGGGGCTGGCGGAGTGCTGGGTCAGAAAGCAAGGAAAGCTTCTCAGAAGAGGTGACAGCCGGGCCTCCTCAGAAGAGGTGACAGCTGGGCCTCAGCACCCAAGGAGGAGTTTGCTGAAGACCGGGGCACTATCCCAGCAGGAGGAGTTGTGCAGGGTGTGGAAGGCGAGGCTGGAGGGCAAGGTGGGGCTCCCCATCTGGAGGTGTGGCTGAGGGTTGTTCCAGCGCAAGTCCAGCGTATTGTGCTATTGTGGGACAAGGCTTGGTGTTTGTAACGAATCAGAATTGTGGAAGTTCCCCGGGGACTCACAGGGAGGATCACCTCTCCCTCAGGAAGGCACAGGGCCCACGTCGAAATGCCTGCTGTGACCCCAACTTGGTGGCACTGCAGTGACAGTGTTTCTCCGCACGGTAGAAGGACACCTTGGGTCAGCCTGTGCTGGCTGCAGGGGGCAGCACTGCTGGGTGTCCAGGAAGGTGGCCGCATGCCGGCGATGCCCGTGCTCAGTGGTCAGCCCCAGTGGGCGCAGCGGTAGCTGGCGATGCCCGTGGTCAGTGGTCAGCCCCAGTGGGCGCAGCGGTAGGTGGTGATGCCCCCACTCAGTGGTCAGCCCCAGTGGGCGCAGCGGTAGGTGGTGATGCCCGTGCTCAGTGGTCAGCCCCAGTGGGCGCAGCGGTAGGTGGTGATGCCCCCACTCAGTGGTCAGCCCCAGTGGGCGCAGCGGTAGCTGGCGATGCCCGTGCTCAGTGGTCAGCCCCAGTGGGCGCAGCGGTAGGTGGTGATGCCCCCACTCAGTGGTCAGCCTCAGTGGGCACAGCAGTAGCTGGCGATGCCCGTGCTCAGTGGTCAGCCTCAGTGGGCGCAGCGGTAGGTGGTGATGCCCCCGCTCAGTGGTCAGCCCCAGTGGGCACAGCAGTAGCTGGCGATGCCCCCACTCAGTGGTCAGCCTCAGTGGGCGCAGCGGTAGGTGGTGATGCCCCCACTCAGTGGTCAGCCCCAGTGGGCGCAGCGGTAGGTGGTGATGCCCGTGCTCAGTGGTCAGCCCCAGTGGGCGCAGCGGTAGGTGGTGATGCCCCCGCTCAGTGGTCAGCCCCAGTGGGCACAGCAGTAGCTGGCGATGCCCCCACTCAGTGGTCAGCCTCAGTGGGCGCAGCGGTAGGTGGTGATGCCCCCACTCAGTGGTCAGCCCCAGTGGGCGCAGCGGTAGGTGGTGATGCCCGTGCTCAGTGGTCAGCCCCAGTGGGCGCAGCGGTAGGTGGTGATGCCCGTGCTCAGTGGTCAGCCCCAGTGGGCGCAGCGGTAGCTGGCGATGCCCGTGCTCAGTGGTCAGCCCCAGTGGGCGCAGCGGTAGGTGGTGATGCCCCCACTCAGTGGTCAGCCTCAGTGGGCACAGCAGTAGCTGGCGATGCCCGTGCTCAGTGGTCAGCCCCAGTGGGCGCAGCGGTAGCTGGCGATGCCCGTGCTCAGTGGTCAGCCCCAGTGGGCACAGCAGTAGCTGGCGATGCCCCCACTCAGTGGTCAGCCTCAGTGGGCGCAGCGGTAGGTGGTGATGCCCCCACTCAGTGGTCAGCCTCAGTGGGCACAGCAGTAGCTGGCGATGCCCGTGCTCAGTGGTCAGCCCCAGTGGGCGCAGCGGTAGGTGGTGATGCCCCCGCTCAGTGGTCAGCCCCAGTGGGCACAGCAGTAGCTGGCGATGCCCCCACTCAGTGGTCAGCCTCAGTGGGCGCAGCGGTAGGTGGTGATGCCCCCGCTCAGTGGTCAGCCCCAGTGGGCACAGCAGTAGCTGGCGATGCCCATGCTCAGTGGTCAGCCCCAGTGGGCGCAGCGGTAGGTGGCACATTGGCTTCTTCCTTCCAGCTTCAAGAAGCATCTCTCTGATTGCTCTGGCCTGGAGTCCTGGGGCCCTCTGTCCCCCTCCTGGCACTGCAGCCAGCGTTCCTAGTTCCCATTTTCTGTTCACTGAGGCTGGGCGTGGTCCGCTGCAGTCTGTGGGGGGCCCTGGGAATGCTTCCAGGCCTTGATGGAGGAGGATTTGGAAAGGGCACCCGGATTGGGTGCCACAGAGCGCCGTGATGAGTGCGTCTTGCGAGGACACTGGTGCCGCTGTGGCAGGGTTGCCCTTGCCTGTCTGTGAAGTAGGCTGCACACCCCAGTCCCCAGCAGGGCCAGGCCGCCTGCCTCTGCCCTCCCTCCCGTGGTGCCGGCAGGTCAGAGGTCCCCGAGAATTCTTAGGGGAATTGAAGGGACACGGGAGAAATTTGAAAGCTCCCACTCAGGGCAGAAGAGAGGCCAAAGGAAGGACATGGACATGAGACCAAGCTTTATTTAGCCACCGCTTCATCCTAGGTGGCTGGGGGAGGGGTGGTTGGACCTGGAGCCTCTTCCCAGAGTGTGCTGCTAGATGTCTGACAGCCAGCTGGTAAACATGCCCCACCAGGAGCATCCTTGTCTGCAGAGCAGGGTCCTGCAACCTCACAGGCTGCTGTGGGAAGGCACCCCGCCACTCCGGTGGCTGCATGAGGAGGGAGTGATCCTAGACACAGCCAGGCTCTGTCAGGAACCGCGTGTCCTCCTGGCTTCTCCCCAGAGAGCATCTGAGCAGGAGCATCCTTGAAGGGAGAGCTGCCCCTGAGTGCGAGCGGGGAGGGAGATTCTGGGGCCAGGGCTCTGGGCGAGGGCTTGGATGTGAGGCTGCAGCTGCTGGCTGCTTTAGTGTGGCGGGTCACCAGGGCCCAAGGTCTAGCTGGCCTTTCCTTTCCTTTCAAGGGGCTGCTTCTCTGGGCAAGTTAAATGCCACACAGGGCCTCAGTTTCCCAGTCTCTGAAACGAAAGCATCTGCCCAGATGGTCTGTGAATCCCACTGAGCTTGAGGAATCCACAATTTTATGATTTAGGAGCCTGCTTTGCATAACACTGGTTTCACTTTCCTGGGAGTTGAAGTGATTTTCAGGCTTAAACAAATGTGATCGTGACACGGCAGGGAATGTAATGTATCCGCGAATGTAGAGCTGCATGCTTTATTGCATCATAAAATGACTGTGCAGCTTTAAATGTGTCATGTTAGCATCATTGGGATAATTTTTTAGGGTGCATAAAATGTAGAAGGAGTTTCTGGTGTCGAGGAGGTTTGGACGTCTTCTTTCTACATGGGGAGTGAGTGGGAGCTGCCTGCTGGCGGCGACCTGGGAGGGGAGAGGCCGTGCTTCTCCCATTGGATCCTGCCCTGGGGCCTTGGCCACTCTGTGCTGTGCCCTTTGTCTGCAGGGGTACAAGGAGTGAGGAACAAACCGCTGTCCTCTATGGCCCACCCTCCCCGCCGTTGTCCTCACCCTGCCCACCTCTCCCAGAGGAAGTTTGTTTAGATACCATCTCCTGAGCTCATGTATGTTCATCTTCACTCTGGGAGGTCCGCGTTGTGGAGGACGCCTGAGTGTGGAGCCCGAGTTGAGCTGGGAGAGGCTGGGTTTGGGACACCTTATGTTCACCCCAGAGGATTGTTTTTCCAAAGGGGACAAGTTTGAAAGCAGACTCCACGAAAACGGCCCCACGAGAAACAAGCAAATGAATCCAGCCCTGTTAGACAGCCCCCGGCCCCAGGCACATGCAAAGCCTGCCCTGGTCTGAAGGAGGCCGGAATGAAGCCCCCTTCCCCAGAGGAGGTGTTGACAGGCATCCCCCCGTCCCTCCCTGGTGGCCCGAGGCTCGTGTGGGGATGGAGGGGAGACTGGAGAGACGGAAGACGGGGCGTTTCTTAAGGCGGGTGATGGCCGGGACAGAAAGGCCTTTGTCCCCCGCCCCCCCACCCCAGGTCCTTCATCGACAAGGACACCTGGCTGGACCGTGGCATTGTCTCCTTGGAGCTGCCTCCCCACTGGCCGTGGTGCCTCATTTGCACAACAGACCCTTTAAGACTGCGTGCTCGGCCCCACCTGGGCTTCTCCTTGGCCGCATGTGGCTCCCTCAAATGCTGCCAAGGGTCTCTTGCTCCTCGGTGTGACTCTGTGAGGCCAGGCCTCTGTGGGGACTGGCAGAATGGAGTGAATGAAGCCAGCGTCCCCGGAGGGTCCCTCTGTCAAGACGCTTCCAGTTGCATCTCCCTGAGCGCTGCAGGCCGGGCCCTGAGCCCTCTCGCTGGACAGGAAGGAGACGGGGCTCTGAGAGAGGAAGGCACCTGGTCAGAGTCGTACAGAACTAGGGGGCAGAGCTGCAATTTGAGCCCAGCTCTGTCTCTCCAAGGGTCATTGTCAGACCACCCCTCCCTAACCCCAGGGGTGGCTAAAGGAGCCCTCCCTGCCCCACAGACCTGGGACCTGGGACCCCGTTGTGGGCCCCTGCACTTCTCACTCGAGGTTCCTCTACCTCCCACATGTGCTGTCCAGGCAGCAGCCTCTGGGGGCAGACCCTGACAAGCCAGGAGGGCAGGAAGCCTTCCTGGAGGAGGTGTTCATTTTGAAGAGTGCGTAGGATTTGCCAAAGTGTGATTTAGGAAACCTGCTCTTACCCCCTGTGCCAGGCCAGTCACTACCTTGTTTTGGGCTGGGGTTTTAAGAGTGTCCTGGCTGGGTCTCTTCTATGTCTGTTCTCGGGAACTGAGGGCCGTTTTGGGCTGGGGTTTTAGGAGGGTCCTGGTCTCTGCTGTGTCTGTTCTCGGGAACTGAGGGCTGGTGGACCTGGCTCGGTGGGGATCCTCTGTAGGCAGTCCAGCCTTTCTCGCTCCTGTGGTCTAGACAAGCCCAGTCCCCGTCGGGAGGTGGCTGTGGGACTGCTGGGCGGGAGCTCCCTGTCCGCACCTTCCCTGTTAACAGAGCCATCAGCACTTCCCTGTGGGGCTGGCTGTGGAGACCGCAGCTCGTTGGGATGAGAGCCCCACACTTTCAGGGACCCTCCCTGCCCCCCTCGGACATCTTGTGGGCCCCTTGGTACTCTGGCACCACAGTGGGCCCCAGCTGTCTCCAGAGGCCCTGCTGCCACGTGGCTGGGGGCTTCAGTGACCTCGAAACCCTGCTCCCCCACCCCCACCACTGAGGGAGAGGCCGTTTGTTCCTTCTCAGTGGGAGATCGCAGGGGAACCCTCTGACGCACGCAGAGCAGGTGCGCGTGACCACCCTGCCCGCTCCGCATTCCCGTGTGTGTGTGAGCAGGTATGGCCTGGGACTTCCAGGGGTTTTCATTTTTAATACCTCGTTAAACTCGAGTGCTTTCAGGACTGATTCGGTCACAGCAACTCTCTGGTCTCATTTAATGCAGTCTCTGCAGAGGGAGGGGACCGGCGCAGAAGGGCAGCTTTAAAGACATACGCATTCATCTTGCCATTTTCCAGGAAGGAGTAGGCAGCTGGGCTTCGGCCCGAATGAGAGGGCTGTGCTGTGTCTGATGAAGGTCCCTCCCCCTCTAAATCGCCCTCCTCGTGCTGTTCTGGAACTCCAGGAAGAGGAAGACTTCTCCCTTTTGACGTTATTTCCCTTGTATTCAGCGTAGATCTGACTGACACACAGTGGCACTTAAGAAATATTGCTCTAAAATGAACAAGCGTCACATGCTGGGTTTTATTGTAGAAGTCCCATCACGTACGTAGTATCTCCTATATCGATTGCCCAACTCCTATTCATTCTACAAAACCCAACCCACAGGTCACCTTCTCTAAGAGGCAGCCCCCAACCCTACCAGGCTGAATTGAAGTTCACCTTCACCAGATGCTTAGAAAGGACAGCAGGACAGTCTCTGCCACCAACTTTCCCTTGTCTTCCTGCTTCTGTTTCTCACTGCTGAGATAAACGCTCCATAAGGGTCATTCATAAAGGAGCAGAGCACAGAGAGGACACCTAACTAGGCCTGGGCCTGGTTCACTGTGGTAGGAGGAAGGGCTGGGGATAATGAGGTCCCGAGAGCATTCACGATTCCCATACTGGAGGATCTGAGCCATAGGTCCATACGCTGTTCGACAATCCCTGCTCCTGTCCCCTGAGAGCCAGGCCCTGGGCTTTGCCGCTTCATCTCAGCCCTCACAACTCTGCAAGGTGGGTGCTCCAGCCCCCATTTTGCAGTTGCACAAATTAAGGCTCAGAGAGGGTAGGTGACTTGCCGGAGGTCACACAGCATGCCTCACATAGCAGAGGGGGAAATGAAACCCTGTGCTGTGGCCCGGGACATTCCCCTGGGCCTAGTCCTTGTGACCTGGCCCAGGGGCTGTTCTTTTTTGGTTCCTGAATATTTTTAGATGGTGGGAGGCTCTTTTACTGCTTAGAAAGAAGCCCCCAAAAAGAGGGAGTTACGGCCAGGAGGGACAGTCCGGTGGACGGGTCTCCTTCCGGGAATCTGGTAGCTGGGGCCTGTGCAGGTACCCGCCTATGTGGCTTGGCGAGCTGGGTGACTCTCATGCCCTCTCTGAGCCCTGGTTTCCCCACCTGTAGAAAAAGCAAGGCCTCCCTCCCTCATGGGTCGTGGTGAGGGTCTGCCAGGGCGTGTGAGAACAAGCTCCCTGATGTGTAAAGCGGTTCTTGTCTGTCTGTCTGTCTATCTCTCCGTCCGTCCTTCCCCACATGCACACCATCCAGTTCCCAGCCGGCTTCTTCAGAGGCTCGATGCGCCTTCTCTCTGCTGCCCCCACCCCAGTCCCCTGGGGATGAAGCACCCTGAGGTGTGGACGGAGGTCAGGAAACATCCGACTCGGTTTCCTAGTAACACACTAATGGCAGCTTGGTACCCTGCTTGGCAGCATCAGACAGCCCGGGGCCAGTGCGGCGCATCCCAGCCTGTCAGCAACACTATTTTATGTCCGCCGTAAACACACAGGCTCACCAGGGGCAGAAAGCAGAGTTTGTTGGTTTTCTTTTGATTTTCTGTGGGCGGCGGGGGCAATGGCCTCTGAGCAGCTGCCTTTCTGTAACAGAATCGGGGCAGGTGGGCGAGGTTGTTGGGCTGGGGCCTCAGGGTCTCGGGCAGAAGGTGAAGGTGGCAGGTTTTGCCGTCCCTGGAGAGCTACAGCCGTGCTCGGGGCCCCTCCTGGAAGATTTCAAGCTATTGTGAGGACAAAAATAATGGTCGGGATTTAGCATCTGTCAGCGCAGCTGACTCCCAGAAAACAGCAGGAGTGAAAGGATGAGACGGGGCAGGAAGGAAGGAGGGGTGGTCACTGGCCTGGGGTGGAGGGAGCTGGGCTGGGGCCCAGGTCTGGCCGTGGAGGCCCATTCACGTCTGGGCTTCCACATTCCTGCCTGGCCATCTCGGGCCTCCTCATGGACCACTGGACAGAGAAGAATGATCCCTGAAACCCACAAAAGCAACACAGCTGAGCAGGAACTAACGCAGCACCAACCCCCATCCAACTTTTTAGTCTCCTAGGTTTTAAAAAATCTGTCATTTTTAATGCTGACCACACTATGTGTTGAGACCGGCCCCTGTGCTAAATGCCGTCTCATTGAATGAGCCCCTCCTTTCGCCCTCTGGGGTGATAGGCCATGCTCCCACTTATTGAGCACCTACTGTATGCTCAGCCTCTACTGGTCTTGTACATGATGGCTGATCCTTGGAACTGTCACTCTCCTGTTGCAGATGGGAAACCGAAGCTTAGGTTATCCTGGTTGCAGTTACAGAGCTAGAAACAGGAAGGGCTACAAAGACAACCCTAGTTTCCCTCGCTGCCTCCCCTCCAGGGGCTCAGGAGCGACAGTCAAGTTCCTGCCAACAAGAGACCCACTGCGGCCCGCCTGTTCCGAAGTGATGAGGACTGGCCTGCTCTGTGGACCAGACACTGGTGTGGCATGGGTGTGGAGTTTTTCCACGAAGTATAGCCTCTGATGACACGGAGCCTCCACACGCTTCTTTCTAGCCGAGACACTGATGTGAAAAGGATCAGTGTGTGACACAGCAGCCTGCCACAGAGCCACAGGAGAGTGATGTAATTGTGCCACGGAGATTCCAGAGCCACTTGCAGACGTGGCAGGGCCTTGAGGTGCTTTTCAAGGACTGGGGGAGAGTGGGCTGGGTCCAGAGGGAAGGCACGACAGCCCGGCCCCTCCCCTGTGGGATTGCGTGGAGGGCCATGTGGGGCTGGCGCTCTGGTTCCGTGTGCCGCGTCTTCGCTGAGTTCTCGTCAAGCTCATGTCTAGTGAGAACGCTGAGGTGAGGGTCCTTGCACAATGGGACCCTCCTGCCCTGTCACTGCCCTGTACTCCCAGGAGACTTCAGACCCCTCAGTGGGTCTCATAGTATACCCCTCCTCCAGCCCAGCCCCTGAGGGTTCCCTCTTCCTCCCAGTGGACAGCTGTGGCCCTCAGGTACACTGGGCCTGCTGGTCATGACGTAAGTGAACCTGCCTTCCAGGTGACTGAGACTGGCCGTGTGTCACCTCCCTGTGCAAGAAACTTGTTTATGGAGGCCGGGCGCGGTGGCTCACGCCTGTAATCCCAGCACTTTGGGAGGCCGAGGCGGGCGGATCACGAGGTCAGGAGATTGAGACCATCCTGGCTAACACAGTGAAACCCTGTCTCTACTAAAAATACAAAAAAAATTAGCCGGGCGTGGTGCTGGGCACCTGTAGTCCCAGCTACTTGGGAGGCTGAGGCAGGAGAAAGGCGTGAACCCCGGAGGCAGAGCCTGCAGTGAGCCGAGATAGTGCCACTGCACTTCAGCCTGGGCGACAGCGAGACTCCGTCTCAAAAAAAAAAAAAAGAAAAAGAAAAAGAAACTTGTTTATGGAGATGGCATCTTTGCCAAGAAGCCAGGTAGCAGTGGCATTTCCACGTCGGTGATGGCCAAAGGAAAGGAGCTATTAGGGAGCAGAGCTTGTTTCCCCAAGTGACACCACAGTAGTGTCTGCCTCTAGGATCTGTTCCGTACCTGGGAGATTTCCTGGTGCCAGGATTCAGATGCAGCTGCTGCCTAGTCAGTCTCCCCACTTGGACTGTGAGGTCATTGGGACAGATGGCCATTGTCCCCTGTGTCCCAAGGACCCAACATATTTCTGATGCAGAATCGGTCATAGGAGAAATACTGGTTAAACCCATTACATCTGGTAGGTTTTTATCTTAATTACTAAGTTTATATTATTAACATTGTTTTATCAAATACGTTTGATTTTATTTTCCTAATTTAATTTTATTTTTTGAAAAACCACTTCTTTACCGTTCCCTTTATTTCTCCCTCTCTCATCATTTAGAATATGTGTGTCATGAAATTTCAGTTCCACTGTTTTAGAATTTCAAATGACACAGAGGAACCCATCTCTCCCAGTGTTCATTGACCAGAATCCAGATGGTTGGGAGAGCGCTTTGGACGAATGAAAAGTGCCATCCGTGTGGCCAGGCTGATGGTCAGTGCTCTGGGCTCCACAAGGAGGGCCCGGTAGGAAGGGAGCCTAAGGGTGTGGCAGGCAGAACCGGGTGACCCCAGATTCCGCCCCCCCAGTATCAACAGGCTCGGATAACTGACATTGGATGGAAGGGAGAGAAGGGATGTTGTCTGCGTGTTTAAGATGATTCTGTCCCAGAGACAGATTCCCAAACACAGCTTCTCCTCTAGTGTTTTTGGTTGCTCACTCTTTTTTTTTTTTTGAGACGGAGCCTCGCTCTGTCGCCCAGGCTGGAGTGCAGTGACGCGATCTCGGCTCTCTGCAAACTCCACCTCCTGGGTTCACGCCATTCTCCTGCCTCAGCCTCCCAAGTAGCTGGGACTACAGGCACCCGCCACCACGCCCGGCTAATTTTTTTTTTGTATTTTTTAGTAGAGACGGGGTTTCACTGTGTTAGCCAGGATGGTCTCGATCTCCTGACCTCGTGATCCGCCCACCTCGGCCTCCCAAAGTGCTGGGATTACAGGTGTGAGGTTGCTCACTTTTAACCTCGGTGCCCCGGGCGAATGACAAGAGGTTAATGGGAAGTGGTGCATGAAGAATGAGCCCGTGTGAAGGAATGTTCCTCGTAGTCATGGATTAAAGAAAGAAAAACAACACAGGCGTGGCTGGGCACAGTGGCTCATGCCTGTAATCCCAGCACTTTGGGAGGCCAAGGCAGGCACATTGCTTGAGGCCAGGAGTTCGAGACCAGCCTGGCCAATATGGTGAAACCCCGTCTCCAGGAAAAATAAAACAATTAGCTGGGCATCATGGTGAGTGCCTGTAATCCCAGCTACTCGGGAGGCTGAGTATCGTTCATAGCATCTCGGGTCCAAGAAAGAAATCACCAAACGCAAGAAACAGGAGAAAGTGAGTCATGCTCAGAAAAGAAGAGTCAATAGAAGCCAACCCTCAGATGACCCAGATGTTGCAATTAGTGGCTTCCAAGAAGCATAACCAGTGGGATCTCTGTAGATGGCTGGGGGGATTTATTATGGGAATTGGCTTATGCAATTATGGAGGCCAGAAAGTCCCGCCATATGCTGCCTGCAAGCTGGAGACCCAGGAAAGCCAGTGATTTAACTTAAGTCTGAGTCCAAAGGTCAGAGAACCAGGGAGCCAGTGATGTGTCAGCCCAAGGCCAAAGGCCTGAGTCCTGGTGTGGGATGGGCAGGTGCTGGTGTGTGTTCTGGAGTCTGAAGATCTGACACCCAGGAGGAGTTCCGATGTCTGAGGGCAGGAGACGGTGGATGTCTCAACTTCAGAAGAGAGCAAGTCCACCCATTTTTTTTTTTTTTTTTTTGAGATGGAGTCTTGCTTTGTCACCCAGGCTGGAGTGCAGTGGCGCGATCTCACCTCACTGCAAGCTCTGCCTCCCAGGTTCACGCCATTCTCCTGCCTCAGCCTCTTGAGTAGCTGGGACTTCAGGTGCCCGCCACCATGCCTGGCTAATTTTTTGTATTTTTTTAGTAGAGACGGGTTTTCATCATGTTAGACAGGATGGTCTCGATCTCCTGACCTCGTGATCTGCCCACCTCGGCCCCCCAAAGTGCTGAGATTACAGGCGTGAGCCGCCGCGCCCGGCCGCCCTCTGCCTTTTTTGTTCTACGTGGGCCCTCAATGGATTGGATGACACCTGTCCGCACTGGTGAGGGTAAATCTTTACTTGGTCTTCTGATTCAAATGTCAATCTCTTCTGGAAACCCCCTCACAGACACACCTAGAAATAACGCTTCACCAGCTCTCTGGGTAGTCCTTAGCCCAGTCAAATTCACATACAAAATCAGCCATCACAGCAGCTATTATAAATACGGTCACGGACTTAGAGGAAAACGTACGACAAATGAATGAGCGGATGAAGAGCCTCAGCAGGGAAATAGAAACTACTGAAAAGTGGCAAATGGAAATGCTAAAACTGAAAAGCACGATATCTGAAATGAACACTCTACTCGCTGGATCAGCTTGATTAAAAAGTTGCACACGGCAGAGGGAAAAGTCGTTGAACTTGAAGATAGTACGGTGGAAGTTACGCACTTTATTATTTTATTTTTTATTTTTTCGAGACAGAGTTTCACTCTTGTCTCCCAGGCTGGAGTGCAGTGGTGCAATCTCAGCTCACTGCAAGCTCCACCTCCCAGGCTCAAACAATTCTCCTGTCTCAGTCTCCCGAGTATTTTTAGTAGAGATGGGGTTTCACCATATTGGCCAGGCTGGCCTCGAACTCCTGACCTCAGGTGATCCACCCACCTCGGCCTCCCAAAGTGCTGGGATTACAGGCGTGCGCCACCACGCCAGGCTGGAAGTTACACACTTCAAATAACAGGGAGGAAAGAAGCCTGGAAAGAAGGGACAGAGCCTGAGACGTGTGGGATGATGTCAGGACGTCTAACACGGGTATTATTGCAGTCTCTCAGAAGAGGAAGAATGAAGGAAGCAGAATAAACATTGAAAAAGAAAAGGCCCAATTCTTCCTAAATTCCAAAGCCTCTGTCGTAATACTACAAAATGTTTCTGAGAGAAATTAAGGAAGACTTAAATAAAGTATATACTATGTTTATGGATTGGAAGATGTTATCGTTAAGATGGCAGTTCTCCCCAAATTACACTGTAGACTCAATGCAGTGTCTACCATGATCCCAGCAGACATTTTTAAAAAAATTGACAAGACGGTTGTAAAGTTTACATGGAGATGCAGAGGACCTTGGAATGGCTTAATCAGTCTTGTAGAAGAACAAAGCTAGATTTACATTACGTGATTTCAAGAGTTTCTATGAAATGTATCAAGACACAGAAGTGTTAGTGTAAAGATAGACAAATAGATGGATGGAATAGAGTAGTTATTCCAAAATAGACTCACCCTTATTTGGTCAATTGGTTTCTGACAGAGATCCAAGCAATCCAATGGTAAGGTTTTTGTTTGTTTGTTTGTTTTCTAAGAGTCAGGGTCTCACTCTGTCGCCCAGGTTGGAGTGCAGTGGCACGATCATAACTTATTGCAGCCTCAAACTCCTGGACTCCAGCAATCCTCCTTCCTCAGCCTCCTTAGTAGCTGGGACGACAGGCATGAGCCACCATGCCCTGCTCGAAAAAGAGGCGTTTTGAGAAATTGTTCTGGAACATGTGGATATTCCTATGGGAAAAAAGTGAACCCTGCTACTTCATACCACGCACATAAATTAACTTGAGATGAAATCAGAGACCTAAACAGAGTGGCTAAAACTATGAAGTTCCGATAAGAAAATATATTGTGATTGAAAGACAGCAAAGATTTCTTAGACAAGGCACAAGGATTTCTTAGGACACAGGACAGAGCCAGGATGCGACTAAGGAAAGGTGATAAATTAGGCTTTATTAAATTAAAGGTGAATGCTTGAATATCATTAAGAAAGTGAATAGCCAAGCTAGAGACTGGGGGAAGAATCACAAAACATATCTGACTAGTATCCAGAATATGTGAAGAACTCACCGAATTCAATAAGAAGACAGACAACCAATTTTTAGAAATGGACAAAAGTCTTGAACAGACTCTTCACAAAGGAAGGTATACAGTAAGGACGCAGGAGACCCCTCAGCAGCGTTAGCCATCAGGAAAGTGCCAAATAGAACCACAGTTCTGTTTCACTCCACACGCACTCTGGGGGCTGAATGGAAAAAGACCGGCAACAGCAGAAGCTGATGAGGATGTGGCGCAGCTGGGGCTGGTGAGCGCTGCTGGCTGGGGGTGTAGAATGCACCCACTTTAGAAAAGCATTTGTCAGCTGCTTATGAGGTTGAGTCTAGACCTCCCCTTTGACCAGGAGTTCCAGTCCTAGTGGAATTTTGTTTCCAAAGGAAAAGAAAGCCTGTGTAACCCCCCACCCACCACACAGGCGTGCGTGCATACACACGCACACACACAACTTGAATGCTCATATAGCAGCTTTTATTCACAATAAGCAACAACTTGGAGGCAACCCAAATGTCCATAAAGAAGGAAGATGGGTAGCACGTTGTTGTTCATGCCGTGGATTAGTACTCAGCAGTAAACAGGAATGAGCTGCAAATGTGGGCAAGTCAGAATGGATGTGTCTCAAACAAGATCCAATGTTGAGGGGAAGAAGCCAGGCACAAAAACAAATCTAACGCACAACACCGTTGACATTCTACAGACAAGGCTCGTCTGTGGTGAAGAACAGTCAGAAGGGTGGTTGCTCGGGGCGGGAAGGAGACTGATGGGGAAGGGCAGGAGCTCCGGTGAGATGAAAATACTCTATGGTGTGGGAGGGCATGAGTGACACAGGTGTAGCCACTTGTCAGAAAGGTACCACTAAGGGCGTATTTTGATCCTTAAAAAGCTTAGCAAAAATATTATGAGAACCCTATGCTTGGCATTTCTCACCAAGCTTCAGACGCAGCGGGTGCTACACAGACGTGGACTTGTACCTAGATCCGGGCGTGACAGTTCTGTCTTCAAGATGGGGCCAGGGAAGAGGGAGGCGGGCGGGGGACTCTGCCTTCCACACCCCTTTTCTAGGTCCACCCGGGCTTCAAAGCATCCTTCGAGTCTCATCTGTTCAGGAAGACTCTGACCATCCCAGCCTTCCCTATTCTCTCCCTCCTTAATATGTTTGGGCTCCAGATGGAGCTCGTGCCTCTTCCATCCCGGGATCAGTGGATCGTATCCTGTATTTCCCGGAATACGTTCAGGCCTTGTCAGAGCCGGGCACGTCGTAGAGTCCTCAGTAAATGGCAGTGCAAGGCCACTGCGGTGGGAGGCACGAGTGAAGGATGTGTGTCCATGGCATCTGAGAGACCTGCAGCAGCCCGGGCTGGGCTTTCCCATCTGCACTGTGACAAGCCTGGGGCTCCTGGGGGAGAGGAAAGACGTTGCATGTCGTCAGCAACCGGTTCTGGTCGACCTGTGATGGGGGCGGCATGGGGGCCTTTATGAACAGGCTCCTGAGTGGTGGGGGAGAGCCCTGGGCTCTGTTGGGACACCCCACAGTGTGGCCGTTTGCCATCCCTGCACGGGACGATCTCCAGGCCCCTGTCCAGGTCCGGCTTGCAGCCGTTTTTGATCCATGTCATCAGCTCTTGCAGCATTTAACGGCCAACCCCCCTCCTTCCACCTGGCCTGTTGGAGAAAAGCTGACGTCTGTCTCTAGACAGTCTGAGTGGCCTCATCTGCCCTCGAGTTGTCTCGTTCAGCAGCCTGGAAGCTTCCCTGTCTCGCCTCGCCTCCAGCTGTCAAGAGTTTTCGACAGAGGCTTTGCCGCCAGCCTCGCTCTGCCACGTGACGGAAACGTGGGGTGGCTGGCAGCCGCTGAGAACAACCCCTGCAGTCACTTGCCTGCATCCCTGGTAGCCTGGCGGGCAGAGAGGTGGGGGCTGTGTCCTTGGGGACAGCATCTGGAGAGGCAGGGGAGGTGATTTGTGTCATCGCTGGTGGCAGTTTCTAAGGCAGTCGCCGGACCTGGCTGGGGATGGACCTTTGAGATGGGTTAGTAAGAAAACCTGTGAGCTCACAAACACCCTTCCTGCCTTCATGTCTGTTCCCAGGGGAGCCTCTGTCACCAGAATGTGGGCCCAACCCGTCTGACGGCTGCCTTTACCCCGGCTTCAGTTCTCCCGCACGGCTGAGCGACACCCAGATGGACCTCTCATGGTGGAGGGCGGGTGGGGAGAGAGGAGAGGATAGTGAGCGAGGGCCACAGCCCTGCCCCTTGCTGGCTGTTTAACCTCAGTTTGTTTGTTTTAATCTGCACAATGGCCACAGTGCTGTTACCGCCAAGGATTCTGTGAGGCCCAAGAGAATAACTGTTTTTCTACAGGCGCTGGCACACAGAGGGGCTTGCCCATGGGTCGGTGGCTCTTTGAATGCTGGTTGGAGGGTTCGATCAGTCTGGTCTGTCCCAGGGCCATCTGCCCTCTGCCAACTTTGCTCCTCTGACCGGCTTTCATCCACCTCACTCACGACTGTAGTGGTGCAGAAAATGAAGTACCCGGAGCAACAGCTTCCTCCGCCTCCTTTGCCCGCCTGCCTGCGGGAGGCTCCACAAGGCAGGAGCTGGGCTCACCCCCGGCTTCCCCTCTAGAGAGGCACAGATGCTTTGCCCACAGACGGACGCCGTGTGGCTTGTGCATTGCAGCGTGTCCTCCAGGGAAGGTGCTGAGGGCCTTCCTCGAATGCACACGGGCCCTCCCTCTCTCAAGTAGACCTTGAATGGTCCTCCCCAACCCAAGCCTTAAAAGGCGACAGCTGATATTCAAAGGCGAGGTTTGGGATGAGGCCGTGGCACACAGCGTGGCTGGGGAACCCGTTCCTGAGTACCGCAGGGATTGCTCCTGCCCCGGCTTCTGTCCCTGCCTCGCCTCCCTGCGTGCTGGCCATGGAAGGGGGTGCTCTGCATTTATTTCCGTCCTTCTAGCAGTGAACTTTGCCACCCACTTTGAGCCCGGGATGTGAGATGTGTCCTTGTGCAGGGGTGAGGGCTTGCAGGACTGAATACACAACCTGTCTGGGCCTGGGGTAGCTCCTGCCCCTCCACCCCCAGGTGCAGTGAGCCCCCAACGGGGCCTGTGGGAACAGGGGGTGGTTGGATTGGCTCAGTTGCTGATTCAGTGAAAGACTTGCTGAGCCCCAGCAGGTCAGGTGTGGAGCATCAGGAGGGCTGAGGAAGCCCAGTGTGGGGAGGGGCCAGGCTCATCCGCTGCCACTCACAGAGTCACTGGAAATGTAGCCAAGGAGCTGCATCGAGTACACGAGCGTCTGCAAGAGTCCAGATCACAGACCAAGTGGGGATCCTGGTGGGTGTCTTGGAGGAGGTGGCCCGTGAGCTGAGTCCTGCAGGCAGAGGGGTGGCTTGTTGGAGTAGGACCATGAGCTAAAACAAAGCTTTATTGTATTAGATTTTGGTAGGAATTTCTTTGGCTCTGGTTTCAGAAGGCAAATGACAAACTCCGGGTCACCCTCCATGTACCCGGAAACTTTGCACCTTGGATCCAAGGACTGCAAGAGCCAGGGCTGAGCCGGAAGCACTCAGGTCTCCAGGTCACAGCCTTGGGCCAGGGGAGAGAGGCTTCTGTTCTGGAGGCAGGAGCTGGGGGCTCCTGTCAGGTAGGGGTGGGAAGATTCTGGTGAAGGCAGGGGTCCCGCCCCTGGACCTCTGGCCTACGTCCCCAGCATTTACCAAAGGGCTGGAGAAGTGGGTTCTTTGTCCTGGCAGATCCCTCTGAAATGCACCTAGTGGAGGCAGCAGGCAGAGCACTGGAGGATGCGCCTTACGCTGCCCAGTTCGCACCCACAGACGCCCTGCAGGCGGGGCCCACCCCACTTTGTAGACTGAGGCCCGGGCAGGTGACCTCGCTGTGGCCCCAGCCGCCTGCGTCCCTCGTGGACCCTCGTGCTCTGCGGCTCCCCGGTCAGGGTGGCGGGAGCCTCCCCTCCCCTCTAACCCGCCTCCTCCTGTGCAGCGAGCATGACCTGGGGGAGGACATCTACGACTGCGTCCCGTGTGAGGATGGAGGGGACGACATCTACGAGGACATCATCAAGGTGGAGGTGCAGCAGCCCATGGTGAGCCCTGCCCCGCTCCTCCCTCCCTTCCCCTCCCTTCCCTCGCAGAGCAGCCTGGCCCTTGCTTAACACAATACCGAGCTGTCCCCATGTCTGAGCCACCGAAGGGGAGCTGCTCTGGGTGCAGGGGGACGTCCAGAGGTGCACCCCTTGGTCCTTCCCAGTCCCCACGGAGCTCCTCTGAGGAGCATCCTTGGAAACCCTGGCTGACTCCTGGTCCACTCTGTGCCCTTCCTCTCTATGGAGATGTTCTCAGGTGCCCAGAGATGACACCACCACGGTCATGACCCCCGCCCGTGTTGCCATGGGATTCTCCTTCCAAGGGCTTGCAGGCCCCTCAGTTGTTCCTGCCCAGGGAGCCTTAAGATAGTAACTTGGCGCATGGTCTAACAGCACGCGTCATTTTCCCCCTTTGTGTGGAGAATGATGAGACCAATATTGGCCCAATTAGCCAGCTGTGCGTCTTTTATGTTTGGAGGATGTTTATTTCCAAGCAGGCACTGGCGAATAATCTCTCGGACGCCAGTTTGCTCCGCGTGGGTTTATTGCCAGCAGCTGCTATGTGGAAGGTGGGGATCCAGCGGAGCTGGAATGAGGAGACAGGGACCTGGTAGGGCAGGTCACAGGCCCTCAGACCCCCAGGCTCCCAAGAGTGGGTGAGATGCCACTTGCCAACCGTGGAGGCTTTTGATGCCATTGGCTTCCCCCAAAGAAATAGGAAATTTCTCAGAAAGCTGATTTCAGTGTTTTCCTTTAGTGTGGGAGTAACCAGCTGGTGGTGGAGAAGCAGAAAGCTGGGGAAACAAATCCCTAAAGAGGCCTTGCCCACTCTGCTGGCATCCTGCTGGGAGAGACAGGCAGGTGCAGGGCTGGGGGTCTCACAGCCCCCAAACTGACTGTTAAGAGCAGGTTTCTCTGCTTGTCCTCGAAGGGTCTCGACTGAGTTTTGTTCCCCGCCATAACCGGGGGGTCTCCCCCGAGGGATGGTGGCCCTTTGTGGAGGCAGCAGGGCCTCCAGTTTGCCTTCCCGGGGAGCCTGGCTGGGTAGCTGTTAGGGCTGGAAGACTGAGCCATGGCCCTGCTGCTGGGGGCTCCCCTCGCCTCCCCGGAGCTGGCCTGAGAGGTCCCGAGGCGGCCGGCGAGCCGTCTGGACTTGGGAATGAGCTCTGACTGGTCAAGGCCAGTTCACTCCCCAAGTTGTTTGAAAGCTGGGCGTCCTGCAGGTAAACTTCAGCAGGTGGCTGCGTTGCCTGTGAGGTTGTGTGGGGGATCCTGGCCCTGGATCCTGCAGGCTCTCTTTCTCGAGACCCCCATCCATGCCTGGTGAGAGTGGGTGCTCCCTGGAGCCCGCTGCTGTCCCTGGTTCTGAAGGTCTCAGACCTCTTTGAGAAAACGCATGTGAAAGGACATGGAGTGTCCACAGAACCTGCCAGGCTGGGGAACAGCGCTGCCTATGTCCCGCTCTGCACAGTGTCCTCATGCCCAGCGCTGGTCCCGCTGGTCTCGAGCTGTCCAGTCCATCCAGGCAGGGGCTGGGGGCAAGGGGCAGTTCCTGCTTCCTGCCAGGGTCCTCTGAGATAAAACAGCTGCTCCATGTCCTTCCCTGTCATGTCTGGAGCTCTCTGAACAGCCCCAGTGGAAGGTAATAGAGATGGTGACTTCCCCAAAGGAAGAAGAAGCCAGAGGATGGCAGATGCCATTTCCTGAGCCTGGGTAGGGGGCTGCTATGGGAGCTCTGGCCCATGAGCCATCGCCCTGCCCAGCTGGGCAGCACGAGGGGCCGTGATGTGGCTTTGGGTCTGTTGGCTGGTTGTGGGGTGGCGTTCCTGATGTCCCAGGCCCAGCTTGCCAGGACAGTGTGGGCCCTGCTAACCGGCGCTGTTTCTGGTTCTTTCTCCACGCTTGCAGATTAGATACATGCAGGTGAGTGGCCCGGAAGGGGAGGCTGGGGACGTCCTGCCTGCGCCGTCTTCTTGACCTTTCAGGGAGGTCTCAGACCTCTCTGAGAAAACTCGGGACCCTGCCCCCAGGAAGACATGGTCAGGCACACATGACTTCAGGCATCAGAGACCCTCGGCACCCCCGTGGTCCTGTACCCACAGCCCCATCTTGCACGTTGCCTTAGAGACCTGCAGCCTGGCAGACCCAAGCGGACCCTTGGGGATTTCTTGGAGGATGATGATGGTCTTAGGGCCGACACGAGCGCTGTGGGTCACAGCACCATTTCTCCAGAGCCTTCTGACAGGTGGGGTTTACCCAGCCTAACAGAACCTTAAAGACAGTGTTGGGAAAATCCATCACTGCCCCACAGTGACCCCACCTGTCACCTCACCCTGGACCATGGGCCAGGCAATCTCTAATCCTGTCCCGGCCACATTCCACCAGAGGTGGGGGCAGGCCCTGCTCTGGAGGAGGCTCCAGGGACCCTGCTGGCGGTGGGGGGTCATCTCAGGCCCCCTGGCTAGAAACCAGTGGACACTCAGGGGAAGAGTCCAGCCTGCAGGTGGCTGTACTGACATGTGCAATGGTGGATGTGGTCTGCATGGAGCCGAGCACACAGTCTGCCACGTAGAGAGGACTTATGCACACAGTAGGTGTTTTAGCAAGTCACTCCTGCTCCTGTGCTGGAGGGGGTAGCTTCTGAGGCCCTCACCCCAGTCTGGTGAAGAATCGAGATTCAGAATCAGAGGAGTAGGAGCCTGGGATTCTAGAAGGCTCTGCCTCCAAGCCTTCCTTGGCACTGTCCCCACGTCACATCCCCTCCCCGTGCGTCAGTTTCTTCATCTGCAAAATGAATGGGAAGGGGTTGGCCCTCTCTGTCACCCATCTGGCTGCAGCACTGCACACTCAGTGACCTCGTGGCCAAACCCAAGGAGTCCTCTTTTGTGGAGGTGTCCGGGTGTCGCGGTGCAGATGTGCAGGTGGCAGGTGGCCGGGCCCATGGGGTCCTGCTGACTCCCCCTTCCCTCCTCTAGAAAATGGGCATGACTGAAGATGACAAGAGGAACTGCTGCCTGCTGGAGATCCAGGAGACCGAGGCCAAGTACTACCGCACCCTGGAGGACATTGAGAAGGTGAGGGCAGATGGCGGCCACTGGAAAATGGCAGCGGCCACTGTGGTCACTGCAGGGCCACCTATCTCCTGGGAGTGCATTCCGGAGGCAGGGCCATAGGGCCTCTCTGACAGGCGAAGGAGACTTGGTGGCCCTCCCAGCTCTGCCTCCAGGTACCCCCTACCCAAAAGGAGGGTGCCCTCTCCTTTCCTCTGAAGCCCCTGAAGTCCCGGCCTGCGCCTGTCCCTGCTCCTCCTCTGAGCTTAATCGGGGTGGGATTACGGCTTCAGCTCCTGAACATTGCTCTAAGGCAGGCACTGAGCTAGCTCCTCGCGTATTCCCCCCACCCCACCTAGAGCTGCTCCCCAGCCTCTCCACACTCAGCCTCCCCATCTGTAAAATGGAACAAAGCTTCCATGGGGGGCTGGGAGTGTCCTGCACAAGGCATGGCCCGGCCTAGTGACCAGAGCTGCAGACTCCAAGCTCCTTGCCCAGCTCTTCCACTCTTGTGCATCTGAGTCCTCTCTCCTGCTGGCCTGCTGAGCTCCTAGAGTGCTGAGGATCAGCCTTCACCTCCCCTACCCCACCTGGGCCTCCTGTAGGCACCTGGTCAACCTGGCCCTGGGACATTTCCCTAGCACTTCTGAGTCTTCATTGCCAACTGCCAGTGTTTACTGGGGAGAAAAACCAACCAGGGTGGCCGTGATGCCTCCAGCCGGGAGACCTGGGCTGCCCCCTTGGGCCCAGGCTGGCCTTGCTCCGGCCGGGCCCCCTCCTGCTGCCCCACCCTCTGGTCCTTGGCCAGCGGCCTTTCTGCACGCACATCTGTACACCCTGGCCCAGGTCCTTCCAGTTCCCTCGAAGCCCTGCCCATGCCCTGGCTTCTGAGAATCCTGGCTCTGAGGTCAGCCTCTGCCAGGGCCCTGCTGGCCTCTGTATCCCTCCATGGCTAAATGCTGCTGCAGAAAGCAGGAGGGCTCCTGAGGTCTGTCTCCACCCAGCCTGGGGCCGCCACCCGGGCGTGTTTGCTTGGGCGATGCTCTCTGTGCCACGTGGTGACCAAGGAGCGGTGCAGCAGCTGGGCCCAGAGGATGCCTGCAGAGCGGCTGGCTGCCCTGACCAGGAGCCACTCGGGGAGCAGGAGAGGAGAGGGTGGCCGGGCCTCCAGAGCAGGGTCAGCAGCCTCACACGTCCTCATGTTCACTTCACATCCCGCCTGAGGCTGGAGCTGGAGGACTCTCGTCCACAGCCTGCCCCACCACCGGCACTCCTCGGGGTGGAGAGCATCCCTTTTGATGACAGTTTTGGGGTCATGCTCAGGAGCACAAGCTCAGTGTTTGAGTGCTGGGTGGGGACCATGGCCCTGTCCATCCAGAGAGTCCCCACGGGTGATGGCCCTGCCTCCTGGGTCTCAGCCCCTCACCGCAAGCCACAACCCCAACGCCCACCTCAGGGCAGCCATAGTGCCCAAGTCCACCCTGTGTGTGAGTGGCCACCACAGGACTCTGCCCCCGTCACGCTGGGAGCGTTAGAATCTTTACCCCCGCACCTTCCTGCCCTGCACTCACCTCCAAAGAATGGAGCCCGATGTGGCCAGAACACAGGCTACCCCAGTAAGCATGGAGCACCCCAGTGCCTGCCTCGGAGCTGCCCTGGGACCCTCCCCTGGCAGCTGTGACCTTGAGAGGGTGGGCAACAGCAGCAGGGTGGCAGAGGTGGACTTCTCTCTTCCAGAACTACATGAGCCCCCTGCGGCTGGTGCTGAGCCCGGCGGACATGGCAGCTGTCTTCATTAACCTGGAGGTAAGGGTCCCGGCCCCCATCGCTCATGCCAGGCTCGGGGCCCTAACTCGGCACTGGCCACACATGTCCTGCTGTCCTCAGGGCCTTGGAGAGCTGCACCCCTGTGGCTCCGTGGTGGCTCGTGCTGGCCGGAAGGAGGAGCCCCCACCGCTCTCTCCAGGGTCTTTGGATTTAGGAGCCAGGGTAGCAGGTTTCTGGGCTCCGCTTGTCTGCGGGTGAGGGCAGCACTGACGTGCGTGGCTGGAGGCACGGATGACGCTGAGAATGTAAATGAAGTTTTTGTCAGCGGCCAGAGAGAAACGTGTCCCTCCACCCCTTTGAGCGGACCCCCTCGCCTGCCCTGCGGGTGTCTGAACTCAGTCATAGAAAGGCAGTTCCCCATGCAAAGAGTCACCTAGACGTGGTTAGCAGAGCAGGGCGCTGGCACCAGGCTCCGGCAGCCGTGCATGGGTGGGCTTCCTCCGGGGACATGCTGCTCCTGGCCCTTCCTCCTGGCCTGGCGGCCACAGGTGCCAGCAGCCCGTGCGGTGGCTGTGTCCTGCCTCCCTGGCCGTCTCATTAGCTGCAAGGGTGAGCTCTGGTCACGCTGCCCTGGATGAGGCTGGCTTGGACCCCAGAGCTTCCTATAGTCTGTGCCTCTGACCTAGAGTTCATCTGTCCTTGAGCTGTGGCCAGGATGGAGGAGCACAGACAGAAAGAGGCCTGGGGCGGGGATGGGGGTCCCGGGGTGGGGATGGGGGTCCCGGGGTGTGGCCTGAGCACAGGAGTACTGCGCTGTGCCGCCCCACGCTGTCTGCAGAGCCCGCCCCGAGTCGGCCGCTGCGTGTCTGATGGGCTGGTGCGGGCTGTGGGCGGCTTCCCTCCCACACGTACTGGCTCTTCTGTTGCACCATCGCCATAGAACCTTCTACCTGAATCACACCCTGGCATGCACAGAGATGTGGGGTGCAGGCCCAGCACCCGGGCCCCTCCCCTCCTTGAGGGAACTACAGAACAACAAGGGCACTTTAAGGGCGGCGCTCCCGTCTAGCCTTGGGTGGGCCTGGCCAGGCACTCACGGCTGGTTTTCAACCCAGGACCTGATCAAGGTGCATCACAGCTTCCTGAGGGCCATCGACGTGTCCGTGATGGTGGGGGGCAGCACGCTGGCCAAGGTCTTCCTCGATTTCAAGGAAAGGTGAGTGGCTGCCGGCTCCTGGGGCTCCTTGGCCCCTCCCTGTCTGCGGGAGAGTTTACACAAGTGGAACTCTTGTGTAAGTGGGACTCTTGGGGTGTCCCGAGGCAGGGGCCGCCCCCTCTGGACCCCGTCCTCCCTTGTTGAGGATGCCACCCACCCCGAGCCGCAGCCTGGTTGATGGAGAGGGTGTGGAGCCTCCTGTCCTGTGGGAGCTCGGCAGGGGCAGGATTGGGGTTCTGGATGTTTCTAACTGGCTGTGAGAGGTGTGGCCATCCAAGTGGCTCGGCTGTCCCAGCGGAGATCTCGGGCCCCCACTTCTCCCTTCTGCACCCTTGTGGCCGGTTCTTTAAAGTTAGGATGTGGACAAGGATGAAAAGAGGTGGCACGTGGAGCTTAAATGATGCCCAGGCTGTCGGAGGCTGGGGAGGTGGCGTTTCTGGGGCTTAGATGACGCCCAGGCTGCCGGAGGCTGGGGAGGTGGCATTTCTGGAGCTTAGACGATGCCCAGGCTGTTGGAGGTTGGGGAGGCGGCGTTTCTGGGGGTTAGACAATGCCCAGGCTGTCGGAGGCTGGGGAGATGGCGTTTCTGGGGGTTAGACAATGCCCAGGCTGTCAGAGGCTGGGGAGATGGCGTTTCCAGCCACGGAAGTCTCGAGAGAGCCCCATCAGGGGACGGTGCCAAGCTCTCTGTCCCTCGGGGATCCTTTGGAGGAGCCCGAAGGGGTCTATGCTAATGCTTCCTGAACTTGGCTGCTCACTAGAGCCACTGGGGAGCTTGTTACAAATACCATGTCCGGGGTCCACTCTTGGAAGGGTCTGGGTCTGCTCTGGGGCCTGGGGAGTTGTAGAAGACCCCACAGGTGCATCTTACCACGCGGCCCTGAGCCTAGGCATTGGGCGCCCGGGTCCATCTCTCCCTCATCTCTAGGAGGGTCCCCTGCATCACCCGCCAGGTGGCCGTCAGCACAGCTCACACCCCTCCCTGTCCAGGCAGCCGGGGACAGGCCCAGGGCTGGATTCTCAGGCACGTTGCCTGGGAAGCCCTGCAGGTGCTTCCCTGTGTGCTCTGTAGCTTCAGGAAAGGCGCTCCCCCCTTCCCTGTGAGGAGGGTCCTGGAGCCTGCTCTCCAGGGGCCATGGCTTGGAGGGTTCCCGGAGACACGAGGGAGCAGGCAGTGCTTGTGGTCCAGTGGCAGAGGGGACCAGGAGAGCTGACGAGGCCCAGCAGGTGTGAGCACACTGGCCAGCCCCAGAGGGTTAAGAGTGGGCAGGGATCGGGGGAGGACAGCTCCCTAACCTGCCCTCAGCAAGGTGTTCCCTTCATCTGTGGGTGAGCTGATAGTGCCCGGCTGGCAGGTCACACTGGCTGTCGCCCCAGTCCTCAGCAGGTGTGGGGTACAGTGGTCCTTTTCAGCGCCTTGTTCATGCTGTCCCTCGGCCAGGAAGGGAGGGAGCCACGGATGAGGCGTGGTTTGCTTCGAGGTCCGTCAAAGGCTGAAGCCCTGGAGGAGGAATGGCTGGCTGTGTGGTAGAGTGACAGGGTGGATAACCTGTCCTCTCCCAGGAGCCTCCCTCCACAGTCAGGCTGCCCGGCGACACCCCTGGCCCTGTCCCACCAGCAGGACCTTGCATGGGTGGTTCCCGCTGAGGAACAGCGGGCATCTCTGCCTTGGAGCGCCACTGCAGTGCGGGCAGCACGTCCAGTCACAGGCCCAGCCCAAGAGCTCTGTGGACGGGCAGCTCCGTCCCTGGCAGCGAGGCGTGTGGCGAGATCCGTCAGTCGGGGTCTGTTTGGGGAAGGGGCTGTCAGCGTTTCATCAGAGCTCATCACCAAATCATCGTGGTTCTGTCCCAGCATCCAGCTTTTTTGCCCCTTTCCTCTCATTTCGGATTCGGCCCCAAGGTCCTGGTTCTTGCTTGCTGGCTGAGTCCTGAAGCTTTTATAGGGTGCCTGCTCTGTATGGCTCCTGAGCTCTGGACTGAGGACACGCAGTGAACAGAGCTACTGGCCTCTCGCTGGGTGGGATGGATGAGAACCAAGACAAGATAGAGAAGCTCCGGGGGGAGCTGCGGCGTTGCTGGAGAGCCCAGGAGACCCGTGAGGGCTGCACAGCGGAGGACGTGTCCCCCTGAGCACAGTCCTGCAGGGGTGGGGCGAGGCGGGTTGGGGAGCAGAAGCTTAGGGGAAGGTGAGAGGCATGAGCCCAGTAGAAAAGGGGCGGTTCTCCAGGGAAGGGCTGGAGGGTCCTGCAGGGGCTTCCAGGCCAAAGGAAGGATTTAGAATTTTTCTTTTATTAAGCGAGGGCACGAGGAAGCTGCTGAAGGGCTTTGTGACAGGGTCCTGGCAGCTCGTCGGGGGTGAAGGGTGGAGTAGCATTCCGGTGTGGCATGATCGGCACTGAGTGGCAGGAGACAGTCACCTCCCTCTTTTTGAGGTTATACTTTCATGAATGCAGCCTTCGTCCTCAGACAAGGCAGGAGCTCCTCTTAGCCTTGCCCTGTGGGCCTAAAAGGGGGCATCTCCCACCCAGAGGGACACTGGGCCTTGGGAAGGAGCTTGCATTCTGCAGCTGTGGACATAAGACAAAGCCGTGTGGTTTTTCTCTGTGGCTGGGTCTGGCCAGGCTGGGCCTGGAGTCCAGCTCCTGGTGGCTTCCTTGAGTGGGGCAGTGAGTCATGCTGCGGGGAGTGGGGGCATACGGGGACGTGGGGGCAGGAGAGCTAGAAAGGGAACGACCTCGGGGAGCTGGCAGCCCTGCAGGAAGGCCACGAACTGGCTTTCAAGAGGAGCTCTCTGTGGAGCTTTGCACGAGCGCTTTTGGGAGGAATGCAGAACAGAACGAGACGAAGGCCACGCCCTCCTCCCCCAGGGCTGGGTGGGATCTCCCTGCGTATGTGGAGATGAAGGATCCGAGACAGGTGAGCGCTTTGGTGCACCGAGACTTCCACTCGGAATCCTGGAACGAGTGAGGCTGCCCTGTGGATGGTTCCTACCCGAAGCCCAAGGCTGGGTGGTTCCAGGGTACGGCCTGCAGGGAGAGTCCCCGGTCATGGTCCACCTCAAAAACCCCAGTAGGGGTTGGCTTGGCCACCTGCTCTGGCAGGGCTGCCTTTGGGAACCTCTGAAGTCAAGAAGCCTCAGCTCCCGCTCTGTCTAACCCCCATTTCCCAGATGGGGAAACGGAGGCCAGAGCTGGCAGCTCAGCCGTGCACCTTGCTTGTTCCTGCATCCTTGGTCCATACCTGAGCCCATGGCCTGTGGTCCTCAATCCACGCTGGCCTGTCCCTGGGCATCTTGAGAGGTTGGGGCTGTGTGGACTGGAGGCAGAGGTGATACCATGAGGAAAATGGGCAGAGGAGAGGCATCTCTGGAGGAGGCATTTGTGCACCGTGTGGTGGGTTCAGAATTTGACGTACTCAGAAAGTTAAAAAACATGATCCTCACACAAATACCCACGGAGCTCGGGCCACGGGTCTGTCAACTCACGAGCAAGGGAACCACATACCTTGTCAGCAGAGAGGGGAGGTCGGGCAGGATGCTGGACACGGCGGGCCGTGCCTTGCAAGGTGACCACACTGAGACCTTTGGGGCCATGTCCTCTATCAGGACAGAAATCATTTGCGCCTGAACAACTTTCTCCAGGGGAGGAGTCAGCCGGAGTGGGGCGGGGGAGGGGGAGGCTGCCCCTGGGAGGTGCTCCAACCAGACCAGGAATGCATGAAGTCGTGTGTGTGTGTGTGTGTGTGTGTGTGTGTGTACACGCGTGCTTGTGTGTTTGTGTGCACATGCATGTGTGTGTGTGTGCATACATGTGTGCCCGTGTGTGTTATTCCAAGTTTTGGCTCCTTTTTCTTAACAGTAGTAAATGTGGTTAGAATTAAGGCCTGTAAACTTTTGCCTCCTTAACTGACTTCCTCCAATAGGCTTGGAGTCACTGTCATTTTCTCTCCATTTTTCGGGGAAAAGTCAAACTGTGCCCCCTGGGGACTCTGTGGCCCATGCTGCCTGGTATGTGGCAGGTGCTCAGAGTCCTGTGGTGTGGACGGAGGGTGAAGGCGTCTGTGTGAGTGACCTGGCTTGGCTGTAACAATGACCGCAAACATGGTGGCTTGAAACAACAGAGATGTCTCTGTTCTGGAGGCCAGACTCCTAGTCTCACTGAGCCAAAGTCCAGGTGTGCCCGGGTCATGCTTCCTGCAGAGGCTTCAGGGGGATCCTTCCTACGTCCTGCAGCTGCTGGAGGCCCCGGGTGTTCCTGGCTGGGGCTGCTTCGTTCTCTGTCCCCATCTCCACATGGCCTCCCCGCGTCTCTGTGTCCTTTTCTGAGGCCACTCTCATTGGAGTCAGGGCCACCTTCCTTCAGCATGGCCTCATCTCAGTCCTTACCTTCATTACATCTGCATCATGACCAAATAAGGTCACAGTGTGAGGCTCTAGTGGACCCACTGCAGCCGAGTTCTGGTCCGAGGCCCTCTCCATCACCAGCTGCCCTTGCTCAGTGGGGCTAGGGGTGTGCAGGTGCTGGCATCTGCTCTGCCCCTGGGTCAGGTGAGAGAGGGCGCGGGCCCCTCGAGTGTCCTTCTGGACTCCACGGAGAGAGAGTGTCCCTCTGCAGAGGCGTCACCCTGGGGCCCTGAGGGCCAGGGTTGAGAGCCATGTGCATTCGCTTTGGAATCTGGCCCTGTTCCCCTTCTTGGGCGACCTCAGAAGTCACGTCACGTCTCTGAGCCTCAGGGCCCCTGTGGTGACAGTGGTGTTTCTGTGAGGATGCAGTGAGCCCGGGTGTGAAGCCCGTCCCACGGCCAGGGCCCTTTCAGGCTCTTCATGGAGGTCTGTCTTTCCCCAGAGTTCTCCTGTTTGCTTCAAGTGCCTGCCATTCCCCCCACCCCCAACCTCCTGCATCCTCTTATCAAATGGATAGAAGGACCTGTGTCCAGGCTTGTGGCTGTGGCCACTCACAGCCGTGTGTGAGTGCCTGGTGCAGGCAGGCTCCGGGCTGGGTGCTGGGGTATGGGGATGAGTGAGACCCATTGCAGGAGCTCAGAGCTGGTGGGTGGGGGTCACCCGGGGCAGTCTCCTCTTTGGGCTCCCACTGACCTTGGACAGGCCTCTACCTGCTGCCCTTTGACCTATCTCCTTGCTTTTCCCTCTGGCCCTGCTGGTGCAGGGGTTGAAGTGAAGAAGGGGCAATGATAGGGAAGAGTTTTGACAGACGAGTAGAAGTTTGCCAGGTGGAGAAGGCTGCCAGCTCAGCTGTGCTGTGGCTGATGTGGGTGTTCCCGGTAGAGCATGGTGTGAGGAGAGTAAGGCTGGGATCTGCACTCCAGCCCCTCGTCCACCTAAACCTCGGGCCAAGGTGACTTGGTGTGAAATTGAAAGGCGGAGCTCACAAAGCTGGTTTGGCCACACTAGAGCTGCTGGCACCAGGCATGTTATCCGCTGGGCTTCAGTTGGGAGCTTTTTCCACCTACATGAAGACTTGCCTCGACAGGGAGGGACTGGGGCCATCACTGGGCCCAGCTCACCTGAAATGCTTGAAGCCGAGTCCGCAGTGGTGCGGGGCCTGGTGGGAAGTCAGGCAGTGTGGTGTCCCTCGGGCCCGAGCGTGGCCCCAGCCCCAGCAGCAGCAGACATGGCTCCATGCGGGCAGGACCCCTCGCTGGGGACTCTGTCTTTCCTTCTCCCCAGCCCAGACTCGTCCTCCCGCCTCCAGGCGGTCTTGGGAAGCTCTGAAAGCCTTGAGGTTCACCACCTGCCCTGGCTTCCCCACCTAGAGTCCTCAGGCCAGGTCAGGGGCACTTTTCAAAGGGGCCACAGGGGTGGGCTGGGGGCCTTAGGGTTTGGGGTGCCCCTGGACCTCCTGCCTTGCTTCTGGTCTGGTGTCATCATCAGATAGGAGGCACAGCCAGGAGGCAGAGCAGTGCAGCCCTAGGACAGCCCCAGGAACTGGGCTTTGGGGTCGGTGACTGTTGGTGTGATTCCCTTCTCAGCTACGGGGCTCTCTGAGCCTCAGTGTCCCCATGGGTAGAACGGCGACAGTCACGGTCCCAGAGCTTCCAGCCCAGGTCCTGGCACCAAGTGATGCCCAGTGTGTGTGGCGTGTCTTCTGCGCATGGCTCTGACCATTCTCTCAGGGTGGAGAAAACACCGATCCGGAGCGGGGCAGGTGCAGGCGGCCGCCGGGAGTCAGTGTCTTGTCCGCTCACTTTCGGGCTGTCCGGTGGTCTCTTAAATGTCCCTCTGTTCCTTCTCTCCTCTCCTACTCTACCGGGGGCTTCTGAAGCTTTTGTTCATTTTTTTTTAAAAGGGGAAAACCCTTTTTCTCGATTGCTTCCAGAGATGATAGGTTTTCACCAACTTTTATATGAAAATGATCAGTGTAATAACAGACTCATTTAGGTGGTAACCAGGGGGCAGGTTCCCATTTAAAGTGGCTCCCAGTCAACACACAGCCCAAGCACCAGGCAGGAGGCAGGCCCTTTGCAATGATGGTGATGCCTCCATGCAGACCTCCCAGGTCTGTGGACACGGGATCCCCCCATGGGGACACACCCCTGCAGGCCATGTGGGACCGGCCATGGGTGCTTTGCTTGACTGTGGCTGGGTCAGGTGAGCTTCGAGCAGATTCAGGTCCTTTATCAGAGTCGTGGACTGTCAGCCTCGCATGCCAGAGGTGTCCCTGCAGGCTTGTGAGGGAGGATTCTCGGGCGGCCTGAGGAAGTACCAGTCACTGGACCCCACGCGCAGCGCTGGGAGGGTGTCAGGGCCTCTGGCGGCCCTGGCCGTGGTGAGGACAGCCTCATGAGCATTTGTTGGGAGTAGGAAGTGTGTCAAGATGCCCGTCCCTGTGCCTGAGCCAGCTCCAAAGGGACATGCTCCCTAGGCAGAAAATGTGTTCCCAGCCACTGTTCTGTTCTCCCATGTGGCAGAGCCACTTGGATGGAAACCTGTCCCTGCATCAAGACCCCACCATCAGGACGCTTCTCCCCGAGGGCCACCCTCCGCAGAAGCCAGGCTACAGGCCCAGCTGCCCGCCCCGAGCCCCAGGCCGGGTGCCCTACGGCAAAGCAGCTCTCATGATGGAAAGAGAAATGGCCCAGAGGCCATGGTGACCTGGTCCCAAGAGCCTGCCCTGGGCTTCCCGGGCCAGGGGAGCCTCCAGACACCAACACACAGCCCTGCCAGAGAGCATATCACCAGGACGCTGGGTCCGGCCCAGCCTTGCAGGCCAGACTGTCAGCTCCTAGCAAGTTCACGGAGGCCTCAGTCTCCCTGCCTGAAGAGTGGGGCTAATCACCCCCATCTTTACAAATGGGCAAAAAAGTCATAAGGCTTGTCGGCAGAGCACCTGGCAGCAGCTGCCTCAGCGAGTGGTGGCTCTTGTCATCCTTGTTGTCACCAACATTGTCACCTGGTGTGGTTCTTCTTTGGGACTGCCCTGTCGGTGGGGTTATGGGGTTTTAAAGATGAAGTTTCAGGCTGGTAACCTAAGACCCTGAGGCTCCAGAGGCCGGGAACCCTGGGTTCCAGTTTGTAGAGATGTGGGCCCAGTGCAGGGAGAGGGAGAAGGTGTCGTGGCTAAAGAGACCAGCACAAGGCACTGAAGGGGGAATCAGAGTGGCCGGGAGAGAGCGATGCTGGGGCCAGGAGGAGGCGGTGGGCAGGACACGAGGGCTGGCTTCCTGGGCGTCCTCCCAGGTCCGGGGGCCACCTGGCTGCCTGCATCCCTGAAGACGGGGCTGTCACTGCTGTTGTCCCCTGCTTGTGGAATCCAGACACCATGTGGAAGCAACAAGGGTGACCCTTAGGGGTTCCCCACCTGGCACAGCATGAGGGTGAGCCCTGAGCCAGTGCAGGCCTCGGTGCTCAGGGCCTGGGGGCAAGATTCTGAGCCCTCCTGGGGTCTTCTTTCCTGGGGGGATGTCAGGGGCTTCTCTTTCCTCCAGTGTTGGCCCTTTTTGGGGGTGGGATGGGAGGTTGAGAGCTCCAGCCTGCATCCCAGCCGGGACCTGACCTAGAACCACCTGGGACTCAGGAAGAGCAGGGGCACCCCCTCTCCCAGCACGCCGGCAGCCCTCCTGCGGCCCGGTAGCTTCGGGAAGGGGAGAGCAGCCTCCTGGCCGTTGAATGTGTCCACGTGCAGGGAGCTGTCAGGGGAGGGGCCTGTTGGTTGCGCACCTACAGCCTGCTGGGAAAAATGGACGGGCTCACTGCAGCCCCGAGCTGCTCATTAAATCTGTGTGCGTGTGTGCGTGTGTGTGCACCGTCCAGGCTTCTGATCTACGGGGAGTACTGCAGCCACATGGAGCACGCCCAGAACACACTGAACCAGCTCCTGGCCAGCCGGGAGGACTTCAGGCAGAAAGTCGAGGTAAGTCCTGCCAGGCGTTGGCCCTGGCCCTGGCTCCAAGGTTGCAGCTTGCAGGCCAGAGCTCGTTAGGTACCAGCCTCTCTCTTGCCCATTTGTTGGGAAGGTGGTGATGGGGGTGATGACGTAATGGTTTTTTGTAGATTTTTCTTTTTTGCATTGTGTTGGGTTGGGGAGTGGGTTGGGTGGAGGTCACCATCCCAGGCCAGGACACAGTGAGACTCCCCATGGAGAAACGTCCTTGGGACTGAATCTGACTCAGCTGGGGGCTCTGGCTGACCCCTGATCCTGGCCTCTGCTGACTCCAGGGAGCCCCAGGTGCCATTTGCTGGGAACTGTGGGACCACCCACCCCTCATCCATCCTCACCCCAGGCCCAGGGCGAGTCTCTATCAACTGGGGGCTCTGACTGACCCCTGATCCTGGCCTCCGCTGACCCCAGGGAGTCCCGGGTAACATTTGCTGGGAACTGTGGGGCCACCCACCCCTCATCCATCCTCACCCCAGGCCCAGGGCAAGTCTCTGTCAACATCTAGTGTTTCTCACGTGAGCCCCTCCCAGCCCCTCCTGTTCCCAGCTGGAGTTTCCAGGCTCCATCTGGTTAGTACACCCTGGTTTCTGCGTGGAGCCTGGTGAAGAGCCCCCTGGCTCTAGCAGTGGTGGAGGCAGCGTGGCCCCCCAGTAGAGATGCACGATGCCCCCCAAGTCCAGTCAATGAATGGGGGAATGCCCTGGTTCCTGGGAGTGGCCCCACAGCTCAGTGCAAGTTGGTGCCCCACCTTGCTTCTCCCAGAGGCCAGACCAGAGAGGGGTTGGTGAATGGGGGATGGCCTGCTGCCCCTTCTCCAAAGGACCTTCTCCAAAGGACCTGGCCTGGCGGAAGAGTCAAGGCCACATCCAGACAGGCCCAGCAGGCGCCCCGAGAGGGTTTCCGTAGCATCGCACGTGTCTCACTGCGTCCCAGTGTGGCCAGTGCAGACACGGCAGGGTGGGAGCCATGTGTTGTGAAGCCCCCCCCTCTGCACACACCTGGTGCATGGACTGGTTCCGGGAGCCTGGCTAGAGAAGGGCCAAACGTCTGGGCCTGAGTTCTGGGCTTAGGTCTCCCCTCTCTGTGGGCGGGGGTACAGGTGGGTGGGTTCAGGCTTTCCTCGGGGAGGGCTCTCCCATCGCCCTGTCGCCCTCCCAGGAGTGCACACTGAAGGTCCAGGATGGAAAATTTAAGCTGCAAGACCTGCTGGTGGTCCCCATGCAGAGGGTGCTCAAATACCACCTGCTCTTGAAGGTGAGGCTCTGGGCCCCGGGTGCCTGCGGGGTCATCACTGCTGGAGTCAGATGAGGGCTGGCAGCTTCCAGGGGGTATAGGTTGCAGCCCACAGACAGATTAAGTTGAATATAGACAAGTCAGTTCATGCTTAGCTCATAATCACCGCTCAATGCATGTGATGGCCGATTATCACAGTAAATACACAGAGGAAAATGATGAGTCCAATCACTAAAGAGGTCAGAAAACTGAAAGAGACAGAAAAGCGTCCTCACACCAGGAATAAGAAAGCTACTGTGGTTGGTCTCTGAGCTTCCTGGTGGCCATGGCAGAAATGGACATGGAAGGGCTTCAGGAAAGCCAGACCTGGGAGGGAAGGCGGTGGTTTCTGCCCGGCACCTTGCGAGGCCCTTTTCCCGTGGAATGCTGGCACAGCGCCTTGCTTTTTGCTGCCTTCATGGCCCTTCTCACGGTCACTCCCTTCCCTTATCCACAAGGTTTGGGAGCGCCCCTGCCAAGAAGTGGGGTATCCCCTGTGGAGGAGTCACTCTCTGTCCTTTGGTGTCGGGCAGCCAAACCCAGCCTGGCTGGCGGGTGGGGGTGGCTTTCTTCTGAGGACTTGGTTCTGTGCACACCTCCTGCCCCAGGTAGGGGCCAGGGCAGAGGCCAGAACCCCCGAGTGGTAACACATGACACTCTTCTCACCCTTCCAGGAGCTTCTGAGCCATTCTGCGGAACGGCCTGAGAGGCAGCAGCTCAAAGAAGCACTGGAAGCCATGCAGGTGTGTGGGTAAACTGAGGCAGGGGAGAAGCCACCGTCTGGCTTAGCCCGTGTTCTTGGACTGGAATTGGGCTCATTAACGAGCCTCAGTTTTGACTGTGGACAGTTTCCTGGGACAGCAGGAGTTGGGGCAGGGCAGGGCAGGGCAGTGGGTGAGACCCACAGGAGGTAGAGGTGACGGGTGGAGGGCACTGCAGGTCAGGTGCCCCCTCAGGTGTCCCGAGTCCTAACCTCACCTGTCCAACAAGACCTCCCTTGAGCCTCCCCTCCCCCTGCTTTTCCCCCAGGCATTGGCCTCCATTCTGGGCTTTCTGGCCCAGTGCTTCTCACTCCCAGCACTGAGGCTTCTGCTTCTAAAATGCCACCTCCGGTGCCATCTCTCAGCTACCTGCCTGGGGAGCTCCTTCGCTCCTGGCTGTTTCGAGGGCCCCCAGCCAGCCATGCCTCCCTCTCTCCCCTTGTCCGGGTGAGCTCAGCTCATGCCACTCCCTTGCTCAGAAACCTTCCGTGGCTCCCTCTGCCCATGAAGCAGGCATGGGCTCCTCACTCTGGCACTCCCGGCCTTCTGCAGGATACTTGCCCCTGATGTCGCAGCTGTGTTCAGCACAGTTCCAGGCAGGTTTGATCCCTCCCAGGCTCCTGCACGTGCCCTGCACTTCCCCGGCTCCGGGTGTTGGCTCAGGTGCACCCTCCTCCTCGTCACCTGGCCACGTCCTGCTCATCCTGCCTTCACTGTGGACAGAACGTTTTCCAGGGAGGATCGCCCCCCACTGGGTTCTGTCCTCAGGGAACTGGCTTCCTCGTGGGTGGCACTCTTCCTCCTGGACACACTTGTTCGTGCCATCTCCTTCCCAGCCAGGCATGTGTCAGCCATAGTCACCTGTGTCCCCAGGCCAGGCACAGCACCTGGCATGTGGTAGGTCCCCTCCAGCTGCATCTGGGTGGAGGGATGACGACCCCCCCCACATCTCCCTCGTCGGGAGCACAGGACACCTCTGCCAGCCCCCCTCAGGGCTGCAGTCCTGCCCTCTGACACCTGGCCCCTGCCCTCTGGGCAGCCCCCCTGGGCTTTGGGCCCCCTTTTCCTTTCCCAGGTACCTCATTTAAGGAGCTCCCTCTGGGTGGGGGAGGGGCTGTAATCTGTCTCTGTCTATAGCTGCTGTTGGGCTGGGACGGGAGTGGGGCCAGTGCTTGGCCGCCGGTGCTAAGAGGTTCTCTGAGCAGGGCTTGTGCTCGGGGAGAAATTTACTCCAAATCCTGTGGGCACTCGTGTGTGGGCACGGGAGGTGGTCCCAGAGACCTTCAGATTCCCGCTCGGCTGCACTGGGCAGCGAGCACCCTGAGGAATGCTCCAGGAAAGCCTCCTGCCATGACGGGCTGACAGAACTTTCTCGGTGTCAGCTCTGCAGCCCCCAAGCCGCCCCTCTCCAACACCTGCTCTGGCCTGTCTGCTGTGAGCCACGGTGTGTGAGCCAGCGTGGATGCGTCCTCGGGGGCTCTGAGACAGTGACAGCAGGTGCAGTGGGCCGTGCACCCGGGCCCTGAGTGTGGTCTTGCGTTTCATACTCTCAGCACTCGGTGTCTGGCTGGCGAGTGGCTCTGAGCCCCTCGACGGGATGGTTTCCCAGGAGTGTAGCTCACGGTGCTGCACAAAGTACTCGGTGACTTGCGGGTGTGCGTCTGCCTTTCTGAGAGCCACCGAACCTCATCATGAAACTTCAGGGCTGGGGGGATTTTAGAAGTCTTTTGATCCATTCCCAATTTATATAGGAAGTCATTCATGCAGCCACTATGGGAGTCGTCGCTGTACCTGGGCTTGATTTCCCCTAGGGACTGAGGGCTCACTCCTTGTACGGCAGCGTCTTTGAGAATCAGCCCCCGTGCCGCTGTGGGCCTGAGGTTTGTCTCCAAGGGAATTGCGGTTTTAGGTCCAAGCTCCATGAGCTGACTGCAGTCCTGCCTCTGTATCAAAGTACAGACATTTCCCTCACCTGCTCATTCATTCGGGCAACTTCCATCTGTTCCTATTTCATGCCAGGCATTGGGCCAGGTGCACGCAGGGGCCGCGGTGGTCACAGTTGTAATGTTTCTGCCTTTGGGAGGGGGGTGGTCCTGAGCTCCAGACTTGCTACTGGGGTCCTTGTCTCTGGGAATTTATTCCTTATTTTAAAGGCAAGTGGACAACGACAAGAAAACGGAACACCCCTTTCAGACAGCGTGCTGCAGCCTCCCCAGGAAGTTCCCTCCTGCGGGGTGGGTGGGGAGCCAATGGTGAGGTCTTCTAGGAACGAGGAAGGGCGGGAGGGATGGGAACCTGCTGAAGACCTGGCTCTGGCTCTGGCTCTGGCCCTGGCTGGTCACTTGCATTTTGGGGAATTCCACCCGCTGCTCTCGGGGGGCAGGGCCAGGACCGCCCACGTGGCCGGCTCCCTTGGGTTCCGCTGTGGGCCAGGTCTGGACACTGCGTTTTCTGGACTGAAGTGGGCACTGCTCTCTGGTGGCCAGCACGAGGATTGCAGCACGGCAGGCAGGCGCCGGAGTGGGGGTGGCCAGACCCGTGGAGAGAGGGACTTCCTGACCCCTCATTCTGTCCAGGCTCCAAGGGGAGGCTGTGGCTTAGAGAGGCTGGGGAGGGGGAAGCTTCCCAAGAACAGGGACATAGGTCAGCCCAAGTCTAGGTGGCTCTTATGTGGCCTGATGTGGCTCCCACACACAGGGCTGCTTCCCTCTATTAGGATGTTTAAGAGGGACCACGTGATGGGGTAGAAAGAAGTGGCACCAGCCAGGAGTTTGGGGCTCTTGGCATCATCACTGACGAGGTGTGGCTCTCGGTCAGTGTGTTCCCTTTCCTGCCTCAGTTTCCTCATCTGTCATGCAGAGGTGATGTTTTTCAGCCCTCCTGTCTCGAGGGCGGCCTCCCCGGCAGGATGGAGGAAGAAGGTCCAGAAACGCCCGGTGCCTGGATGCTGGGTGGGGGGTGGGGGGGGGGGTCCCTTGGGGGCTGAGCTCCTGCATGTATGTGCGTGCATGCACACACACGCTCACACACACACACCCTGCACAGCACAGCTTGCTCACACACACAACCACACAGTCAGACACACCCCACCCGGCACAACCTGCTCACATACACACACACAATAACACACACCCAATCACACGCACCCCACTCAGCATAACCTGCTCACACAATCACACACACAATCACACACACCCTACCCAGTACAGCCCACTCAGACACACATGTTCTCACACAATCACTCATACACATACACACCACAGCACAGCCCGCTCACACACACACACACATGCACCCCACCCAGCACAGCTCACTCACACATACACACAATCACACACACATACCCCACCCAGCACAGCTCGCTCACATACCACACACCCCACCCAGTACAGCCCGCTTATACACACAGTCACACACACCCCAACCAGCACAACCAGCTCACACACACAGTCACACACACCCCACCCAGTACAGCCCGCTTACACACACACAGTCACACACACCCCACCCAGCACAACCCGCTCACACACACCCCACACAGTACAGCCCGCTCACACACACATGCTGTCTCACACACACACACCACAGCACAGTCCGCTCACACATGCTCACACACACACACCCCACCCAGCACAGCTCATTCACACACAGTCACACACCCCCCACCCAGCACAGCCCGCTCACATGCACACACACCCCACCCAGTACAGCCTGCTTACACACACAGTCACACACACCCCACCCAGCACAGCCCGCTCACCTCTGCCTCTTGTTTTCAAGGACTTGGCGATGTACATCAATGAAGTTAAACGGGACAAGGAGACCTTGAGGAAAATCAGCGAATTTCAGAGTTCTATAGAAAATTTGGTGAGTGAGACTGACTCTTCAGGCTAGGGAAGGTCGATGAGGACGTACCTATAAAGTCACGTTCACAGCCCCAGTATTGAGTGAGCTCCATGGGCAGCCACACCATGGCTGCCTGTTGAGAGGCTGGTGCCCGGCAACTTCTGAGTTTGATCTCAGACCCCCAGCATCCACGCTTCCTTGCCCACGACAGCCAACCCAAGTGCCCTGTGCACTGAAGACTGCCTGTGCTCGGGGGGAGGGGGACGGGGAGGGGAGGGGACAGGGGAGGGACTGTATTCATTGCCCAGCCCCCCTTCTCCCCCAAGCCTAGACAGAAGACCCCTTCAAGTCCAAGAGGAGAACTGTGTCTCCCAGGGGCAGGAGACGCCCCCTGGTTCGTGGACCCCTGGCCCACCCTCACCTTGACTCTCCCCTCCAGGGGCAATGGACAGGGTTTGGGCCCAGGCTCGGTGGGGCCGGCAGTCGCCTCTGCTCCTCGGACCCCATCAGGCAGGGCTGCCACCTCCTGGGGCTCCCCAGAGTCTGGCCCTGCAGAGGCCAGGCTTGGGCTACCGAGTCAGTCACCTCGTCCTGCCTGGGGAGAGGGGATGCGCCACCCCAGGAAGCAAACTCCCTGGTCTGTGCTGACCGGAGCCGACTTCCCGAGGATCTGCTGGTTCTAACCTGGGCTTCTCCACCTCAGCACTGCTGACGTCTGGGGCTGGATCATTCTTGGTTGTGGGACCTGCCCCTGTGCGTTACAGGATGTGGAGCAGTGTACCTGCCTGCCACCCACCAGACACCAGTAGCACCCCCACCCCCTCAAGTAATGCCAACCAGATATGCCTCTGGACATTACCAGAGGGTCCTTTGGGTGGCAAAATTACCCCTGGTGGTGAATCACAAACATTTTCACCCTGGTGATTTCACTGACATGAAGCTGGCAGGGGAAGGTCCCCGATGGCCAGGCCACACCCACCCGGTGCCAGCAGCACAAAGAGAATGCCCTCCGCGAACGTGGGGCACGGAAAAGCACCTGCGATACGTCGGCGATGAAAGAAAAAAAAAATAAGCTTCTGAAGGGCATTATGATACTGCCCCCTTCATCTTTCATTTTAGAAAGAAATTAAAATGTGTGGGTGCAGAGGAGGCCAAGGACGGCCGCACCCTGCACCATCAGCACCTGGCGGGTCCGTGCTGCCGTGAGCTCCTGCGCGAGGCGGTCACAAATGCGTACAGTGAGCAGGACGTGAGGAGAAAAGTTCGTTTTGTTTTGTTTTTTAAGTTTTTACATAGAAGTAATACTTGTTCATTAAACAGCAAGAACAGGCTGGGCGCGGTGGTCATGCCTGTAATCCCAGCACTCTGGGAGGCTGAGGTGGAAGGATCACTTGAGGTCAGGAGTTCGAGACCAACCTGGCAAATGTGGTAAAACCCTGTCTCTACTAAAAATACAAAAATTAGCCAGGCGTGCTGGCGGGTGCCTATAATCGCAGCTACTTGGGAGGCTGAGGCAGGAGAATCTCTTGAACCCGGGAGGCAGAGGTTGCAGTGAGCCACGATTGCGCCACTGCACTCCAGCCTGGGTGACGTAGTGAGACTATCTCAAAAACGACAACAACAAGAATAAAACAGCATGGCCAGCAGGCGTCGAGCATCCCCATGAGCCAGGCCCTGTACCCAGTCCTGGCTCTGAATCCCATTGCCACAGGGAAGGTGGTGAGAGCTGAGATCAGAGGCCTGGAGCAAGTTGACTGGGACTATGTGACACCAAAGCTGTCCTTGCAGCCTCTGGGGCTGAGACCTTGGAAGGAGACACTGAGCCTGTGCCTCGAGCACCTCCCAGGCAGGGCCCTGTTCGTGTCTTGAAGCATTTTCCTCCACCTTTTCCTGTCTGTGTGGACACTTTGAAAGCCACGCAGGGAACATGTCAAGAGAAGCTCTCTCTGAATCAGAAGAGTCACAGAGACAAAACCAGACAGACAACGAAAATGAACCTCAGCGAACCACACAGGGGTCTGAGTCGAAGCCTCACCCTTGGCAGGACCCCGGCCCCACCCGCCCTGCAGCAGATAGGCGCTGTTTGTTCTCTCCTGAACGTGGGGCTTGGGCTTCTGGCTTTTCCGACCGGGTCCCGCTTGGGGCTCCACACAGCGGCGGCCTCTGTGAACACAACCGGCACCGTCAATCGCCCTTTGTCCCCAGAGCTGAAGGGAGCCCCTTGGCAGGGCTGGCCAGGAAAGGGAGAGAAGCTGCCAGGCCCAGTCCCTTCCCGGTCTTCTGCACCCTCCCTCGTCCATCCTGAGCACCAGCTGGGAGCCACAGGGGCTGTTTCCCTTCGTCCCGCCTCTGCTGCCTGTGGGGAGTTCCCTTGGGTGCACGACAGTCTGCCCTGCCCGTGCGGTCAGGAGAACTGGGGCTGCTCCAGCCCCGGCTGACGGCCCCTCTCCTTCTTCCCAGCAAGTGAAACTGGAGGAATTTGGAAGACCAAAGATTGACGGGGAACTGAAAGTCCGGTCCATAGTCAACCACACCAAGCAGGACAGGTGAGCAGGGCGCGTGTTGTGGGCTGGGTGGCGTCCCGCCAGGGTCTGGCTCTCCCTCCCAGGGAGCCACTCCTAAGTGGCTCTGGAAGCCAGGCCTTCCTGTGGAAAGAGCTGCCTGGCGGTGGCTTTGTGTTGTTCAGTTTTAATTGCTTCCTTCCTTCTCGTCAGCGAGCGGGCGCCACAGCAGTGGGGCTTTTGTGCCTGTGGCGGGCACCAGGCTGGGCTGGGGCAGCCAAAGATGAGGGCCAGGCCCCTCACTGCCAATGCTCAGCCTCCAGGAACCCAAGACAGGCCCAGAGTGGTCGGATGGGCTCTTTGCCAAATGACTGCCGGAGAGTGTCCAGGCGCACGGTGGCCCAGGCTTGTCCAGGGCCCTCCTTGTGCACCTACTGTGTGCTGGGGCAGGGGTCACAGCAGATCTGGGTCCCACCCTCTTGAGGCTCCCAGTCCAGCGCGGGATCAACTGGGAGTAGCCGTCGGGGGTCAGTGCTGCATGGGAGGCCAGCGTGGGGGATGCAGGAGCCCCTTGAAGGGCTCCTGGCACAGCCTCAGTCACGGGGGTAGGGAGCCAAGGAAGGCTTCCTGGAGAAGCAGTGTGGGAACAGCCGAGACCTGACCGAGGCTCAGCATTAGCCTGGTGAGCCAGGTGAGGGCAGGGCTCGCCCGGAGAGGGAGCCGCGTGCCAGAGCCTCAGGCTCAGCTCCTGCCGCCTCCTCGGAGCAGAGCACACAGTGCTGGGGTGCTGATCCCCCGCTGCGCTGCCTGGCCCAGGTACTTGTTCCTGTTTGACAAGGTGGTCATCGTCTGCAAGCGGAAGGGCTACAGCTACGAGCTCAAGGAGATCATCGAGCTGCTGTTCCACAAGATGACCGACGACCCCATGAACAACAAGGACGTCAAGAAGGTGGGGCCTTCCGGGTCCCCCCTGCTACCCAGGAACGTGGGGGTGGCCTGGAGAGAGGCACTGGGTTCCAGACCCCAGGGGAAGGGGACTCGAAGTCAGCCGCTGATGCTGGCCGGGTGGGTTGGGGTGGGCGTCTCCGCTCTGCAGGAAGGCTCCTCTCTGAGTCACTGCCTCGCCGTCGTGACCACTGCTCATAGCAGGCCTGCTCCTCGCCGGGCCCAGCGCCCCCCAGAAAGGTGGGCAAGACCAGAATCCCACTCCCCAGTGAGGCGACTGAGGCAGAGGGGAGAGGCCACCCCAAGGCCTCTAGTGAGGGTGGGACTTTCAACCTTGGCTTTCCATCTGGCCAGCCTGACTCTAGCCCATGTTGTCCCTTGTAGCAAGCAGGCTTTCCTCTCCCGTCCCACCCTGCGGTGCTTGGAGGAGGGCTGTGGGTAGGTCTGGCTGTGGCTTGTCCGAGACTCTACATGTAGCTGGCTGGGGCCTGTGGCTGCTGGGGTGGGGCCAGGGCTGCAGGGGTGGGGCCTGTGGCTGCTGGGGCGGGGCCAGGACTGCAGAGGTGGGCCTGTGGCTGCCAGCGGGTGGGGCCAGGGCTACAGGGACGGGGCCGAAGCTGCTGTGGGGCAGGACCATGGCTATAGGGCTATTGCTGGCTGGCTGTCTGGTTCAGTCCTGCTTCAGCTGAGGCTTCTGCCCATGGCACTTGAGCAGCTACCGTGTGCAGCCCTGGTGGGGTGGGGGGCGGGGGTCAGGAGCCCTTGTTCTGAAAGTCCAGTCCCTGGCCTCCAGGGCTGGCAGTGTAGCCCTCGTCCAGACCCAGCAAGTGCAGACTGGATGAGCTGTTGAGGGTGACCCTCCCTGCCCTCATGCCCAAAACAAGTAACTGGGGCCCATGAGGCAGTCCTGCCACCAGCACCCAACACTCTGGGAAGAAATTCCTTTCCCCACTGATCACCCCACCCCCAGCCTGGGCACTGGGGGGTGTTCCACCTGCCAGGGCTCCTGGCGCCTCCACACTGCGGCACCCACCACAGGGCCGGGCTTAGCCTCTCACTGACCGTCTTCCCCTTCCTCTCCTCTCCATGCTTCCTAGTCTCACGGGAAAATGGTAAGCACCTAGCGCCCAGGTCCTCCCACCTGCCTCAATCATCCCAGCCTGGTGCTGGCACTTCTGCCCGGAGCCAGGGGACCCAGGGGCCTGAGGGGCTGGGCTCAGGGTTTTCTTGGTCCTTCGTCCTCCACTCCCTTTCCCGATGATGAAATGATTTGTATTCATGATGAAAGGCTTGCCCGCTAAGACAGTGTGAAAGGAAAACTCCGTGATCCTCAGTCCCTGGAGCTCGGGGTCAGAGGCTGGGGTTTCTTGGTCTCTCTTCAGCTCTCCATCATCCTTTTTGTTTTTCTGTGTTCTCTCCCTCCTCCCTCCCTCTTTCTCCCCTTTTCCTCTCTCTTTCCTTGTTTCTTTCCTCCTCCCATCCCCGCTCCACGCTTCCCCTCTCCATCCCTCCCTTCGTTCCTCTTTCCCGCCATCTTTTCTAACCCAGTAGGCTCCTATTTGCCAAACTCTTTTTTCTGGACCACTTTGAAAGCCCTTTGTCCGAGAGCTCGGAGAGATGGCGAGGCCTGTGGGGTGGCCGAAGGGGAGGCAGGGAAGGGGGCAGTTGTGGGTTGCTCAGTCGGGGATGGCTTCACGGGGGGTGCCCCAGGCCCATGGCTGTTCCCTGCCTTTTTGTTGTTACTGTTCTACTTCAGAGAAGTGAGGTTTTTTTAGCATCACATTTAGGAAGTGAAAGTGGGTGGTCAGGCCTCGTGGAGGGGCCCTGGGTGGGGCCCTGCGCTCATCCTTCCTGGGATCCTGCCCCCGCTTAACATGCATCTACATATGCACTCGGTGGAGCATCCTCGCACATGGGCGCAGGCAGGAGTGCAGACCTGCCCAGGCATGTGTGTGTGCACCCACAGGAGAGCACCCACAGGAGAGCACACACAGGAGAGCACCCACAGGAGAGCTCACACAGCATGGGTGCATGTGCATCATACGTGTTAGTACATGTGTGTACCTGCAGGGACAGATACAAGTGTGTGTGTGCACATGCTCACAGGAGCACTGGGCACACTCATGCACAGGTGCACACGCATAGACACGCGTGCAGGCACAGATGCACACCCATGCACGCAGGAGCACACTAGTATGCATGCAGAGGTGAAGGCACAAGCGCATATGTATTCTCACGTGAGGGTATGGGCACACAGCTATACATGCATGCATACAGAGGCACGTGTGCACGTACAGCATGGGCAAGAGAGCAGGTACACACGTGAGAACATGTGTTCACACAGGCACAGGCACCTGTGCACATATGCATATACACACGTGCACATGCTGCACAGGCGAGAGTACACGTGGACATGTGCCAGGATGTCTGAAGCCGTGTCTATTGCAAGCATGGCCCCTCTCCCCCCTGCAGTGGTCCTACGGCTTCTACCTAATTCACCTTCAAGGAAAGCAGGGCTTCCAGTTTTTCTGCAAAACAGAAGATATGAAGAGGAAGTGGATGGAGCAGTTTGAGATGGCCATGTGAGTTCCAGGGCGGCAGCCCCCAGGTCCCTGGCAGATGAGTTGTATGGGGGGTGGAAGCCCAGGTGGATTGTGTCTGTGGTTCCTCTCAGACCAGGGGCGGTGGGAGGCAAAGTTGGAACGTCAGGGACACAGACAACCTCCATCACCCCTGGGACGCCAGCCTCAAGCAGTGACATCCTCTTTAACAATCAGTCCAGAGTGAGAGGGCTCTCCCTCTGCCACAGCCTGTCCCAGGCAGGCTCCGCTGTCCTGCTGGAATGAGCCATCCCACCCTTGAGGCTGAGCCTGGCACGCCCGGCCCACAGAGCAGTGACCGGCTGGGAGTGGCCATGATGCCAGAGGATTCCTGGTGACCCCAGTCTTCAGGGTCTTACGGGCTGGCGGCTTGTCACCTGTTTTTGAAGCCACAGAACTATTTTTCCATGAGATCCAAGAGGACTCATATCCTAGATATGTGAAACAGAGAAAGATGATGAACGGGTTCCCGGAACACGGACCCTGGAGGGCCAGCAGGGTTGTCTGTGCTTGAGCTCTGCGGGCAGGTGAGCTGGGGCCTGCAGGCAGGTGCACTCGCCTCTCTGACCGTTTCTTCTGGTGAAATGGAGAGGGGAAGGCCTGTGTTCTGGCCTTTTTGGGAGGATCGAAAGGGAACCATTGGACACAGCAGGGCCAGGGCCTGGCTCGTGAGAATAGATGCAGCCAGCTGGTTTGCACCCAGGCTCTGTGGGGGAGGCCTGGGGCATCTTCTCTTCGGCCACTCGCTTTCCATGGCCTGTAATTTTCTCCCCAACATCCTATTGTGCAAAAGTTCAAGCGTTCATGGAAGCTGAAGCGACGTGATGGTGAATAGCCGTCTTCTCACCACGCTGCCGCCATCCGCGTCACCCCACCCCACCCCAGCCATCCAACAGCGGGTCTGTGTCAAAGTGAATTGCACACCAGTGCAGCCCCCCTGAGTACCTCAGGGGGCCCAATATTTGTTTAGCTTCTGAAATTTCAAGCTTATATCCAATGAGGCAAACAAATCTTAAGTATATGTTTTCTGAGTTTTAACAAATACCCACACCTGCCCACATCCAAGCCCAGTCAGGACCTTAGACCACCGTCCCCACCTGGAAGGTTCTCTCAGGCCAGTGCAGCAGTGTTAAAGCTTCTTCTCTGACCTGCCTTCTACGAGCAGGGAGTCTGGGCCCTGAGTCTGCCCCATGTTGCGGGCAGAGCCAGGCTTGGAGTCCAGGCCCTCTCGGATTCTGCACAGCCTGGGTCCGGAGCCCAGCTGGTTCCCAGGATGGCCACATGGTGGGGCTCGGGGAATCCAGTGGGTGTAGCATCTGCTCTCTTTCCCTCCTGCCAGGTCAAACATCAAGCCAGACAAAGCCAATGCCAACCACCACAGTTTCCAGATGTACACGTTTGACAAGACCACCAACTGCAAAGCCTGCAAAATGTTCCTCAGGTGTGGGAAACCCCCTGCTACAGCCCTCACCTCGCTCCACGCCCAGCCCAGGCCCCTGAGAGAGCTTAGTGTTCTATCTGTCCCATGTTCCCTGTGGGAGGCCCTGAGGGGTTAAGGGAGTATACCCCACAAGAGTCAGGCCCGTGCCAGGCATGGTGGCTCAAGTCTCAGCACTTTGGGAGGCTGAGGCAGGCGAATCGCTTGAGCCCAGTAGTTCAGGACCAGCCTGGCAACGTGGCAAAACTCTGTCTGTACAAAAAATACCAAAGTCAGCCAGGCGTGTTGGCCTGCTCCTGTGGCCCCAGCTACTCGGGAGGCTGATGTGGGAGAATTGAATAAGTCCTGGAGATTGAGCCTCCAGTGAGCTGTGATGTCGCCACTGCACTCCAGCCTGGGTGACAGAGTGAGACCCTGTCTCCAAAAAAAAAAAAAAAAAAAACGGCCCAGCCAAGCCCTTAGAGTTTCAGATCTAGCCGGGAGGTGATTGTTCCTGGGTGCCCGGGATGCTGTGTGGGGCAGGGAGGCAGGCTGGTGGAGGTAGGGGAAAGCAGGTGTCAGGCTGCCTGGTAAGGGAGGGTCCTGGATACTCAGGGCTATGAGGGATGTGTGTGCTGGGAGACAGCCAGCCAGGTGAGCCTGGGTGGGGACAAGGGCCTTGACCTTGGCAGAGAGGCATGAGGAGCCGACCCCAGCCTCGACCTCACCTCCTGCCCTCCCCTGTGCAGGGGCACCTTCTACCAGGGATACATGTGTACCAAGTGTGGCGTCGGGGCACACAAGGAGTGCCTGGAAGTGATACCTCCCTGCAAGTTCAGTGAGTACCCCCCTCACCCCCCCACCCCAGTCCCTGGCCACGCCTGCTCACTTCTGCCCCCTACCACCTGGGTACGGGCCTCGGGCACCATCTCCCACGGGGCAGCGACCAGATGAGGGCACCAGTGCTCACGTGCCCCAGAGCAGACACCAGACGCCTGCCGCACGTCACACACTTAACAGGAGACACAGCCGGGATGAATTCCATTCCAAGCCCTCTCTCCTAATGGGTACTTGAGGACCCCTCCCCATCTCCTGCATCCCCTGCCCCACTCCAGGAGGAAGCTTCTAGAATCTCCACCCCCAAACACGGCACAGAACATTCTCAACAGGTGCATGGAGGTTTCTCATCACAGAAACACCGGTCACCCTGGGTTCTCCCGGCGGGTGAGGCCTGGCCATCAGTAGCTATAGCCATGTTAGTAAATGGTTCAGACACACACACACATGCACGCATACACACATGGCACTTACAGTGGTTCCCTTCTGTTCATGCCCATTTAGGGAAGCTTGAGGCTCAGGGAGGGGAGAGGATTGAGCCAGGCTGGCAGTGGGCAGAGGCAGGGATGCGCCCTGGAGGCTCCTCTGAAGCACCTTGGGTCGGGGGCATACCTTTGGGGTTGTGCCCTGCTCAGGGCAGCTGGACAGCAGTGCAAAGCCTGAGACAGTTCTCTCCTGAGAGGTTTCAGACATCAGGATGTCACCTCCATCATCAGCCCCAGAAACTGAGGCTTGAAACTTTCAGCAATTTGTCTACACTTATTAGCAGAGCTTCTATTCAACAAAGAGCCCCCGGTGGCCCCAGGCCGAGTCTCTGGGTCTTGTCTCCTTGAGCCTCCTGAAGGTGTCTTAAGGCAGAAAAACAAGTCAGGCCAGCTTGTCACCCAGAGATTGTCACCCAGAGACGCCATTGCCCAGAATACATTTTGAGCTGTGATTTTAGATCAATGGTTAATTCACCATTTACTGTGAGTGCCAGCCCAGTACCCTAACCTGGGGAGAGGGCCAGAAGGTCAGCCCAGACCCCCTTGTCCCCATCACAGGCCCAATGCAGCCCCCTAGCTGTGCACAGGATCCCGCAGCCCCTGGAGTTAGTGCTGGAGGATTCCGCAGGCAGCCTGTGGCCTGAACGCAGCTTTTCAGCTGTGCCCATCAATACTGCCCTCTCGTGGTCGCATGTCCCCAGACGATGGCTGCAGCTACTTAGAATCTTTTTTTGCTTTCTCTGATTCTAAAGGTAATGTTTACTTATCAAAAATTTGGAGGAAAAAAAAAGAAATGAAATTTTAAAGAAAGTATCACCCGTGAACTTACCTAGAAATGATGAAAGGCAATGTTTCGGTATATTTCCTTCCAAGTTTTCTTTTTTTGTAATCTTTCTGTTCCTCCCCCGCCCCGCCCCCGCCGGATTATTAATTACTGATTTTCCGTAGAAAATTTGGAAAATGTAGAGAAGTGTAAAGGAGGAGAGAAAAACTACTCCTCCTATCCCCAGGCAAAGCCAGCTGCCACGAGGCCCCAAGCACTGTCCTGCTTTCTGCAGACGCGCACACCCGCCCACCCCATCTCTGTATGGTTTTGAATTTTTCTTAGTATGTGTAGTTGGAACTGCAGGTCTTTTGGAAGCCAGCATTGCTGTCTGCATTCTCCCATGTCCTGGCAGCGCCCTGGCTGGCACCAGCTCCATTCTCCCCAGGGGCCTGTGTCCTTGCCCCCCTCCTCATCCCTCTGCTGGGGGACGCCGTCCTTGCCACTTGTAGCCATTTTTCCCTTAACAGTGTCCAAGCTGCCTTCCCTCTGATCCAGGCTTCTACCTTTGCTCTGGGGTTTGGCTCTGGAAAGTGCTCCTTTGACCATTGTAGCCTTCACCCCTGGGCTCTGCCGAGGCTGGTTTAGCTGTTTGCTGCCCATGGGGGCCGAGATGTCCCGGAGAGATGCTGGCCTCTCCTGAGAGCCTTTCCTGTGGGAAGCCCCCATCAGGCACAGTCATTGCTGCCGTCCAGCTGCCCCCCACCCCTGACCCCTGCCCACTGAGCTGGAACCTGTTCTGTGGTGTCTGTGGATACCTCTGTCTGCCCAGAGCTGTCTGCACTGTGAGTGCTGGGTGGTGTGGAGGTCACGTCAGCGATGTGTGTGAGCTGTTGGGCTCCTTTTCCTCCTTGCCTCCTCTGGTGGTAGGTGGCAGCCACCTTGGCAGATGGCTGGGCCCTAAAGGGCCTTGGGAACATTGGCTCTCCTGGCACCTAAGGTCTTGTGTCCTTGAGCGTGTTGGCACCTGGGTGTCTGAGCTGAGGATGGCAAGCAGGTAGCATGCGTACCAATGCCTCCTCATCACTTGCCCCAGCAGGCATCACTAAGCGGTTGTGGCAGGTAGCATGCATACCAATGCTTCCTCATCACGTGCCCCAGCAGGCATCACTAAGCGATTGTGGAAATCTCCCCTTTGAGTGCCAGGTACCACCCCATGATCCAGGCAGCTGCCGCCATTCAAAAGAGGTGGCCCAGGCGGGATAACCTTTTTGCCAGCTCAGGTCTATTACCCAGTCCAAGTTCTCCCATGGGCCCCCTAAAGCCAGAGCTCAGAATTTGCTGCCAGAAGTAACTGAGAGGCTTTCACAGCCATGAGCTCGGACCTGTGTGTCCATGATCCATGTCCAAAACAGACCACTTTGTAGCTTGGCTCACTTACCATCTTAAGCTCGGCCCAGAGGCTCGGGGCGGTGTGAGTGAGAGCTGCACGGGGCCTTGGCGTCGGTGGCCTCCCCTCTAACACCTGACCTGCTTCCTTTCCAGCTTCTCCTGCAGATCTGGTAAGTCCCCAGAGTGTTTCCCCTCCCTCTGCCCCACCCCCGCCACATCCCTGTGTGCGCAGAGCCAGAAAGACCCAATTGTCTGCCTTTCACCACTCATGGGGCCACACCGGCTTGGATGAGCCACTTTTGGTCACAAGATGCCTCTGCTTTCCTTGGTGGGTGTCATTAGAGTCCTCCTAGGGGCCCCAGCGGTGTCTTCCGATCCCAGCTGCCCGCCTCATTCCCTTGCCCAGTGGCTGCTCGCGGCTATGGGTACAGCTCTGGGACCTGCACCAGCCCTCCTGCCCCCGAGTCCCCCAGTTGGCTCAGAGCCCTCTGTTTAGCTGATGTGGGGATGGAGTCACTTCCAGGGGCTTCGTGTGCCCCTCGAGCTATGGGGTCCACATGAACCAGCCTCCATGGAGGATGGAAACTTAGTCGTATTTGGCACTGTGTGTCCCAGATGGACACCACAAAGCCCAGGCTCAGAGCAGGTGGTCAGGGCAGGCTTCCTGGAGGAGGTGGGGGCCCGTGGTAAGGAGTGGGAGAGAGAAGGGCACAGACCTTCCAGGAGTGGAGGTGCACAGAGGTGAAATATATTGCCAGGGTGGGGGCGTCCCATAGGGAACAGTGTCCCTCTCCTCCCCTGCTCCTGCCTTGACCCCTCTATCTAGGAACTAGTGGGGACAGGGAGGGCGGGGTGCGTTGATGCATGGGCCACAGTCAAAGAGCAGCCTTCCCTCATCTCTGTGTTCTGTCCTTGTCCTCACAGGACGCCTCCGGAGCGGGACCAGGTGAGTCTTCTGGACCTGGGCCCTCTGCTATCACCCATGTCAGCCATCACCTGGGAGCTGAGCCAGGGCCTAGGTGTGGTGATGGCCAGGTCTGCCCAGCCACCAGACGCTCCAGGCTCCTGGATGCTGCCATCTGGGCCCCCTCCCTCTTGCCTCTCTGGCCTCTATGGCACCTCCTTGGGAGGTGGCTCTGTTTCTGATAAGGCAGCACCAGGCTGTAGGGACAGGACCCAGCCTGCAGAGGAGCAAGGGCCTTCTAGCCAGGGAGGGCCACCGAACTGCAGCCAGAGACCTGAGATCAAAAGGCGCTGCTGTTCTCCCACCACGTTCTCCATCCCCTTCCTGCCTTGCTGCGGGTTGCTTAATGGAAACGTGCTTCTAGACACAGCGTAAAAAGCATCGTGTTCTCTGCAAACTTGAGTGCAGTCCAGGCAGTGCTCAGTACAGCCTCACCCTCATCGGCAGAGGACAAAAGATGAAAAATGCTGCTGCTGCTGCTGGGCCAGGCGGGAGCTGGGCTGGGAGAGCCATGGGCTCCTTGAGAGCTACAGGCAGGGCTGGGTCAGAGCAAGGCTTGTCTAAGAGCAGCCTCCACATTCCCTGGAGGCACAGCCAGGACCCCCATTTCAGGCCCAGAGCACCTCTGTGAGCTCTGTGGCCTTGGGCAAGCTGCTGGGCCTGCTGACCCGTCGCCCGTCTCTGACACGAGGGATCCCCCGTCTTCTGCCCCGCACAGCTGCCTGTGGGCCACAGATCTGAAGGGTGTTTGGAAGAAAACACAAAGTGCCATCTGAAAATAAGTTGCTGTTCCATGATGACCCCTGAATCTGTCTATTGCATAAATAATTATGATATTTATCAAAAAGACATGAGGCTTATGGGAAGGATTTAGGGAAGGGAGATGCAGGCGCAAGGCTGTGTGTGCTGGGGGAGGCCGAGCTTGGTGATGGGGTGGGCTGCGGGCCGGGGCCAAGTCAGTCACCGAGTGAGCTGCTGAGTCACTGAGTGAGCTGTCCTATCCTTTGCAGGTCCCAAGATGGTGGCCATGCAGAATTACCATGGCAACCCAGCCCCTCCCGGGAAGCCTGTGCTGACCTTCCAGACGGGCGACGTGCTTGAGCTGCTGAGGGGCGACCCTGAGTCTCCGTGGTGGGAGGTGGGTCCTGGGGCCCGGGAGGGTCGAGGGTCCCCGGCTCCAGCTCCTCCCTGCTCCCTGGGGCAGAAGCATAAAGTCCTGCACATCCCCAGGCAGAGGCAGAGAGGTGAGAGACCACCAGGGAGGAGGAGGCACAGGGGGCCTAGCAAGGCCTCTCCTGCCTCAGTGCCCCGTTCTGCGCCATGGCATGTGTTCTTGGGAACCTTAGCTTGGGCTCCCCGGGTGTTTGCTTTGACATGGTAGGCGATGCAGCGTCCCTTCCCAGGAGAGGCCCTCCTGCCCTGGCACCCAAGGCCTTTCTCCATTGTCCTCTGTCCTTCCTGCCTCTGTTGTGTCTCATAGGCCCTCAGGCTTCTGCCCTGGCCATGCCATGCCCACCCTCCTCCCCACCCCTACCTCAGTTCAGGCCAGCAACCTTCGCATGATCGTGGGGTGAGCGGGCAGGTTCGCTCCTTCCCCAGGTGGGCACAGATGTTGTCATCGTGATGTCGTTTATGGTTCTGAGCCAGGAATGTGCTGCTCTGTTTCCAAGGCCCACAGAGTGGGGACCTTTGTGGGCGTTCATCCCGGGGACCTTTGTGGGCGTTCATCCCCACCTTCAGCAGATGGCTGGGCTGTAAAGGGTTCTGGGCACATTTGCCCTTCTCTTGACACGCTGAGACCCCATGTCGTTGAGCATGCTGGCACCCGGGCGTCTGAGCCAAGGACTCAGACCCCCAGTCCTCGGCCCCTCTACCAAGCCCCAGTGCTCAAGGGAGCCCCAAGACCCACAGGTCAGCAGAGCGCCACGGGGCCTCGAGGGCACTTAGCCCAGCAAGGTAGCTTCCCGCGGGAGCTGACATTAGAGCCGAATGTTTGTTAATGTTCAGGTTACAATGATGCTGTGGTCATTTTGTCATGGTCATTATCAGTCCATACTCGGTGATGGATTTCTTGTACCAGACCCTACATTCATGTAACAGGAGGTTCAGAGGGTGCAAAAGGCCATCTGAGCTGTGCAGAGTATCAGTCCTGCTCTGTCCCTCCCCGGGTATGACCAGGGCTGCCAGCTTCTTGGGGGGGCCTTGTGGAGGTGCTTTGGTGCTGTGCCAGGCCTTAGTGCTCTCATGTCTAGGGTGGGAGGCCCTGCACCTCCCTGCCCTAACTGGCTGCCGGGTCAGCTGAGGTTGGGAAAGAAGACATTGGCTCTCCCACCCTCCAGGAGCGGGATTGGCATACGCTGAGTCCGTCTAAATGGCCCCACACTCCCATAGGCCAGGCTCGGCCCCCTTGTCCTAACCATCTCTTTCCTCTGCCAGGGTCGTCTGGTACAAACCAGGAAGTCAGGGTATTTCCCCAGCTCATCTGTGAAGCCCTGCCCTGTGGATGGAAGGGTGAGTCCTTTCCCACAGAAGCTTCTGGAGCACGGTGGCCTGGGTGCTGAGGGTTCTGGGAGCTGCCTCCTCACGTGGACATTTTTGGCTTGTTCAGGACATCCTTGCTAAATTTAGGCTGCTGTGAGCTGCTTCCTGGAGCTGGAGCCCAGAGAGAAGATGGGTGGGGGGCTGTGGGGCAGCACGCTCTCCTCTGTTTAAAGGGCTCAGCCGATCGGGTGTCGTTTCGTTGTGGTTTTAGAAACACCAAAACAGGCATTTCTGCAGCAGCTGTAATGGGGTGAAGACCAGCCAGCTGCCTTTCACCAGATTTCGGGGACTCTATAAGATCTCTTGGACTATTGCGCAGCCTTAGAGAGAAAAAAAGGCTCCCCTCAAACATAAGGATTCAAAGCTAGACTTTATGCTATTTAAAACAGAGGCAATATGGTATTTCTTTCATCTGAGGGATATGGAGCGAATTCTCGGCTCTGTGATGAAAGGCAGCAGGCAGCCTTGAGTAAATGAGTTACCCCACCTCCACCCCGAAAGGACAGCTCAGAGTGAGAGCGTGGAACCTCTGAAGGTGCAGGGGTGGGTTCCCAACCCCACTGCGGCAGCCCCGGTGCTCCCCGACCCCAGCCCCAGTCCCGTCCGCCTGTGTGCTACCTCTGCTGAAAGGGCAGGTGCTCAGCACTTAGGGCACTTTGCGTGACCAAGGGGACCAGGCGGCAGGGGAGGACAAGGGTCACAAACTCACTAGGTGGCCTGGGGCAGGTTCCTTCCCTTCCCCAGGCCTCAGTTTCCCCATCTGCATGGTGAATAGGGTGCGAGGGAAGAGGTAGTCTCTGAGGCTGTGCCCAGCCTGTGGCCCAGTGAGGCCAGGGTGGGGGGCTGTAGCCAGGGAGGGAGCCCTACCTGCTCACTGGAGCGGCAGCACCTGCCTGAGTGTGGCCACCACCAGACCCCCACCCCGGGGTTTCCAGACCTCTGGAGCAGGGAGCTTGGCTGTGGGTGTCTCACATCCACTGGCTGAAAACTTCCCGCACCTTCGGTCCTTGCTGTCCCAGGGGATCAAGTCAGTGTTAGCTGGTGGCTATGCCGACATCTGTTCCATCAGACCCACGGGGCATCTACTCAGAGATGAGGTTGTCCTGGCCACGACCCTTGGGCACCTCCCAGGCCAGGGGCGCTGGGGCTAAGTCCACAGACAGTCCCCTCCAGGGCAGCCAATGTGGGGACAGGGCAGTCACTGACAATGACCCCCTCTGAGCCCTGCTCTGTGAGTGGCCCTGGGGGGCCGTTAACACTCTTGTGCTCTGCCACCAGCCGCCCATCAGCCGGCCGCCATCCCGGGAGATCGACTACACTGCATACCCCTGGTGAGTGGATCGTGGGCTGCAGACATGGGCATCTGGTGGCCTCTTTGTTATGGGGGCATGCCCGCCGGGTCTGGGTGGTGCCTGTGAGCGGCCCAGCAGGGTGGAGGCCCCAGGCTGCCTGTTGCCATCTCCAGGGCACTGAGCCCAGTGGCTCCCAAATGCCTTCTCCCTCCTGGCCTATAACTCTCCAGGAGCCTGGGGGAGTCCTTCTCCTGTAGGCAGCTGTTAACCCTCTCTAAAACAGCTCAACTGGCTCAGATATTTCAGGGAATTAAACCCTTTTTGAATTTTATCTGCACTATATAAAAGTGGTATATTTGAGGTCACAGGTGTAATCCACTTACTGACAATACAGTTGCTTGGTGGGAACAGTGAGGCTGTTTGAAATCACAGAAGTCCCAACTGTCCTGACAGTGTGGCAGCAGATTTTGGGAGAGAGCTTGCCTTGCCCTCTCAGGGTGGGCTTCATTGCAGTACAGGTGGCAGGAAGAGCTTCGTTTCAAAATCTGTTCAAAATTCAACTGACATGGATGTTGGCAATCTCCAATGTGTTACCAAAAAAATCCACATAAGCAGTTATGCCTTTACTGCTTTTGAAATAGTGAAAATATATTTTAGGAAAGAAATTGGATCTACTGAATACGCTGAACTCCTCTGGCAGGCCCTTGGGGTCTGTAGAGCAGAAGACAGCATGTGGGACTGGCTGGTGGCCACAGTCACCCCTCTATTTAACCCCTCTCAAGATCTGTCCTGAGCCTCACTGTATCCCACTGTAGGAAGGGTCAGATGCCAGACCCCATCCACAGTGGTGCCCCGCTCATAGGGACCCAGCCTGTTCTCTTGGGTTCATTAGGAGATGAGCTCTCAGATGAGGACTGCAGAGTACTTCATGTGGCCTGCCACGCACGGAGGGCTGGGCACCCCTCAGACACTGTCCTCACTGCGGCTCTCGTTTCCTCCCGGCCCCCTCCTGTAGGTTTGCAGGTAACATGGAGAGGCAGCAGACGGACAACCTGCTCAAGTCCCACGCCAGCGGGACCTACCTGATCAGGGAGCGGCCTGCCGAGGCTGAGCGCTTTGCAATAAGCATCAAGTAAGTGGCGGCTCTGGGCTCGAGGAGACCCATCCCCCAATGCCGTTCTGAAGTGGAGAGCACCATCCTCTCCACGTCCTGAGCTCGTGGGGTTGGGGTGGACATGTCATCTGTTGCCAAGTGAGGACATTATTGAGATGAAAGCGGTGCTGAGGGGTCAGGGGGTCTCTACAGGTGTGCTGGGCAGGGCCTGAACCCCTGGCATGCACAGATGGTCCATGCTTACATCACTCCTGGCTGCCCTGTGGGCTGGGTTGGACATTTCTGGGTCATGGGAACCAGATAAGCTCAGGTACAAGTGGGTGGGTGAGATCCTGTGTGAGCTCAGGGATTTCCCAGCAGCCCCACAGGTTGAGAGAGTGGACCTGTCGTGCTGCTCTGAGGCAGCCAGGGGCCTAGGAGGGTGTCTCCTGTGACTACTGCTGCCTTGCGGCTTTGGCACAGTCTGGGCATCCTCCTGCCCTATGCCCTCTCCCTGGGAGCCGCCTCCTTGTGGGGCTGCAGTTAACTCTCCAGGAGACCGACCCTGATGGGCTGGAGCCCACCAAGCACTGAGCTGGTGGGACATTGCCCACCTGAAAGAAATTCTCAGAAAGCCTTCTGTGTGCCTGGCCTGCAGGAGGCTAAGATGGGCCTTGCCGACCAGGAGCTGGGGGTAGGGCGCACACACTCATGGTGCACATTAAATCCAGGGAGAAACAAGATGGGTGCTGTATGAAGGCCTCACAGAGGACCAGGCAGCCAGGCCACCATTTGTTTAATGACTGTTTATTACATTAGCTGATTTCCAGATGTTAAACCAACCTTGCATTCCTGGAATGTCCCACTGGGTTGTGGTGTGGAGTCCTTGCTATGTGTCTGGTTTATGTAGATAAATACAGTCATCGGCCACATAATGACATTCCAGTCTGTGAGGGACCCCATATGTGGTGGTGGTCCCGTAAGATTATAATGGAGCTGAAATGTTCCCATGGCCTGGTGACATCATAGCGCAGCCCATTACTCATGTGAGTGTGGTTATGCTGGTGTAAACAAACCTACAGTGCTGCCAGTCATATAGAAGCATAGGACAAACAATTCTGCACATACATAGTATGTGATCATCGTAATACATGAATGTGTTACTGGTTTATGGATTCACTATACAGTGCTTTTTATTTTAGAGCATACTCCTTCTACTCAGCAAAAAAATACTTAATTGTAAAACAGCCTCAGGCACGTCCTTCAGGAGACATTCTAGAAGAAGGCATTGTTGTCTTAGGAGTAAAAACAACAACAACAAAGAAAAAAAACAGGAAAGCTTATAGAATAAGGATACAAAGAATAAAATATCTTTGTACAGCTGTGTAATATGTTTGTGTTTTAAGCTAAGTATTATTACCCAAGCTTCAAAAAGTTAACAAAAATTAAGAAGTTTATAAAGTTAATTTACGATTGAAGAAAGAATGTTTTAAAAATAAATGTAGTGTAGCCTCAGTGTCCAGCGTTGATAAAGTCTACAGTGGTGCACAGCAATGTCCTAGGCCTTCACATTTACTCACCACTCTCCAGCTCACCCAGAGCAACTTCCAGTCCTGCAAGCTCCAGTCATGATAAGCACCCCATACAGCTGTCCTGTTTTTTATCTTTTCTACTGTGTTTTTACCATACCTTTTCTAGGCTGACCTCATGTTACAACTGCCTACAGTATTCAGTAGGTCTGTAGCCCGGGAGCAATAGGCTTTGCCGTCCAGCCTAGGTGTGGGGTGTGCAGTAGGCTCTGCCGTCCAGCCTAGGTGTGGGGTGTGCAGTAGGCTCTGCTGTCCAGCCTAGGTGTGGGGTGTGCAGTAGGCTCTGCCGTCCAGCCTAGCTGTGGGGTGTGCAGTAGGCTCTGCCGTCCAGCCTAGGTGTGGGGTGTGCAGTAGGCTCTGCCGTCCAGCCTAGGTGTGGGGTGTGCAGTAGGCTCTGCCGTCCAGCCTAGTTGTGGGGCGTGCAGTAGGCTCCATCATTCAGCTTAGGTATAGGGTGTGTGGTAGGCTCTGCCGTCCAGCCTACATGTGGGGTGTGCAGTAGGCTCTGCTGTCCAGCCTAGGTGTGGGGTGTGCAGTAGGCAATGCCATCCAGACTTATATAAATGCACTCCGTGGCGTTCGTACAGTGATGGAAGCACCTGCCTGCATCTCTCAGGACAGGTCTCCCTGGTTAAACGCCGCCTGACTGTATGGGAGAGAGATTTGGTCTGCCAGCTGCTTGCTAAGGATTTCTGCATCCATAGTCATTAGGGACATTGGGCTGTAGTTTTCTTGTGATGTCTGTGTCTGGCAAGGGGGTGGGTGGCATTCAGGGGAGGGATATGGGGGCTCCTCTGTAAGGTCACATTTGAATTGAGACGTGAGGACATAAGGGGGCCTTGAGGACAGAAGGAGGTTAGTGTCTGGCAGGGGCAGCAGCCGGTGCCGAGGCCCAGACAGGCTTGCGCTCGGCACCTCTGAGGAGCAGGCCCGAGGCCTGGCCGGCCAAGTGGACATGCAGGGAAGGATGTCAGGAGATGTCAGGGCTGGGCCCGGCTGCTCCACAGGGAGGAGGAGAGGCTCCTGGTACTGAAAAGCAAATGAGCAGAAGCCCAGGACAGGAGGCCTCAGCAGGGCTAGAGGCCAGGAGAGGCGGGGAGCTGAGCAGCCAGGGGTTCCGGGCCCCAAACGAGCAAGGAGGGCAGGCAGGCAGGTGGCAGGAGCTGTCTGGGGCTGGTGGCCCGAAGGGCTGGGGTAGGACAGGGCTGACAGGGAGTGGCCCTGGGGGCCAGGGACGAGGGGCTTTGCTGCAGCAAACACAGAATGAGCCTGGCTGCCAAGGGGGCCGGGGCCGTGTGGCCCTCACGCGGTGACCGCCGGGGCCGTGTGTTTGCTCAGGTTCAATGATGAGGTGAAGCACATCAAGGTGGTGGAGAAGGACAACTGGATCCACATCACAGAGGCCAAGAAATTCGACAGCCTCCTGGTAGGTGACTTCTGGCTCCGGCCGGCTCCCACCCCAGCCACAGGGGACAGGTGCTTCCTCCCGGCCCTGAGCGAGTGGCCATGTTTTCTGTGAGGATTGATTCTTCCCAGTGTGGCCAAGATTTAGGGAATTGGTTTTTAAGGCACTAGGACAGCTAGAGCTATGTCCCAGCCTCCTGAATTGGGACTTCTGACCCCCAAAGCCTGAGCAAGGTGGTTGACCCTGGTAAACAGTGCAGGGGTGGGGTAGGGGCAGCCCAGGCCACCAGCAGCCCCAGATTCCTCTCATGCCCATCCTCCTGCGAGAGCAGAAACTGACGCCCAGTGGGGCTTCCAGCTGGGGCCTGGCCGGGTAGCCCCATTACACATGTATGGCTTCAAACAGCTTCTTCTCCGACTCACCCCCACCCTCTGTCCCAGCCAGAATGCAGTTAGAGGCATAGTCCTTGAAATGATTTTAAAGTTATGCCTACATTTTCTTTTCTTAATTACAAAAGTTGTATATATTGAGAACTCCTGATTAGAGCCCCCAGGCTCTTAGCTTCCCCGCTATGGCCACAGAAAAGCACAAGGTCAAGCAGAAATCCATAATCTCGGGCTGAGCGTAGTGGCTCATGCCTGTAATCCCAGCACTCTGGGAGGCCGAGGTGGGTGAATCACTTGAGGTCAGGAGTTCGAGACCAGCCTGGCCAACATGGCAAAACCCCATGTCTACAAAAAATACAAAAATTAGCCGGGCATGGTGGCACACGCCTGTAGTCCCCCCTACTTGGGAGGCTGAGGCACGAGAATTGTTTGTACCCAGGAGGCGGAGATTGCAGTGAGCCGAGATTGCGCCCTTGCACTCCAGCCTGGGTGACAGAGTAAGACTCTGTCTCAAAAAAAAAAAAAAAAAAAGAAAATCCATAATCCCATCCCCACCTCCAAAAAAACAAAAGCGGAAACCAGCGTTGGCATCTCAGTGAGTCCTCAGGACCTCTCTACACACAGCTTGGGTCTGGTTTCTATTATATAAATAATAATGCTGGCAATGCCCCAGCTGATTTTTAGGCGACTTTTCAAGGCCACAAACATTCACCATTAATGAATCTTCCCCTGGCTGATGGCCGCATGGCTCTCTGTCACTTGGAGATCCTGTTATTTCTAGAAGCTTACCCCAAGTGCTGGGTACAGAGTGTTTCCATTCTTTCCTTTATAAAGGCTGTTGCAGTCAGTGTCCGTGCTGGTCAGTCTTGGCATCTTTTGCAGATTATTTTTTCTAGAAACATTTGGGGGAGTTGCTGGTACCTTCGAGGTACTGACCACCCACCATGGGCTGGCGGGATGTGGGGAGTTCTGAGGAGTCCAGGAAGCTAGTCTCCCCCACATGAACCAAGAGGTGGGAGAGGGAGGCCAGGTCACTGGGGGAGGACTTCCTGGAGGTGGCAGCAGCTGTCAGTGAGTGTGTACGCCCTGCAGGAGTTGGTGGAGTACTACCAGTGCCACTCACTGAAGGAGAGCTTCAAGCAGCTGGACACCACACTCAAGTACCCCTACAAGTCCCGGGAACGTTCGGCCTCCAGGGCCTCCAGCCGGTCCCCAGGTAACGCCCCGGCCCAGCCGGCACACCAGCACTCCTCGGAGGGGTCTGCCCTGGCCCACTTCCCAGGGCTCAGATCCTGCCCTCACAGACCCAGACCAGGAGTCCCACCCTGGGGAACACAGCCCCCGCCCCTCCCCCAGCCATCGCAGATGCTGTCATGTGGCATCTCCTGGGCCATGTGACAGGCGGGGACTCTGCACCTGCTCAGAATTGCTACTCTGTGTCTTGGCTTCTTCACCCAGAGACCAGTGGGGGTTGGAGGGGCCAGGTCCAGGCAGAGACCCCTGCGCATGGAGCTGTCACAGGTGGGAGAGAAAAGGGCAGGCCCACCTGTTCCCAGATCCCTCCCTGTGCCCAGCCCCTGGGCCTCCTCTGTGAGAGGCAGCCTGTTTGCAGGTTGGACTCCACAGCTCAGAACAGGGAAGGCCACACGGAATCAGGGGCAGGGGCAGGCCCCGAGCATGCGGCTTCCCGCTCAGGACTCTCTCCAGAGTCACCCCACGTCCTCCAGCCTGCAGGGTCCTGCAGGGCCATGGGTCTCACACAGGCCGAGCTGGACAGGAGAGGAACAGCTGGCCTTAGTGAGCACCTGCTATGTGCCAGGCGAGGGCATGAGAGGAGGTGGTCCCAATTTGCTCTCGAGTACACGGGTGCATAGAGTGGTTCCAGGGTAGCTCAGGTGTGGCCGAGTGGCACCTGTGCCTGGGTGGGGCTTGACAACCCGTGCTGCCCCCTGCCTCCTTTGCCCCCCTGTAGGGCCTCTCCTGCCAAAGGGCCTGCCCCACCCCATGCCCCCCGGCCTGTAGCTGTGCCCACCGTGACTGTGCGTGGATGCCCTGCTGCCCGCCTCACGTTCTCTCTCGCCTCTTTGCAGCTTCCTGTGCTTCCTACAACTTTTCTTTTCTCAGTCCTCAGGGCCTCAGCTTTGCTTCTCAGGGCCCCTCCGCTCCCTTCTGGTCAGGTACCGCTGCTCCCCAGGGCGTGGGGGGACCGGGCCTGTGGCAGCTGCCTTGGGAGACCCAGCACGGAGCTGCCCACTGGCCCCACAGCCCTGCCTGACGTGGCCACAGTTGTCCGCAGTCTGGCACTGGGTGGAGGGGAGAAAGGGGCTGGGGAGGCCGGGCAGAGGCTGCTGCGAGCACCTGAGGACACGTCAGGCTTGGCCCTGCCATTGTCACCACCCACCCCCTGTGGACACGCCCACCCTGATGGCCACTTTCCCAGCCCCGTCCACTGTCATTCCTCCTTGTTCATCAAGAGCTTTGCCTCTGGTAGCAGAAAGCAGGTGGCCACGAGGAGGAGCTGTGGGACTTGGGTGCAGGGAGGAGGGGTTTTCAGTCAGCCTTGACCTCATGGCTTTCGGCTGCCAGAGTCAAAGTCCCTTCCCAGCAGCTGTGTGTGTTTCGCCCTCAGCCATGGTCATTGTCACCTGTCTATCAGGATTCTGCATCTGGGCCAAGCTGGTTCCACTGGGTTTCTGGTTGGATTTGGGGGACCACTGGAATGATGATGGTCAAAGCCTGGGCACCTGCTCTTGTCCCTAAGAACATCCTCATTGCAGGGACTTGGATGTGCTGTGTCCCCAGACCCAGAGGGCAAGGGGCCCTGGGATTGGAGGCCAGTGTGTCCCTCCAGAGCCTTTCTGCTTGACATCCTTCCTCTCTGGGTACAGAGCAGGGTTCTGGGCACCAGGGGAGAGACCCAGCTTGGCCCAAGGGCCTCCTGGATCACTGGTTGGGCTCCTCCTGCAGCTGTGTGATGCTGCCCATCTCCCTCAACAGTGTTCACGCCCCGCGTCATCGGCACAGCTGTGGCCAGGTATAACTTTGCCGCCCGAGATATGAGGGAGCTTTCGCTGCGGGAGGGTGACGTGGTGAGGATCTACAGCCGCATCGGCGGAGACCAGGGCTGGTGGAAGGGCGAGACCAACGGACGGGTGAGTGGCCCCACCCTGAGGGTGTGGGGCTGGCCTCGCTGCAGCCCCTACCTGGTCGGGCTCAGGCAGACTAGCACCACACCTATGTCCACACCCCAGGCCCTGTTCCAGACACCCTCTGCAATCTCCCTCATCCTCACAGCAGCCCAGAAGGTTGGCATTCACAGGGGGAAACCGAGGCTCCAGATGTTTACCACGAACCCAAGGTCACACAGCCAGAAATCGGCTACAGAGGTCTGATGCGGATCCAGGCTCCTAGGAACCCCCCGACCCTGTTCCATTTTTATTCTGGGCTGCCCTCATAGCTGCACTCGCCAAATTACTTGCAAGTCCCCAAGCTCTGTTTGCGGGAAGGGAGGTCACAGGACTGAGGAGGACACGGTGTCCTTGCTGGGCTCCTCCTGCCATTTTCTAAGGCCCTATCTATGCCCTGGTGAGGCAGTAGGGACACAGTGTGTCCCCAATCCCTTCACACTTTCCCAAGTGCCAGGTGGGCCTAAGAGTGCCCTGGCCACCCTAAGATTCTGCATATGTCTGTGGCCTCTTCATCCCAACACCCCATCTGGACCTCTAGCTTTGACCCATGTCTCTCAGTACCTATCCATCCAAGCACCAGAGCTCCCTGTGCCACCAATTAGAAAATGCCCAGCTTTCTCTGTGAGCTGCAAGCTGCACAGGGCAGGTGGATGGGGCTTCAGAGGGCCAGTTAACCTTGGCTCCCAGTGCTGACCCTTCCATTGTCCAGTGGCCGGAGCAGCTCTGCCTTCACCTATCAGTCTGCCCCTTGGAGGCCCTCAAGTCTGACCCATTTTTTACCCAACTGCCCTATAGAAGTGTCAAGGCTACTGAGGCTTAGGTAGCCCACCTAGGGGGCTGGGACCACTGGTTCTCAAAGTGGTCCTTGTGTGATTGGCATTAAAAGTGCCTGAAGCTGTAATTTAATAAGCACATACCTGGGCTCTTTCCCAGATCCAGGTATTTTCTATACAGCATTAAGTTTTAGAACAACTAGTTTGAGTATTACTGGATAATTCCTGTCAATTTGACCCTGTTACCATTATGAAACGTCTTTTCTTTTCTCTGGCATTTATTCTTGCTGTAGTCTCCTTGATCTGCTTTTGTGACACCAGCTTTCTTGGGATTACTGCTTTGTGTGGCATATTATTTTCTCTCATACTACTTAAACTTTTCTATTTCCTTATATTTAAAATGGATTTCTTATAAATAGTTGGGGAAGCCAGTCTGGTCTGACAGTCTTTGGCTTTTAATAGGCATATATAGCCCATTTACATTTAATGTAATTACTGAGCTGTTTGGGTTTAAATTATCTAACTTTATTTTCTAGTTGTCACATCTACTCCTTTTTTCTTCTTTCCTGCCTACTTTTGAATTAATCAATATATTTTTAATTCTACTTCCCCTGCCCTACATTGGTTTGTTAGTTACACACTTTTTTTCTTAAGTGGTAACCTTAGACTAGAGGTTACCTTAAATGAGTACTTTTTTACTATTTCCCAGACAATGCAAGGAAGGACCTTGCGACTTTTGATTGCATCCATTTTCCTCCCAACTTTTGTGCAAGCGTTCTCATGTATCTTAATTCTATATATATTCAAACCTTAGAAGACATTGTTTTTGTTTTTTTGTTTTTGGGATATATATATATATATATATATATATATTTATTTATACTTTAAGTTCTAGGGTACATGTGCACAATGTGCAGGTTTGTTACATATGTATACATGTGCCATGTTGGTGTGCTGCACCCATTAACTAACCTAATTTACATTAGGTATGTCTCCTAATGCTATCCCTCCCCCTCCCCCTCCAGTGTGATGTTCCCCTTCCTGTGTCCAAGTGTTCTCATTGTTCAGTTCCCACCTATGAGAGAGAACATGCGGTGTTTGGTTTTTTGTCCTTGTGATAGTTTGCTGAGAATGATGGTTTCCAGCTTCATCCATGTCCCTACAAAGGACATGAACTCATCATTTTTTATGGCTGCATAGTATTCCGTGGTGTATATGTGCCACATTTTCTTAATCCATTCTATCATTGTTGGACATTTGGGTTCGTTCCAAGTCTTTGCTGTTGTGAGTAGTGCTGCAATAAACATACATTGGAGAGGATGTGGAGAAAGAGGAACACTTTTACACTGTTGATGGGACTGTAAACTAGTTCAACCATTGTGGAAGACAGTGTGGGAATTCCTCAGGGATCTAGAACTAGAAATACCATTTGACATTGTTTTTGTTTTAGGCTGTTGTGCTTATTTAGATTTACCCCGTGTTTACCTTTCCCAGGGCTCCCCATTTCCTCCTGCATTATTGTATTTCCACCCAACACCATTTCCTGCTGCCTGACATCCCTTCTCTTTCATATTTTTTAAAGCATATCTGCTATTAATGAATTCTCAGTTTCTTTTGAATCTAAAACCATCCTTATTTCACTTTCTTTTTAAATATTCACATTGTAAAATGTTTGTAACATAATTTTGAAACAAAATTTCAAACGTACAATTTCAAAATTTCAACTTAAAAGTGTCAGTAACCTGCCCAGATTTACCAATTGTGAATGTTTTGCCCCATTTGCTTTATCATTTGCACTGTGTGTGTGTGTGTTTGTCTATTTCTCTCTAACTCACTTGAGAGTAAATTGCAGAAATCATATTTCTTTACCCCTAAGTATTTCCTAAGACCAAGGACATTCCCCTTTGATATAATACAATTATCTAATCCACTGTCCATATTCAAATCTTACCAGTCATCCCAATCATGTCTTCTCTAGCTCTTCTCTCCTGGTCCTGGATCCAGTCCAGGATCATGAATTGCATTGACTTGCTGTGATCCTTAACTCTCTTTAATCTGGAATATTCCTCAGTCTTTCTCTGCCTTACATGACTTTTACACTTTTGAAGAGTTTGAGCCAGCTATTTTTATAGGATATCTCTCAATTTAGGTTTGTCTGATGTTTCTTCATGATTAGATTGAGGTTCCATTGGGAACACCACAATGGGGACGTTGGCACTTTCTCAGTGCCGTAGTGTCCTGTTAGGACATGAATTATGCCAGTTTGTCTCATTATTTGTGACATTAACTTTGATCATGTGTTTAAGATTATATTTGCTATGTTCTACTGTGAAGTTACTGTTGACTGTAATTAGCAAGTAATTTGCAGGGTAATACTTTGAGGTTAGGTAAATATCCTGTTTCTCTTCAAACTTTCATGTACTAGTTTTATCTTCCCTTGATGAATTTTATCTATTCTATTATTTCTATTATGGCTGAAAAATAGTGATTTTTTGACTATCTATAGATATTAGTTGGCATTCTACTGTAAGGAAAACTTTCTTTTCTCCTGTACTTATTCATCGTCCCCCAGGAATCAGTCATTTTTCCAAGGAGACCTAGTTCCTTTTTGTGAGGAGTTGTTTTGAGTTCATTTTGAAGTTCATTTGAAGTTTTGAGTTCATTTTACTATAATCTGCCTAGGTGTGATTTTCTTTTTATTTATTCTGCTTAGGATTTGCAGAGATTTTTTTGAACCTGTGGCTTGATGTCCATCACTTTTGGAAATTTCTCAGCCAGCATAGTATCTGCAGACTGTGTGTCTGTTCCATTTTCTCTCTTTTCTCCTTGTAGGACTTCATTCACAAGGATGTTAGAACTTTTTACCATGGCCTCATATTATTTCCACAATTTTATGTGTTTTTCATCCTTTTTTCTCTCTGGTTTTCTATCTAGTCACTTTCTGGTGACCTGTCTTACAGTTTGTCTTCTCTTCTGCTTTGTCTAAATCCCTCTATTGGATTCTTCATTTCATTCATCGTATGTTTCAGTTCTAGGATTTCTATTTGATTTCCGATTTAGGTTCTCTGGTAAAATTGTCTGCCTTTTCATCCGTTTTCTTAAACGTATGAATTAGAGTTATTAATCTCCCCTGACAGATGACCTCAATACCTGTGGGTTGATTTCTACTGTCTGCTTTTTCTATTGGTTTTTGTCATTTGGTCCTGACTGAATGCCAAGCTTGTGTATTAAGAAAAAGCTGTAGTTGTTCTGGGTGATGTTCTTTTCCTCAGGAGGGTTTATTTTTTTTCTGACTGGCAGCTGGAGGGTGGGCAGATCATCTTAAACTGGCCAAGGGTGGTGTTTTTCTGGGTTGCTCTTACTCCCAGGCAATGGTTCCACCAGGTCCTTCTGAGAACTCTGGACTTCCGAAGGGCCCCCCATCTTCATGAGCCTCTACTTGCCCTCACCCCAACATAGACATGCACACACCTGCTTACACACACACACACACACACAGACACGATCTTACCATCTTTTTCAGATTGGCTGGTTTCCTTCAACGTACGTAGAAGAGGAGGGCATCCAGTGACGGCAGGAACGTGGACAAGACTCGCAGATTTTCTTGGGAGAGTCACTCCAGCCCTGAAGTCTGTCTCTAGCTCCTCTGTGACTCAGAGGGGAAATACCAACCTCCCAGTCTTCCACTGCCCACAGGGATAGGGAGGGTGTTGAGAATCCTAAACTCGAACCGTTTCACTGTCAGCCTGCCCTCGGCGACCCATCACTGGGTATGCTATTGTACATAGAGGAAACCTGGGCTAGCCCCACCCAGAGCGCAGAGGAGGGGGCACCGACAGCGCTGCGAGCCAGGCTCTGGGTAGTGGCTGAGGCCAGAGGCCCATCGCCTGCCCCTGTCCAACTGAGATGGCCTTCAGGAGCCTAGGTTTGAACAGCAGATGCTGTCCCAGGAAGGGCTAGGGACATCGGAGGGGACCTGCCCCCACACCCTCTGCTCAGCCCCTGGACTCAGCCTTGCCTGTCTTTTCCTGCTGCTCCCAGGGGGAGGTGTCAGACCTCGGGAGGCAGACGGGACCAGAGCCAGGCTGTTCACTGTGGGCCCACTTGCCCCACTGTGCTAGGGCGCGGGAGGAGAGAGCACTGTGGTCGCCCTCTGCAGCCACTCTGGCTCCCAAGACTTCCCTGACTCCCCCACTCCCCTCCTTGCCAGGGGCACACCCGGACCCCACACGGCAGGCCCCTCTCTTGGGAGGGGCCTTTGGAATGATGAAATTCCAACCCTGCTGCCCGGTCAGCGGTACCGTTTCCTGCCCTCTCTCTGAGAGGCCCTTTCTGGAGTCCTGGGAAGGTGTCTGCCTGGCCGCGCTGCCAGATCAGTACATCTTTTGTAAAAACCCTGAAATGGGCAGGGAAGAAAACAGGGATTTCCCCTCTCTAGATCCCTGCCAGGTCCCTCTCCAGGAGGCCCCTCTGCTCTCCTGAAGGGTGGTCCCTGAGGGTCTGCCCAGCCTTGGCACGAGAGGTTGGTTCCAGCCCCTGGCAGGGCTTCCTTCCAAGGGCCCCTGCAGCCTACAAACTGGGCCTCGGGCGACTCAAAATAAGTGCTCTTGGGGGTGGCTCTACCCCATTACCTCCCCCAGCCACAACTCCTGGCCTTCGACTTCTGGCTGGGTTAGCCAGACCCTGGTTTCTCTACCCTGATGTTGCATGAGACCTGGTAACAGTGTCTCCCTCCCAGCTCCTTGCCAAAGCCTCTGTTGAGACCTGGGCTTCTTGTAGCCCCTTCTCCCTCTGGCCAGCTGCACAGCCTGTGGGAGGTGCCCGGCCCAGGCTGGGTGTGGGGGAAGCTGGTCCCTGCTGTGGGTGGCGCTGGGGACCTAGGGGCTCCTTCTGAGGTTGGCCTTGTGGCCTCTGGGCTGTATGCCTCTGGGGTGTAGGGAAGAGGCGGGAGGAGTCATGGGGATGGGGAGCGGCAGGGGGAGAGAGGGGCCCTCGACAAAGGCTTGGGAAATGAGGGGAGGTGGAGGCAGGGCAGGGGAAGCGAAGAGTCAGCCTTGGAGAGAGCACCCTGGGGCCTCCGTGTCGGGGTACACCCAGCACTTTGCGACCTGCGGCCCAGCAGGCGCGGAGGATGGCGGGGAGGAAGCCAGCAGCCCCTGTGTTTACTGTCGTCAGAAAGGTCTTGTGTTTTGGTTTTGGGGTTTTTGTTTTGTTTGTGTTTTGTTTGGCTTGTTTGTTTTTTAAGGGGAAAAAAGTTTGTAATTATTTCATCCAAATCTCCCGTTATATATCTGTGAATAATAAGAGATTTTATAATAGCAAGAAAATGATGTATATTTTAGTTTGTTGACAAATAAGTCATCATGATCACGAAGGACACTGAGAAAAAATAATTTAGAACCCTGGTTTTTGTGAATTTTTTTGTTTTGTGTTTCTTTGTTTTGAGATTTGTGTTTGGTTTGGTTTTTGCACTGCACTAAGGCAGGAGGGTTGGAGGGCTGGGTGCAGCCTGGGAGTCCGATGGTTTTCAGCAGGAGACGGGGTGTCCCCTGCAGGGGGCTAAACTGCAGGGGCCTGAGATTAGCTGTGAACATGTGGGAGCCCGATGCATGTGGGTCAGGGATCTGGGGGCCCCCCCAGCTGGCGGGAACCCCAAATGGACACAAACTGTACATTTGCCAATGGGTTTTTTTCAGACCATGGTTTTTACTTGCAAATAAACCTGAGTTCTTTTCTGCAGGAGTGGTCAGCCTTTCGTACCAGGGGAGGAGGGAATGGCTGGATTCTTCCGCCTAAGTCCAGCAGGGTCTGTCTGACTGGGGTGCTTGGATCTCAGGGTGGCCCAACCGCAGCAGGGTCTGAGAGATACGGAGGTAATGGTGCCATGGCCACCTCCCGGCTGGCACAGCACCCTGGGTTTCCCATGCGGTGCCCTGGAATTCTCCAGGTGGCATCGGGCATACAAATGGGATTCTAATTCCTGCCCCATCACTTGGGTACCTCTTGAGCCCCTGTTTCTTTACATGTATATTGAAGATAAAAATAGCCTCAGTGCAGTGGCACACACCTGTCATTTTAGCACTTTGGGAGGCTGAGGTAGGAGGCTGAGGTGGGAGGATGGCTTGAGCCCAGGAAGTTGAGACCCGCCTGGGCAACATGGCGAGACCCTGTCTCTACAACATTTTTTTTTTAATAGTTGGGCATATGGTGGTGCACATCTGTGGTCCCAGCTTCTCGGGAGGGTGAGGTGGGAGGGTCGCTTGAGTCCAGGAGGTCGAGGCTGCAGTGAGCTGTGATTGCACCACTGTACTCCAGACTGGACAACAGAGCAAGACCATGAATCTAAAAAAAACAAAACAAAACAGAACAAAAAAAAAAAAAACCTCTCCATTTTGGTGGGTTCTGTGGTGTATGATAGAGAAAACCAAAATAGAAAATGAGAGATTTATTTCTCCTTCCCCTCATGGAGGACCATCCAGAGGCAGCAGCTCCTTTGCCTTGCCCTGGTCCCAGAGCCATCAGGAACCCTGGCTCCCCCCTCCCTGATCCCCTGGTCTCAGGGGGGCTCCTCTTTCCTGATTCCCCATCCTCAGAGGCTCCTCCTTCCCAATCTCCCATCTTCAGAGGCTCCTCCTTTCCCGATCCGCCGTCCTCAGAGGCTCCTCCTTCCCGATCCTTCGTCCTCAGAGGCTCCTCCTTCCTGATCCGCCGTCCTCAGAGGCTCCTCCTTCCTGATCCCTCGTCCTCAGAGGCTCCTGCTTCCTGATCCCCCATCCTCAGAGACTCCTCTTTCCCGATCTCCCGTCCTCAGAGGCTCCTCCTTCCTGATCCTCCGTCCTCAGAGGCTCCTCCCTCTCTGATCCTGCATCCTCAATGGCTGCTCCTTCCTGATCCCCCATTCTCAGGGGCTCCTTCTCCCTGATCCCCCATTCTCAGAAGCTCCTCCTTCCTGATCCCTCATCCTCAGAGGCTCCTCCTCCCTGATCTCCCGTCCTTAGCATGCCCTTCCCTCCTTGTGGCTGCCTCGTGGTCCACGGTGGCTGCTGGAGCTCCTGCCACAGGGCCATGAGAGAGAACAGAGATCCCCTTACAGCTCTGGCCAGGAAACAGCCCATTTTCTAGAAGTGGAAACTGAGGCTGAGATATGTGAAGTGACTCATCCAAGGTCACACGTGGCCCTTGCACAGCTCGGTCTGATGCCAGAGTCCACGTTTCTGTTTGGGCAGCACCCAGTTCCTAAGCGATGACTTTTCTGCCTCTCAGGCCAGCCCCTGGGTCTCCCACCCTTCCTGCAGACTGGACCCTGGCCAGCCTTCGCCCCACTGAGGCTGCTGGGAGGCGAACCCGATGGGCAGAGTGAAAATGCCCCCTTCTCCAGGAGCTTCCAACCCCAGGAACCTCTCCCTTGGGCCAAGCCTTCTCCCAGATGTGCAGGCTGGACCATGCCCATCTGACCTGCCCTCGCCCCCATTCACTGGTACGTCAGCCGAGTCTCCAGGAGGGACCCCTTCCCAGGGCCGGCCCCACCCTCCTCACGCAGCCCTCCCTGCTGCTCCTGGCCCCCTGGGGGTGGCAGGCAGGTGTGGGTGCAGGGCGACCCCTGGACAGCTGACCGTGGAGTGGGTGTCCCAGGCTGGTGATCAGAAGGGTGAATCAAGGAGAAGTGATGGGGCCTTGCGTTCTGAGAGAAAATAAAATAGCTCCCATTTACTGAGTGTTTTCTTCTACCAGGCATGGGGGCTCTGGGCGAGCACATCCCTCCCCTTCCTCCGTCCTTGCCCTCCCTCTGTCCCTGCCCTCCCTCCATCCCTCCCCTCGCTCCACCCTCCCCTAGCTCAGTCCCTCCCCTAGCTCCATTCCTCCCGGTGTTCCGTCCCTGCCCCGCTCCGTCCCTCCCCCTCGCTCCGCCCCTCCCCTCGCTCCGCCCCTCCCCCTCGCTCCGCCCCTCCCCCTCGCTCCGCCCCTGCCCTCGCCCTGTCCTGGTTGGCTCAGGCTGCCGTGACCGCTGTGGCTCAGGCCCCAGACCCGGCTGCCTCAACTCTGAAATCTCCTTTCTTACGGTTCTGAGGCTGGAAGTTGGAGATGCAGTAAGGGAGGGCGTTGGTTCCTCCTGAGGCCTCTGCATGCTCATCTCAGAGGTCTCTCCCTCCTCTCATGGGGACCCCGTCCTCTTGGATTAGGGCCTACCCTCAGGACCTCGTGTCACCTCTTCCGAGTCCTTCTCAGAGTCACATTTGCGGCAAGTTCTCCACGATGGCTTTGCAGCAAGAATCACTTCCACTCACTCCACAGTCCTAGCGAGGGCCCACTCTGTGCCTTTTCGATGCCCGGGAAGAAACCAAATGGAAAAGCCGCCGCCGGGGAAGCTGATATGCAGGGAGTGGGGAGGGGTGGGGGGAGAATTGAGGAAGCTCTGGATTGTTTTTCTTTCTGCTCCTTTTCTCTCTCCCCCTGCTTGTCCCTCTCCCCCTCTTTCCCTGAATGTGTTGCAGTTTTCTACGGGACTCATACAATCCCTACTTGACCCACTTTGGGTGTTTTCTTTTCTTTCTTTTTTTTAAGAGATAAGGTCTCACTCTGTCACCCAGGCTGGAGTGCAGTGGCCCAGTCCTAGCTCACTGCAGCCTCACGGTCCTGGACTCAAGCAATCCTCCTGCCTTAGCCTCCCAAGTAGCTGAGACTACAGGCACGTGCCACCCTGCCCAGCTAATTTTTTTTTTTAATTTTTTGTAGAGATGGGGTCTTGCTACTTCACCCAGGCTGGTCTTGAACTCCTGGCCTCAAATGATTTTCCCACCTTGGCCTCCCAAAAAACCAAGATTATAGGTGTGAGCCGTCGCACCCAGCCTAGGTGTTTTCTTTTATCTATTAAGTGTTGCAAAAAATACGAATTTTGTGCTTGTGCTTGATTTTTCTCATTTATCCAATCAATTTGTATTGATTCCTTACCTGAGATCCAATGTTGAACAAGACCAACAAGGTCTCAGCCAGTTTCTAGTGGCATATCAGGCTGAGCTAACATGGAGGCCTCTCTTCCTCCACTGCCAACACAGAAATCCTTGAAAAAAAACATGCAGAAGGCATAGCTGAGCTGGAAAGAAGGGCCCATTCCAGAAAAAGAGAAATCGAAGCCCGAGGAGATATTGGGAGCTAACCCCGGGGCAGTCTCCAGGGTCTTGGCCTCTCTGGGCCTGGGACCGGTTCCAACACTCTCCTGGCATTGGGAGCCACAGTTGCAGATCCCCCGAGGCCAGAAGCCAGCACTGGGCCCCCTGCATAAAGTTAAGCATCTCAGAGAATCCCCATTGTGCAGAGGAGACTGACACGCATGGATAGTTGAGAGTGTCTGGAAAACAAAGCCAAAATCACGGAGAAGGATAAATGTTTTAAAATATTTTTTAAAGGTTACAGAAATAGAATAAAAAGGCACACCATACCCCACGCCAAATGAACCAAGAATGGTTAACCTTGGAGTTCAAAGATAAAAAGTAATCCACTGGGCATCCAAGCAGAAAGAACAAGTCTCTTAAGAGAAAAAAAACCAATCAGGTTTGCTTTAGACATTACTCCAGTAACACTCGACATTACCCCAGTAACGCTCAATGCTAGAAGGCAATGAACAATTCACACAAGGTCTTCATGGCAAGAGAGACCCAAGAGTTTGATGCTCAAATAGTTGCTCATTTGTCAGGCAGCAACTAACGCATTGCCACATGTAAAGACTCAGGGGCGGCCCGGCGGGGTAGCTCACGCCTGTAATCCCAGCACTTTGGGAGGCCGAGGCAGGTGAATCACTTGAGGTCAGGAGTTCGAGGCCAGCGTGGCCAACATGGCAAAACCCCTTCTCTACTAAAAATACAAAAATTAGCCAGGCATGGTGGTGGGCGCCTGTAATCCCAGCTACTCTGAGGCCAAGGCAGGAGAATCGATTGAACCCGGGAGGTGGAGGTTGCAGTGAGCTGAGATTGCACCACTGCACTCCAGCCTGGGCGACAGAGTGAGACTCCATCTGAAAAAAAAAAAAAAAAAAAAGACTCAGGGGCTGTTACTCAGGGAGCACTTGTTAGAACAATGACCAGGGGCAAACTCCGGCTGGATGACTGGAAAGCTGCCCCAAGGATTGGGGCAGAGTGTGGAACCGGAATCTCTGGAAACAAGTCTTTTTTTTATTTGTTTTAATCAAACAAAAGAGATTTCTAAGTTTTTTGCGTTCCTTAAAAGTGAAGGCTTTGTCAAACATTTTTGTCTACTCTGGGAAATGTACAATGATTAGAAAAGTGCATGTCATAATAGTTTCCTTTTTTTTCTTTGAGACAGAGTCTCGCTCTGTTGCCCAGGCTGGAGTGCAGTGGCACAACCTCAGTTCACTGCAGCCTCCGCCTCCCGGGTTCAAGTGATTCTCTTCCCTCAGCCTCCTGAGTAGCTGGGATTACAGGCACCCGCCACCACGCCTGGCTAATTTTTGTATTTTTAGTAGAGACGGGGTTTCACCATCTTGGCCAGGCTGGTCTTGAACTCCTAACCTCATGATCCGACCGCCTCGGCCTCCAAAAGTGCTGGGATTACAGGCGTGAGCCACCACCCCCGGCCATCATAGTAGTTTTCCAAACTTCTAGTAGTGCTCCAAAACCTCGAAAGTACTCCAAAACATCATAGCAGTACTCCAAAACCTCGAAAACAGACAGCTCGGAATAGCTTAAGAAGTATAACCTGAAGATTTTAAAATTTCAGAAATTAGCCTTTTATAAATTGTGCAGAATATTTATTTTTATAAAAAAAAAGATTATGTTTTCCGGACACATAGGTATTTAGATTACTTCTACCCTGCAAGACTCTCGTGAAAATAAAAGACTTCAAATAGAAAAGGAGAAAAAAGTCAAAGGGAAGAAAGGAAAAGCCGGTTTACAGCATGTGAATTGCTTCTGGACGCTCTGGTTCTTGAATGGGCCTGTGCAGCCTCGTCTGTGTATCTGAGCATTCCATGTCTTCAATACCAGATTTGAAAGAAAGAAATTGGAGAAAGCACAGAAACAAGTCTTCAACGCGGTGGGAGAGGTGCTGCTGCTAGGCAGCTGTGGTAAGCCCTGCAGAAGGCAATCACGAATGTAAAGAAGTATAGTGAGTTCTTATACCTGTTGCTTTGATGTCCATTTTGAATATAAGTTTAACTCTCTCACACCAGAAGCAGGGCTCGTCACCCTCGACACAGTTTACAGTTTTTTTATTGTTGTTTTCGTTTCCGTTTTTGAGACGGAGTCTTGCTCTGTTGCCAGGCTGGAGTGCAGCGGCACGATCTCGGCTCAATGCAACCTCCGCCTCCTGGGTTCAAGCGATTCTCCTGTCTCAGCCTCCCAAGTGGCTGGGATTACAGGCGTCCGCCACCACGCCCAGCTAATTTTTGTATTTTTAGTAGAGATGGGGTTTCACCATGTTGGCCAGGCTGGTCTCGAACTCCTGACATCTGGTGATCCACCTGCCTCAGCCTCCCAAAGTGTCAGGGTTACAGGTGTGAGCCGCCGCGCCCGGCCACAGTTTATAGTTCTGTGCCTGCAGCACTCCCCCAGTTCCTCAGTGTGGTCGATCCAGACATCTGTCTTGTGCCACCGCCTCCTGGTGACCACCTCGCTGTGGAACAGCTGGAACAGCCTGCTGGACCGACCCACCCACTGTGTGGCCATGCAGGCAGGCCACAGTGATGGCCTCTCAGTCAGTCGGCAACCAGAGACCTTGAGGCTGCCTGTCCTAACCCCACCAATCAGAACCCTTGTGGGAAAGCTGCTTGGGTAACACCCTGGACCCCAATAAAGACTTTGGCCCACAGGTGTCTCTCTCTCCCTTTCTCCCTCTCCATCTTTCTCACTCACCCTCTCTCTCTCTCCCTGTCTCCCTCTCTCTCCCCCTCTCCCCCTCTCCCCCTCTCTCCCTCTCTCTCCCTGTCTCCCTCTCTCCCTTTCCCTCTCTCCCCCACCCTCCCTCTTTCTCCCTCTCCCTCTCCCCACTGGTGGTTTAGCATGTGTGTTCTGGACTATCCCCTCTTATCAGCCCCAAGAGGCACAGCCCTCTCTCTCTGGATCTGGAAGGAGTGCGCTGCTCTGATTCCATGTGTCCTGTGCCGCTGCCTCCTCTGTGTCCACCTGAGCCACACGCCCCAGCCTCACTCTCCTCTGGGTCCAGCCTCTCCTGGAAGGTGGATGACATGGATATGACCTCTCCAGAGAGAGGCCTCAAGACTAAATTAGAGGAAAACAAGACAAAAAGAGATAAAGACAGTGGGGAAGGGAAAGAGGAGCGGGTTGGGGAGGACAGAGGCACTGGTTTCCTCCGTTTGTCGGGCTTCAATGATATTTCTTGACTTTTACCTGGAAAATCGAGTGATGGAGGCATAAGTAGACTTCACGGCACAAATACAAACACCAAGAAAGATAATGAATTAAAGTTGGATGAAGATGAGAGAAAGGAAGGGTGAGGAAGATAAAAAAATAGTAATACAGTTTCCGGCCAGGGAAGGAGCAATGCGTGTTGTCTCCAGAGGCTTGCCTTCTGCCTCCAGCAGTGTGTGCATTCATTTTTCTATCGCTGTGTCACAAATTACACACGTGGGGGCTTAACACAACACATTTATTATCTCATGGTTCTGTAGGTCATAGAAGCCCAGCCTAGGTCTCGCTGGGCTGAAATGGAGGTGTCAGCAGAGTTACGTTCCTTCCTGGAGGCCCCAGGGGGAAACCATTGCCTTCCCTTTTCCGGCTTCTAGAAGCTGCTGCATCTGTTGAATCATGGCGCCATGCTCCATCTTCAAAGCCAGCATAGTGGCATCTCTCTGGCCCCTCTTCCAAAGTCACAGCTGTCTCCCTCGGGTTACAGCTGGGAAGGGGTCTCCACTTTTCAGGACTCATATGATTAGATTCACTCAGATGATCCAGGACAATCTCCCTGGATCACATCTTCAAAGTCTCTTTTGCAGTGAAAGGTAACACATTGACAGGTTCCAGACTGTGACGTAGTCTGGAACATGGATATCTTTCGGGGGGGCCATTATTCTGTCTTTTGCAGTAGGTTACATATCCTGATCAACCCTTCTGATAAGACAACAAAAACACTGGGAACATATTTGTAATTCCATCAATGAGCTGGTGATAAAGAAAAACACATGCCGAAGTAAAGGCAGGAATCCAGACGGGGGGGCTGGCTTCCTCCTTATGGGTGTTTGCCCAACTGGGTGAGCTTAAGGGCCAATCTTTATCACCTGGCTGGGCGTGCGAGCGAGACAAAACCCAGGGCCCACCCAAGGCAAGCCCCTCTTTAAAGCCGGGACCCCAACAGGCCTCACCCCCAACATCAGGAAGAGTAGAAATACCCACCTCCATACACACACTGCTGCCACCACCACCACCAAGGGATTGCAAAGGAAATTCTCTTTCTTGTACCTTGATGTAGCACAGGAAATTCTCTTTCTTGTACCTTGATGTAGCAGGATGAGCCGCAGACAAAACTCCTCAGACACCGAATTAAAGAAGGAAGAGGTTTATTCAGCCGGGAGCATCAGCAGACTTGCGTCTTAAGAGCCGAGCTCCCTGAAAAAGAAATTCTTGGCCTTTTTAAAGGCTTATAGCTAGCTCTAAGGGGTCCACGTGAAAAGGTCGTGATAAATCGAACAAGCATGGGAAACGTGACTGGGGCCTGCATGCATCAGCGAACAGAACAAAGTTTTGCAATGCTTTTTCATACAATGTCTGGAATTTACAGATAACACAAGTAGTTTAGGTTAGGGGTTGATATTATTATTATTACTTTTTTTTAACTCCTAGGGCCGGGTGGTGGTGCCAAGGTTGTCTGGCTATTTATCTTACTTCTGTTTATTTCTAATTTTTTGCTTTCTCTCTTTCCTCCTGTCTTGTGAACTAGGCAAAGTTGGGGGAGGAGGGCAGCAGAAGTAGTAGTGGTCTCCTTCCTTATTGACAGTGGGTGGAAAGAGAACTAACCTGAGAGCACGTGTTACAGATTGCATTGTGCCCCACCCCCCATCTTGAAACTCTTAGCTCTCAATACCTGTAAATGTGATCGTATTTGGAAATAGGGTCTTTACAGATGTAATCAATTTAAGATGAGGTCATTAGGGCAGACCCTAATCCAGTCTTACCGGGGTCCTTGTAGAAAGGGGGAACTTGGACACAGAGAGAGACCTGCACACAGAGAGAACACTGTGTGAAGATGGAGACAGAGATTGGGATGACATATCTACAAGCTAAGGAACATCAAAGATTGCCAGCAACCACCAGGCACTAAGGGAGAGGCATGGAACAGATTCTCCCCTAGAGCCTCCAGAAGGAACCAACCCTGCCGACACTCATATCTTGGACTTTGGGCCTCCAGAACTATGAGACAACAAATTGTTGTTCCAGCCATGGAGTGTGTGGTACTTTGTACTGCACCAGTAATACGATGTGCAACTCTGATTTGACACCTAAGAAGGTTCCAGCCTGAAATTACACTTCCTTTGGTTCGAAAAACCTGGAGCTAAGAGTTTAAAGTAGAATACGGGGATTTTTGGCTCTCCTGGGTGCCTGGAAAAAGGAAATGCAAATCCACTTTCAGCCTCAAATAATCCCCAGAGGTAATGTTCTAAGAAATACACATTAACTGTCAAAAAGCATAGATCATCCAAGGAAACAAGATGCACCGCACAGTGGCAGCAAAAACCACGGGGTGCAGAATCAGATCCACAGAAGTAGAATACAAAATAGTTGTGTGTGATGCAGAATAGAAAGGATTGGAAATACGTGTAAAGAGCAAGAAACTCTGAAAATAACCAAGTCGGTTGGGAAAAGATCAAGCAGAACTTCTAGTGCTGCAAAATCTCGGTTGGAACTGGCAGGAAATTGGATTTGGAATGGATGCCACATCGCATGGTGTGGCCCAAGGAAGAGGTGCAGTTGGGGGGACATTTACTAGGCGTGCAGGAAGGCCAATGCCACTGTTAGACACACAGTGGGTTTGCATTCCAGAGAAAGACACTGTCGCCTCCACCCCATGACTACCTTCTTATAGCGCAAACATGAGAAAATGGCTTGTCAGGTGGAGGAAACAGGAAACGACTTGGGTTCCAGTGGCTTCTGGGAGCTTTCAGAGAATGCCTGCTGCCCAGCCCCCTAGGACCTTGGAGTGCAGGGGAACTTGTAGCTCCCTTTGCTAACAGAAGGAAGTTCTTGGTCCTGGGGGAAGCTGGATTTTGGAGCAGCCTCTCTGAGAGAAGGAAAATGGCCCTTGGTGTCTCGCTGTTTATCACAGTGAGCTCTCAGGGTCAAGCAGCCCTTTTGTACCACAGATATTTACATCATAATGTATGGGTTTAACCTTGGATTGGACAAGAAAGAATCGGTGAACTGGAAAATAGTTCTAATGACATCCTTGACGATGCAGAGATGAAACTAATGAAGACGGAGATGGAAGGAGAAGTTCCAATGTACATATAATTTAGACAAATTCCAGAAGAAGAAAGTAAAATGGATGAGGAAGTAGAATGGATAAGAAGCAATATTTGAAGAGACACTGGGTTTGTGTCTGCAAGTAAACTTGAGAGGTAATCTAGGTCTTCAACATAAGGACTGCAACTCTTAGGTGAGTCCCAGTGCTGAACTAGGCCCAGAGACAGTGGACTCGTGGGGCAGGGGGCAGGGGAGCATGCAACATACTGAGACACCAGCTGGGGCAGCCAAGAGGGTTCTGGCGTCAGCCCTCCCTTAATCCTAGGCTGCACAGCTTGTGGGTCTAAAAGAGACCCCTTTCTTCCGCTTGAGGAGAGGACAAGGAAGAGTGGGGAGGACTTTGTTTTGCATCTTGGATACCAGCTCAGCCACAACAGGATAGGGCACTGGTCAGAGTCGTGAGGTCCCTGTTCCAGGCCAAGCTCCCAGATGACATTTCTGGACACACCCTGGGTCAGAAGGGAACCTGCTACTTTGAAGGGAAGGACCCAGTCCTGGAAGCATTCTCAATCGCCTGTTAACTGAAGAGCCCTTGGGCCCTCAATAACCAGCAGTGATACCCAGGTACTATAAGTTGAGGGCCTTGGGTGAGCCTCTGAGACTTGCTGGCTTCAAGTACCAGCACGGCCACAGTGGGGTAGAGCGCCAGATGGGCCCTTGAGGTCCTCGATTCCAGGACTTGACTCTTGGACAGCGTTTCTGGATGTGTCCTGGGCCAGAGGAGAGCCCATTGCCCTGAACAGTGAGTCCCAGGCCAGGCAGCATTCACCACGACCTGACTTAAGAGACCTTGGGTCTTAAGGGAACATTGGCTGGTAGTCTGGCAGTACTCCTCACGGCCTGGGGTGGTGGTGGATGGGGTGAGGCTCCTCTGCCTTTGGAAAGGAGAGGGAAGAGTGGGAAGGACTGCTGCTTGTGGTTTGAGTGCCAGCTCAGCCACAATACAGTAGAACACCAGGTAGACTTCTAAACTTTTTGACGCTAGTCCCTGACTCCCAGATGGCACCTCTGGACCCACCTGAGGCCTAGGGGACCTTGCTGCCCTGAAGGGAAAGACACAGGCCTAGCTGGCTTTGCCACCTTCCGATTGTAGAGCCCCAGGGCCTTGAGTGAACATAGGCAATAGCCATGGAGTTTAGAGCAGCAGGCCTTGGGCAAGACCCAGTGCTGTACTGGCTTCAGGTCTGACCCAGTGCAGTCATAGTGGTGGTGGTCACAGGGGTGCTTTTGTCACTCCATCCCCAGCTTTAGGTGACTCAGAACAGAGAGAGAGAGACTCTGTTTGTTTGGGAGAAAGAAAGGGAAGAGAACAAGAGTCTCTGCCTGATAATCCAGAGAATTCTCCTGGATCTTTTCCAAGACCATCAAGGCAGTACCTCTACGAGTCTGCAAGAACCACAGAATTACTAAGCTTGGGGTGCCCCCTAAAGCAGATACAGCTTAGATCACGACATCCAAGTATTTTCAAAATCTGGAAAGCCTTCCCAAGAAGGATGGCTACAAATAAGCCCAGACAGAGAAGACTATAATAAATACCTAACTCTTCAATGCCCAGACGCCAAAAAACATCTACTAGCATCAACCGCATCCAGGAAAACATGACCTCACCAAATGAACTAAGTATAAGGCACCAGGAACCAATTCTGGAAAAACAGAGATATGTGACCTTTCAGACAGAGAATTCAAAATAGCTGTGTTGAGGAGACTTAAAGAAATTCAAGATAAACACAGAGAAGGAGTTCAGAATTATATCAGATAAATTTAACAAAGATACTGAAATAATTTAAAAGAATCAAGCAGAAATTCTGAAGCTGAAAAATGCAATTGGTATACTGAAGATTGCACCAGGATCCTTTACCATCAGAATTGATCAAGCGGAAGAAAGCATTAGTGAGCTCGAATACAGGCTATTTGAAAATACACAGTCAGAGGAGACAAAAAAGAATAAAAGCAATGAAGCACCCCTACAGGATCTAGAAAATAGCTTCAAAGGGGGCAAATCTAAGAGTTATTAGCCTTGAAGAGGAGGTAGAGAAACATATAGGGGTAGAAAGTTATTCAAAGGGATAATAGAGAACTTCCCAAACCTAAAGAAAGAGATTGATATCCAAGTACAAGAAGGTTATAGAACACCAAGCAGATTTAACCCAAAGAAAACTACCTCAAGGCATTTAATAATCAAAATCCCAAAGGTCAAGGACAAAGAAAAGATCCTAAAAGCCACAAGAGAAAGGAAACAAATAACATACAATGGAGCTCCAATACGTCTGGCAGCAGACTTTTCAGTAGAAACCTTACAGGCCAGGAGACAGAGGCATGACATACTTAAAGTGGTGAAGGAAAAAAAAACACAAAAACCTTTTACCCTAGTATATCCAGTGAAAATATCCTTCAAACATGAAGGAGAAATAGACTTTCCCAGACAAACAAAAGCTTAGGGATTTCACCAACACCAGACCTGTCCTACAAGAAATGCTAAAGGGAGTAATTTGATCAGAAGGAAAAGAACATTAATGAGCAATAAATGATCACCTGAAGGTATAAAACTCACTGGTAATAGTAAATACACAGAAGAACACAGAATGTTATAACACTGTAACTGTGGTGTGTAAACTACTCTTATCCTAAGTAGAAAGATGAAACAATGAACCAATCAGAAAGAATAACTACAATAACTTTCCAGGACATATTCAGTATAATAAAATATAAATAGAAACAACAAAAAGTTAAAAAACAGGGATGAAGTGAAGGCATAGAGTCTTTATTAGTTTTCTTTTTGCTTATTCGTTTATGCAGATAGTGTTAAGTTGTTATCAGGTTAAAATCATGGGTTATAAGATAGTATTTGCAAGTCTTATGGTAACCTCAAACCAAAAAACATACAATGGGTACACAAAATATAAAAAGCAAGAAACTAAATCATATCACCAGAGAAAATCACCTTCACTAGAGGAAGACAGGGAGGAAAGATAGAAGAAGGAGAAGACCACAAAACAATCAGAAAACAAAATGGCAGGAATAAGCCCTTACTTATCAATAATAACACTGAATGTAAATGGACTAAACGCTCCAATTGAAAGACATAGACTGGCTGAATGGATGAACAAACAGGACCATTGACCTGTTGCCTACAAGAAACATACTTCACCTATAAAAATACACAGAGATTTAAAATAAATGGATGGAAAAAGATATTCCATGGAAACCAAAGAGCAGGAGTTGCTATACTTATATCAGACAAAATAGATTTCAAGACAAAAACTATAGTATGAGACAAGGTCACTATATAATGATGAGGGGGTCAATTCAGTAAGAGCATACTTTCAAAGTAATTCTATGAGGCCAGTATTACCTTGATACTGAAACCAGACAAAGACACATCATAAAAAGAAAACTACAGGCCAATATCTCTGATGAATATTGATATAACAGTCCTCAGTAAAATACTAACGAACCAAATTCAACAATACATTAGAAAGATCATTCATCACGACCAAGTGGGATACATCATATGCAAATGGTTCAACATATGCAAATCAATTAACGTGATACATATCAACAGAATGAAGAATATAAACCATATGACCATTTCAATTGCTACTGCTGAAAAAGCATTTAATACAATTCGATGTCCCTTCATAATTTTAAAAAAAAATTAAAAACTAGGGATAGAAGGGCTGGGCGCAGTGGCTTACGCCTGTAATCCCAGCACTTTGGGAGGCCGAGGTGGGTGGATCACGAGGTCAGGAGATCAAGACCATCCCGGCTAACATGGTGAAACCCTGTCTCTACTAAAAATACAAAAAATTAGCCAGGTGTGGTGGTGGGCACCTGTAGTCCCAGCTACTCAGGAGGCTGAGGCAGGAGAATGGCATGAACCTGGGAGGCGGAGTTTGCAGTGAGCGGAGATCGTGCCACTGCACTCCAGCCTGGGCAACAGAGCGAGACTCCATCTCAAAGAAAAAAAAACAACAAAAAACCAAAAAACAAACAAAAAAATAACTGGGGATAGAAGGAACATACCTCAACATAATAAAAGCCATATACAAAAGACCCACAGCTAGGATTATACTGAATGGGGAAAAACTGAAACCCTTTCCTCTAAAATCTGGAACATGACAAGGATGCCACTGTCATCACTGTTGTTCAACATAGTACTAGAAGTCATAGCTAGAACAATCAGACAAGAGAAAGATATAAAGGGCAACCACAATGGAAAGGTAGAAGTCAAATTAACTTAATTGTACACTTTAAAATAACTTAGTGTAATTGGATTTTTGGTAACTCAAAGGATAAATACTTGAGGGGATTTATACCCCATTCTCCATGATGTGCCTATTTCATATTGCATAACTGTATCAAAGCATCTCATGTACCCCATAAATGTATACACTTACTGTGTACCCACAAAAATTAAAAATAAAAATCTTCAAAAAAGAGAAATTCTCAAAAGCCAAAGACAGAGATAAATTTGAAAGCAGTGAGAGAAATGCAATTCATCACATACAAGGAAACCCCTAGGAGATTATCAGTGAATTTCTCAGAAGAAATCTCATAGGCCAGGAGAGAGTGGGATCATATATTCACAGGGCTAGAAGGATAAAACTGTCAACCTTGGGAAAGATGTCCAGAAATGAAGGAGAGATAAAGGCTTTCCCAAACAAACAAAAGCTGTGGGAGTTCATTATCACTGCCTTACAAGAAATGCTAAAGGGAGTTTCTCAAGTTGAAATGAAAGGACAGTAACAACATGAAGACACAAAAGTATAAAAACTCTGTAAAGATAAAAATATAGTCAAATTGGGAGTACTCTGCCACTGTGTCTTAGTCCATTTTGCACTGCTGTAACAGGATGACACGGACCGGGTAATTTATAAAGAACAAAAATGTATTTCTCACAGTTTTGGAAGCTGGGGAGTCCAAGATCAAGGCATCAGCATCTGGTGTCTGGTGAGGGTCTTCTTGCTACATTCTCACACGGCAGAGGCAGAGGGTAGAAGAGCAAAAGGGGACAAACTTCTTCCATCAATCCCTTTTATAATGGCAGAGCCATCATGAAGTAAACACCCCAAAGGACACACTTCCCAATACTGTTGCACTGGGGACTAAATTTTAATATGAATTTTGTAGAAGACAAAAACATCCAAAGCATAGCATATTGTAATGGTGATACATAAATTATTTTAACTCTAGTATAAAATTTAAAGAATAATTATAGCAATAATTTGTTAATGGATACACAATATATAAAAGATGTAAAGTATGACCCCAATAACATAAAATGTGGGAGAGGAGAAATTAAAGTGTAGAGTTTTTGTATGTGGCTAAAGTTTAGTTGTTATCAGCTTAAACTGTTATAACTATAAAATGTTGTATATAAACCTCCTGGTAACCACAAAGAAAAATAACTGTAGTAGACCCACAAAAGATAAAAGGGAGTCAAAGCATACCACTACAAAAAAAAAAAAATCTCATAAAGACAGTGAGAGAGGAAGATAGGAACAATGAGACTACAAAACAATCAGAAAACAATTAACAAAATGGCAGTAATAAGTCCTTACCTATTAATAATTACTTTAAATTTAAATTGATTAAATTATCTACTCAGAAGCCACTAAGCAGCTGAATGGATTAAAAAACAAAACAAAACAAAATCCAACTATATGCTGCTTACAGGAGACTTGGTTTAGCTTTAAGGACACAGATAAGCTGAAAAATGTTATTCTATCCAAATGAGAAGCAAAAGAGAACATAAGTGGCTACACTTATATCAGACAAAATAGACTTTAAATCAAAACTATCCCAAGAGACAAAGACAGTTGTTATATAATGATAAATGGATCAATTCATCAAGAGGATATAACAATTCAAAAAATACATGCACTAGGCTGGGCACGGTGGCTCACGCCTGTAATCCCAGCACTTTGGGAGGTCAAGGCGGGCAGATCACAAGGTCAGGAGTTCGAGACCAGACTGACCAATATGGTGAAACCCTGTCTCTACTAAAAGAATACAAAAATTAGCCAGGTGTGGTGGTGCGTGCCTGTAGTCCCAGCTACTCAGGAGGCTGAGACAGAAGAATCGCTTGAACCTGGGAGGCGGAGGTTGCAGTGAGCCGAGATCATGCCACGGCACTCCAGCCTGGGCAACAGAGCAAGACTCTGTCTCTCTGTCTCTCTGTCTCTCTCTCTCTCTCTCTCTCTCTCTCTATATATATATATACACCCAACATGGGAGCACCTAACTCTGTAAAGCAAATATTAACATAACTGAAGGGAAAATAGATTACAATAATAGTAGAGGACTTCAGCACTTTAAACAGTGGACAGATTATCCAGCTGGAAAATCAATAAGAAAACAGGAGACTTGAGCAACACTACAGACCAAATGGCCCTAACAGATAGATTCAGAACATTCCATCCAATGGCAGCAGAACACACATTCTTGTCGAGTGCACATGGAACATTCTCCAGGAAAGATCATATGTTAGCTCACAAAACAAGTCTTAACACATTTAAGAAGATTGAAATCATATCAAGTATCGTTTCCAACCACAATGGTATAAAACTAGAAATCAATAACAGGAGGAAAAGTGGAAATTTTACACATGTGTGGAAATTTTTTTTTTTTTTTTTTTTTATTGATCATTCTTGGGTGTTTCTCGCACAGGGGGATTTGGCAGGGTCATAGGACAATAGTGGAGGGAAGGTCAGCAGATAAACAAGTGAACAAAGGTCTCTGGTTTTCCTAGGCAGAGGACCCTGCGGCCTTCCGCAGTGTTTGTGTCCCTGGGTACTTGAGATTAGGGAGTGGTGATGACTCTTAAGGAGCATGCTGCCTTCAAGCATCTGTTTAACAAAGCACATCTTGCACCGCCCTTAATCCATTCAACCCTGAGTGGACACAGCACATGTTTCAGAGAGCACAGGGTTGGGGGTAAGGTCACAGATCAACAGGATCCCAAGGCAGAAGAATTTTTCTTAGTACAGAACAAAATGAAAAGTCTCCCATGTCTACTTCTTTCTACACAGACACGGCAACCATCCGATTTCTCAACCTTTTCCCCACCTTTCCCCCGCTTCTATTCCACAAAACCGCCATTGTCATCATGGCCCGTTCTCAATGAGCTGCTGGGCACACCTCCCAGACGGGGTGGTGGCCGGGCAGAGGGGCTCCTCACTTCCCTGTAGGGGCGGCCGGGCAGAGGCGCCCCTCACCTCCCGGACGGGGCGGCTGGTCGGGCGGGGGGCTGACCCCCCACCTCCCTCCCGGACAGGGCGGCTGGCCGGGCAGGGGGCTGAACCCCCCACCTCCCTCCCGGAAGGGGCGGCTGCCGGGCGGAGACGCTCCTCACTTCCCAGACGGGGTGGCTGCCGGGTGGAGGGTCTCCTCACTTCTCAGACGGGGCGGCCGGGCAGAGACGCTCCTCACCTCCCAGACGGGGTTGCAGCCGGGCAGAGGCGCTCCTCACATCCCAGACGGGGCGGCGGGGCAGAGGTGCTCCCCACATCTCAGACGATGGGCGGCCGGGCAGAGACGCTCCTCACTTCCTAGATGGGATGGCGGCCGGACATGTGTGGAAATTTAACAACACAGTCCTGAACAACCAATGAGTGGAATAAGAAATCAAAAGGGAAATAAAATAATATCTTGAGGCAAATGAAAATGGAAATGCAACATACCAAACCTCATAGGATGCAGCAAAAGTGATTCTAGGTGGGAGGTTTATAGCAATAAATGCCTACGTTAAGAATGATCTCAAATAAACAACCTAACTTCACACCTCAAGGAACTATAAAATGAGGAACAAATTAAGGCCAAAGTTAGCAGAAGGAAAGAAAGAAAGATCAGAGCAGAAATAAATGAAATACAGACTTAAGAAACAATAGACAGGATCAACAAAACTAAGAGTTGAGTTTTTTTGAAAAGGTTAACAAAACCCACAAACCTTAGGCTAGACTAAAATAAAAAAAGACTCAGATAAATAAGAAAATTATAAATGAAAGAGGAAAGATTACAATTGATACCAAAGAAATAATAGACAACTATGCCAACAAATTGGATAACCTAGAAATGAATAAATTGCTAGAAGCAGACAGCCGACCAAGACTGAATCCCAAAAAAAACTAGAAAATCGGCCAGGGCGTGGTGGCTCACGTCTGTAATCCTAGCACTTTGGGAGGCCAAGGCGGGTGGATCACCTGAGGTCAGGAGACCAGCCTGGCCAGCATGGTGAAACCCCGTCTCTACTAAAAATACAAAAATTAGCCGGGCATGGTAGTGCAGGCTGTAATCCCAGCTACTCAGGAGGCTGAGGAAGGAGAATCAATTGAACTCGGGAGGTGGAGGTTGCAGTGAGCTGAGATCGTGCCACTGCACTCCAGCCTGCGTGACGGGAGCAAGACTCCACTTCAAAAAAACAAACACACAAGAACAAAACAAACAAACAAAAAACTAGAAAATCTGAACAGACCAATAATGAGTAAGGAGATTGAATCAGTGATCAAACACCTCCTAACAAAAAATAGCCCAGGATATCTGATGCCTTCGCTGGTGAATTCTGCCAAACATTTAAGAAAGAATTAATGCTGATTCTTCTCAAACTCTTCCAAAAAATTCAAGAGGAAGGAACACTTCCAAACTCATTTTATGAGGCCAGAATTACCCTGATACCAAAGCCAGACAAGGACATTACAAGAAAAGAAAATTATGGGCCAATATCCTTGATGAACAGAGATGCAAAAATCCTCACCAAAATATTAGCAAACCAAATTCAACAGCACGTTACAAAGATCATGCATCCTGATCAAGTGGATTTTATCCTTGGCGGAGGTGACTTCTTTGAGGTGACAGCCCCTCTGCTGGTGTGGTCTGGAAGAGAAGATAGGAGCCAGGCTGAGCCTAGGCTGTCAGTCCCAACCAGTGTAAGATCACCCCCTATCTGCCTGCTAGTCCCCTTCTGAGACTGGGTCCAGCTCCGCCAGGTTGTAATACTCACGTGTGGCCACCAGGGGCGGTGTTTCCTGCCAAGGCTACTCTTCCAGGGCAGACAGCCTGGAGGTGACCAGTGACTTTCATCCGTGGTGGGCTGCTGCCCTCACCTGAGTATCTGGAAGGGCATTCAGATTCTGGGGCCCAAAGAGAGCACTGCACAGTCCTCCCACCCTCCGTTCTGTGCAAGACGCACAGTTCCCTGGCTGCCCAGCCAGCACCAGCATCTCCTTTGAAGGTTACTCTTGCTCCTGCAGCTGGATGGAGAGTCCTGGTCAGTGCTGGGAGTCCTGGTCAGTGCTGGAAGGGCAAAGCTCCCAGATGCCAGCGGGAAATGCAAAAGGGCAAAATGCAGGGTAAGAACTGTGGCCAGCTGGAGTAGGAGTGACCCACCTAAGTGTGTCCAGTGGGTTTTGGGCCCCATGTGGCCAGCTTTTCAAGATTGAAGCTTGGAAATCTGGATTTTTACAGGGAGTTTCCAGGGCAACACATACAAAGACACAAAGCACAGCATGGGTCATGCCAGGGATCCCCTGCCCTTGGGCAGGCACATGAGAGCCCTGGAAGGTTTGGCTGACTAGCTGAGGGGTCTAGGCGGTGCTTGTGGGTCTCAGACCCTGGTGAGCCCAGGCTTCCAGCTTCTGCCCTCCCTCTTGCTTCTCCATCCTTCTCTCCAAATCCCCAGTGCAGACTGGGGCCCTACGCCAGGGCTGAGGTCAGCTCCCCACTGTGGGCAGGAAGTCCTTCTGAAGCCCCATGTCCTGTGTCCCCATCAGACGGTGGCAGTGCCTGCGGCCATGGACACAGTGCCCCGAGATGATTTCTTTTCTTTTTTCTTCTTTTTGAGACAGAGTCTAGCTCTAGTCTCAGGCTAGAGTGCAGTGGCGCAATTTCGGCTCACTGCAACCTCCGCCTCCCGGGTTCGCACCATTCTCCTGCCTCAGCCTCCCAAGTAGCTGGGACTACAGGCGCGCACCACCACGCCTGGCTAATATTTTTTTAAAATTTTAGTAGAGACGGGGTTTCACCGTGTTAGCCAGGATGGTCTTAATCTCCTGACCTCATGATCTACCTGCCTCGGCCTCCCATAGTGCTGGGATTATAGGCGTGAGCCACCGTGCCCGGCCCCGAGATGATTTTGAAGCACTCCTGGCACCTGCCTGGCATAGGCTCAGCCGCCGGGATCCACCATGTTTCCATGGATTCCACCGCGGATTCCATCCACCATGTTTCTTTCACTCACAAACAGTGTTAGGCCATGGAGTGGAGAGGGTGCTCCGGGGAATGAGGATCTGCATTCCGGCCCTCAGGAGCCCGAGCCCACAACGGCCCCAGGCCACAACTGCCAGGTGGGGGTCACTTCAGCAGCTCATTCCTGGGAATGCCTGTGCCCAGATGGCTTCAGGCCTGGAGCAATTTCCACCTGCCTCTGTGCATCGGTGTCAGGCAGATGGGGGCAGCCACCTGCTTCTCAGGAAGGACCACCCTTACCCTGGGAGGGCATCTCTTCTACTTTGACAGAGGATAGAAAACATTCTGTCTTCATGAAATCACGGGGATATTCAGTGGTAGTTTTCTTTTTCAGGTTCTTATTGAAAAAATAAAATCTTGGCAGTGTAAATTCAGCCCTTGAAAATTGTTCTGGAAATTTCCCTGGCCCATGAATCACCTGGGTCTGGCACCTGTTGGCTGTGTTCTCCCTCAGTTTTCCCATCTCCACGATGGGTAGCAGTTGTTGCTGTCTCATTTGAGATGACACGTGTGAAGCCTTTAGCACGCTGCCTGACTCCCAGGAGGCCCTCAGAGGTGACTGGGGCACTGCCTTCCTCCTGGTCAGTGGTGATGTTGGCTCTTATAGTTTGGGTTGGGATGCTGTTGCTCATGTCCTCTTTCACAGGGCTGCACGCAGAGCTCGGTGGAGGAGCCTCCTCCCCCAACGCCTCCGCTTCTTCCTCCCTGGACTTCTGCCCCGTCAGAGGGCAGCCTGCAGGCACCTCTCTCTGTCCTGGAAGCCTGGCCAGCAAGTCGGGGCCAAGGGCTGGTGGGGGCCTGCAGAGAGGGCCAGCCTGAGCCAGAGGAAGAGTCTTGGGGTTGGCTCAGGTATGTCCAGGCCATGAGGGCAGAGGAACAAGTCTACCACAGTCCCCACTGGAGCGGTGGCGGGGAGGCTGGGGAGGGCAGTGAACCTGGAGGCAGCCCCTCACTCCTGAATGTAGAGTCAACTGTGACTTTGATTTGCACCACAGTTTTCTTCAGAGTGCACTAAACATAGAGTCATACTCATTTTACGAGACCAGCATTACCCTGATACCAAAGCCAGATAACATTACAAGAAAGAAAATTATAGACCGATATCCTTGATGAACATAGATGCAACAATCCTCTCAAAATATTAGCAAACCAGCTGGGCGCGGTGGCTCACACCTGTAATCCTAACGCTTTGGGAGGACGAGGTGGGGGGATCACTTAAGGTCAGGAGTTCGAAACCAGCTTGGCCATTCATGGTCAAACCCCGTCTCTACTAAAAATACAAAAAATTAGCTGGGCACGGTGGTGCGTGCCTGTAATCCCAGCTACTTGGGAGGCTGAGGGAGGAGAATCGCTTGAACCGGGAAGGCGGAGGTTGCAGTGAGCCGAGATCGTGCCACCGCACTCCAGCATGGGCGACAGAGCAAGACTCCGTCTAAAAAAAAAAAAAATTAGCAAACCAAATTCAACAGCACATTAAAAAGATCATGCACCGTGATCAAGTAGATTTTATCCCTGGTGGGGTGACTTCTTTGAGGTGGCAGCCCCTCTGTTGGTGTGATCTAGAGCAGGACTGAAGGAAATTTACTCAGGGAAATTTACAAGGCTTCTGTGAAACTGACATGGCAGGGCTTCCAGCCTCCTGTTCCAAGATGGGAAAACTAAGTCTCAGCAAAGGGAGAGGTGATAAGACCAGCCCGAGATCGTACAGGACCCTGTCTTGGCCTCCTTGTCCGGAGCCTGGCCTCTCCAGAGCTGTGACTACTAGTCCCTGGGGGGAGACAGCCTTTCCACCTCTCCCAGACCGGAGCTGGGTGCTAACAGGCCCTGCCGGATGAAAATCCTACGATACTAACAGACAGCTAACAGGCCGGGACCGGCCCCCAGCCACCACCCCTTGTCCAAAGTGCAGGTTCATTGTGCTGCCCTCTTGGCTTGTAACAGTTTTGCAACAGTTGCAACTTGTCTTTGAGTGCAGGGACAGGAGAAGTGTGGGCTACCCGGCCACTGCCCTGGAGCTGTGGTGACTGCTGCGTTTTTCTCCCATGCACTTGCACGTCCAGGACTCCTGGGAGAACTTGGGCCACACTCCTTCCTTGCCCTCTTGAGCTCATTCGTCACCCTGTTGGGTGAGCACAGCCCTAGCTCAGGCCACTGGGCAAGCCACACCATCCAAAGAGGAGGTCCTCTGCCCCAGGACCCCCACACCACCCCAGGTAAGCCTCAAACTGGCGGGGCCAGCTTTCCACTGGGCAGCCAGGGGCCTAAGCCAGTGGGCCCTTTGCCTTTGAGGCAGGGACTGAGAATGGTGTCAGCACGTGGTCAGGCCCAGAGCCCAGGCCCCCTCCTCTAAGAGGTCCTCCTGGATTCCCTGCTGGAAGGAAGCCAGCCTTGTGGTGTCGTGTCTCTCCCTGGATCTGTCTGCTTCGTGGACCCTGAGCCCCTCGAGGGCAGGGGCTGGGTCTTAGATGTCACTATAGGTTTCCCAGCAGTGCTTTGTACACATTGGGCATTCAGTAAATGTAGAGGATAGACAAGCTGGCAACAAGACAGTCGGACATCCTCGGTGTGAATAAGAACACAATGATTTGATTGGTATTAATTACAGCAGTTTACTATACGATCGCTTCCGGTATTGGCAGCTGGCATCATTACAATATTAACAGACTGCCATTGAAATGCCCCGTCTTTGATCCAGCGCGAGGAGGAGATGTGACTTTCCATCAGCACCTGTTCTGATTCTTTGGGCATCCAGAGGTGTATTCTTTCTGGGTTTCCTCCACACCCCTCCTCTGGGTGTCTACTTCTGTCTGGGAAGGGGTAACTTGCCCCAGCCCAGAGTCAGGCTGCAGCATCCGGTCTGCCTCCTCCACCAGCTTGCTGTGTGGCCCCCTCCCTGGGCACTGCTGTCCCCAACAGTCAATGGAGGCTGGAATCCCTGCCCTGGGGGCTACGTGCTGTGCAGTAGCCAGTGGCTTGGGGGCATCTCCCCAAACACCAGAGGGGTCTGGGAGCTCGGGAAAGCAGGACGCAGACAGACCAGGAGACCCTGTCCCTGGGAAGCTGACCCAGGCCTTCTCACTCGCCTCTGAAGGCAGTGAGCATCCTGTCCCTGGGGGTGAGCAAACTGGGGCATGTGCTGAGATGACCTCACCAAAGGAGCCTCCCTGCAGTGGACGGGCCCCTGGCCCAAGCTGCTGCTGACCCCACCTTTCCTGCCCACCCTGCCTGTGCATAGCTCCTTCTGGGCGCGGGGAGCTCGGGCGGCTCCAGCAGGCAGGTGGTGCCTGGGTCTACTGCAGCAACCCTGAGGCGCCTGTTTCAGAGACGAGGAAATGAGGGTTGGAGCGGAAGGGTGACTGCCAGGTCGCCTACGGGTAATGGGGCATGGGGTTCACAACCCTGCTCTGCCGCCCTCAGAGGGAGCTGCCCACAGGGCTGGCCTAGAAGCCCCAACTAAGCTGGCCTAGAAGCCGCAGTGGTGGGCGGTACGCTCCGCCCAGATCCTGGGCGGAGACATGGGGCTGGCAGCGAGGGTGGGGGGCGGGGGAGGCCTGGAGTTCCGGCCAGGCCACTGCTTGGGAAGCAAGAAGGTGAAGGCACCTCTGCTGGGCCAAGCACTCTTAGGGCCGAGGGGCACTGCAGCTGACAAGAGGTACTTGGAGGTACACCCCCAGGGAGGGACGAGGCTGGGGCCTCCCCTATGTGGGCGGGGCTGGGCCTGGTCAGATCTGGCTGGGATCTCCCTCTGCCTCTGGCTGCAGGGACCATCCAGCTGCATGAGCAGGACCAGGGTTCACCATATGGGCAGCTGCCTCCCCGCCCCCTGCCGCTCCTCCCCACAAGTCTGCCTACCCTCACCAGGCGAAGGTGCCAGGCGCTCTCCTCGCTTGACCCCCACCACCCCCTGAGCCTGGGAGGAGGAGGGCGTTCCTGGGTCCTCTGCTTTGCAGTGAGGTTAAGTTGTTGCTCGAGGCCCCAGTCCTGTGACAAAACCCCCACCCATCTGTCTGATCCCAAGCCCAGGGCTGTCCTCAGCCCTCACTCCTGGGAAGCTGACTCAGGTACGAGACAGAGTTGGAGGGGGCAAGAGAGTGGGTTAATGTGGAGGCAGCTGTTTCCAGGGAGGTGGCAGGCAGGAGGGGCTCTGGGCTGTCCCCGCTGGGGCCGCTGCCAGCCCCCAGTCTGACAGTCAGAAGAGCCCTGACTGACCAGGCAGGTGGTGAAGGGGCACGTGGCAGCCTCCGGCGCCAGCAGCTGTCGCTTTTTGGGCACAGTCGGAAGGAGGAGGGAGGCTTTTGCCCACAGCTGACCAGGTGTGCTGTGCCATGCGGCACCGTGGTGGGTGGTGGGTGGTGGGGTGGGGGTGTTCAGCCTTGGAGGGCCTTCCTCGGTGCCACTCAAGCTGGCTTTCCCCTGGTGGGGCACCACTTTTGGGGGCTCCTGGAAGACTGTGGACCTTCAAGGACTGAAGGTATGTACAGACACATGCAGGAGGCATGCCTCCTTGTCCGGGGCCACCTCTGCAGGCAGGAGCCAGGCGGGCTGACACACTGAGGGCTGAGAGGCTGAGGACAAGCTCCAACACCTCCTCACTCCCCTACGCCGCTGCAATCAGACTCCCTGCTCCCTCCCTTGGGATGGGGCACTGGGGCAGGAGATGGGGGGCAGCCCTGACCAGCCTGAGAGCTGGGATCCCCCTCACATCCCCCACTGTGCCTAGGACAGGGTTCTGGGCTTCGTCAGGGCTTGGGCAGTGCCCACAGTTCAGGTGGGACAGAGTGTGGCAGTGGGTCCTGAGTCCCCCTGGGATGGTCAGAAGAGGGGGCAGGAGAGAGTCCCTGGCACTGCCACATGGAGGCCCTATGACCCTGGTCACCTCAGGGAGCCTCTCCGTGTGTCAGACTCCCCCGCTGTGAAGTAGAGACATTATCATGTGTCTATAGGTGTTCAATGAGAGTGAACGAACGTGCATAGCTATGGTCCACTCTTGAAAAAGGATGCTGACTTTCTTAGATAATTATATCAGTCATTCATACTGACGTAGGTGGCACAGCACTTCACATCTTGGATCACAGCCACATCCCTTTCACTTTTCCTGCAGATCCCAGAAAAGGGCAGTGGAGGTCCACACTGGGCAGGACACCACCCCACCCTTCCATTGAGGGCTGTTGTGAGACCTCCGTTCTTAACTTCTTAGTTTAAAGAATTTAGGCTGGGCACAGTGGCTCATGCCTGTAATCCCAGCACTTTGGGAGGCCGAGGCAGGCGGATCACCTGAGGTCAGGAGTTCGAGACCAGCCTGGCCAACATGGTGAAACCCTGTCTCTACTAAAGATACAAAAATTAGCCAGGCATGGTGGCATGCACCTATAATCCCAGCTACTCGAGAGGCTGAGGTGGGAGAATCGCTTGAACCCAGGAGGCAGAGGTTGCAGTGAGCCAAGATCATGCCACTGCACTCCAGCCTGGAAGACAGAGTGGGACTCTTTCTCAAAACAAACAAACAAACAAACAACAACAACAACAACAAAACAGAATTTAAACATGAGACACACAGCAAAAGAGCTGCAACATAGAGCAATTTATTGCAAAAGAAAAAGAACATTTTGAAAGTTAGGTGCGGATGCACCCTGGGAGAGAGAGGATTCCAGGCGGGGGGCTGCTCCTGAGTGTGAGGCAGCATTGATGATTGTTGGAGAAACCCCCTTTCAGGGAGTCTTCCACAATTATTCATAAGTGGGTGGAAAGAGAGGAAGAGGTTACTAGGCAGCATGTGATGGCTGGTCCTCTGGGTGCACATGCGGTAGCTGTACATGTTTGTTCATACGTCACATGTCTCTTTCGCATCTTTTTTTTTTTTTTTTTGAGACGGAGTTTCACTCTTGTTGCCCAGGCTGGAGTGCAATGGCACAATCTCGGCTTACTGCAGCCTCCACCTCCCGGGTTTAAGCAAGTCTCCTGTCTCAGCCTCCAGAGTAGCTGGGATTACAGGCATGCACCACCACCCCCGGCTAATGTATTTTTAGTAGAGATGGGGTTTCTCCATGTTGGTCAGGCTGGTCTCAAACTCCTGACCTCAGGTGATCCGCCTGCCTCGGCCTCCCCAAGTGCTGGGATTACAGGCATGAGCCACAGAGCCCGGCCTCATTAGCATCTTAAAATCTCCACCGAGGGGTGTGTTTTTTTACTATTAGAATGAGCAAAGGGTCAGTTTGAGGACAGGTAAAATCAATGTGCACATGCCCTCTCCAGGGGAAAGGCCCTACTGCAGACAGCTTTGCTTGAACGAGCTCAGTTAACACGAGCTCAGTTACAGTGCAAACGTGGAGGCTGATTGTGTGGATTGCAGTCACCACGGTTGCTGCGTCCCCAGGACATGGTGACTCCTTTGACTGCCTGTCCTGCCTCGCCTGCACCCAAGGAGACATCCGTCTTCATCAGCGCCTTCTCTCCTGAGAAGGAGGGCTCCCTCTTGCATTCTCATTGTTATTGGATTTTTCTGGCTGGGCAGATCTGGGAGGGTTTCCTGAAGGAGGAGGGAGTCGGGGTGGGTCAGCTGGGAAGGAGCAGAGGGGAGGAAGGCCTGTTAACCCGGCTTCTGAGCCCCTACTCTGCAATCCCAGGTGGCCCCAAGGGAGCAGAGCCGGGACACCACATCCTTCATCAGCTTCCGCCTTAGTCCCACCGAGCTTTGGGGCTGATGAGGGGGCAACCCCTCTTGTCTGGGTTTGGGAGGGGCCTGCCCAGGAGGAGGTGCTGGCTCCAGGCTTGGGGGTTGGGTGCCCCGTCTCGAGGCTGCCTGCCGATACCCTGCGGCCACTGCTGTAGCATCCACGATGCCTCTCCCTCCTCCTGGCTCTCTGTCTGGGAGCGCAAGTGTCTCCATCACTCAACACAACCCCCTCCCTGCCCTGCTGTGCCACTACCACCGCCTTCTCTGGGCACTCCTGCCTCCCAGGTCCCATCCCCACCCCGCAGGACCTGGGGTCTGCCCCAGCACAGACCTGTGGGGCAGCAGGGCTGCTTGGCCCCTCAGGAGCATCTTGAGCTCCGAAAGGGCTCTCAAGGCTGGCGGGACGGCCCCCGCCCAGCCCCAGCCTCTCGCTGTCTGTGATCTGGGGGTGAGTGTCCCTGAGACCGGAGCCCCTCCTTTCCAGCTATTGGTCCTCTGTCCTCAGTCCCCTCCCCATCCTCCCTGCCCGGCCTCACGGGGCAGCCCACTTTCCTCAGGTCTCACTTTGGATCTCTGCCAGCCACGCCACCCACTCTTCTCTACCTCCCCTTGTGGCCCCGACCCCCACTTCTACCCAGAGCTTGGCGCTCCCTGTCTTTTCTGTGGGCTGGCAGAGACCTATCCTCACCAAGGTTGCTCCCGGGCACTGACAGAGCCTGCTGCATACCAGGCCCTTAATACATACACACAGAATGAATGAATGAATGAATGAGTGAATGAATGAATGAATGAGTGAATGAATGAGTGAATGAATGAATGAATGAGTGAATGAATGAGTGAATGAATGAATGAGTGAATGAATGAATGAGTGAATGAATGAATGAATGAGTGAATGAATGAATGCCATGGGGAAGTGGCAAGAGGAAGGCCCTGGGAGGTAACACCATAGGGCCCTTATTTCCCTGGGTACTCAGCACAGCCCCCAGCGTGTCCCCTCTGCACCCCACCCAGCTCTGATTCTCTCCCCAGCTCCCTGTTTCGCTGAGGCCTGGAGCCCCCATGGCCTCACTGAGCCGAGCCCTACGTGTGGCTGCTGCCCACCCTCGCCAGAGCCCTACCCGGGGCATGGGGCCATGCAACCTGTCCAGCGCAGCTGGCCCCACAGCCGAGAAGAGTGTGCCATATCAGCGGACCCTGAAGGAGGGACAGGGCACCTCGGTGGTGGCCCAAGGCCCAAGCCGGCCCCTGCCCAGCACGGCCAACGTGGTGGTCATTGGTGGAGGCAGCTTGGGCTGCCAGACCCTGTACCACCTGGCCAAGCTGGGCATGAGTGGGGCGGTGCTGCTGGAGCGGGAGCGGCTGACCTCCGGGACCACCTGGCACACGGCAGGTAGGGACCGGGGGCCAGGTAGGGGCAGGGAAGGATAGGACATAGCGAGGGGCCACAGCCCATTGCTAGCTGGGACAGTTCTTGGTTCACAACAACCAGCCTGGGGAAGAGACCCTGGGGAAGGGTGCATGGCCAGTTTGCAGGTGGGCGGAGCTGGGGGCACTGCTTGCCCTCCCAGTCGCTGAAGAGCTGTGGTGGGAGGAGGGAGCAGATGCTGCTTGTGTGGCCTGGAGAGTGAAGCTGGGGCCAGAGCTGGAAACTCCAGGCAGCTGTCCAGAGGGCAGAAGCCCCTTTCCTGGACAGAGCCACCAGGACTGAGGGCATTCCAGGGAGTGGAGAAGGACGGACGGGGACCATTGAGGGTGAAGCAGACCTGTGTCCTCCATGAGCACCAGAGGCTTCTACAGTTCTCATTCTCCTAACTAACCAGGGGGCATATATTAAGCACCTATGGTGTGCATGTCCCAGGACAGCCAACCTTCTGCCTTCACCATTTCAGCCATGGGTGTCCTGGCAAACTGGATCTCCTGACCTGCAGTGTTGGCCAGTTCCTGTGGTGTGAACACTCCCACCCTGGCCAATAGCAAAAGCCACCAGTGTGAGGTCACTGACTGTGGAGTTGGGAAGAGGTTTATCCCTGGGCTCCTGAGAGCTGATGCGAGCCGGCTCCCACAAGCCACTGCTCCAACTCTTGCTCTTGCCTTCTCACTGGCCCCCTAGCTGGGCTGTCATAGCCTCTTCCCTGACGTTTCGCCAGCCACACCCCTGGCCTGCCACCTCTCACATTCAGCTGCTGGAGGGCATCCTTTGTTGGGGAGAGTGCAGATTTAAGCTTCATTCAGTAGTGGGTTGGTGTCTCGGCGCCCCCTCCACTCACCTGCTCTGTGATCTTGGCCACAGAACTGTTGGTGCCACTTGAACTTGATCTATAAGAGAATCACGCCCTCCTCATAGGGCATGACAGGCTTAGCACGGGGCTTGGCACACAGTAGGTGCTCCAAAAATGGGGGCCTTTGCTATGTCACTCTCTGAGCTGCCCAAGGGCGGGACCTCCCTCACATTCATCTTGGTCCAGTTATTTTCTGCTCAACAACCTCTCCAGGCCCCCCAGGTCCTGCAGAGAAAGACCTTGCAGAGAAAGACACCCATGGTTGAATATCAGGGTATCCCCTGATATTCGTCTGGGGGAAGGAGGTGCAGTCCACTCCCTGGGGAGTGATGGCACCCACCCTCCCGGGCAGGCCTGCTGTGGCAGCTGCGGCCCAGTGACGTGGAGGTGGAGCTTCTGGCCCACACTCGGCGGGTGGTGAGCCGGGAGCTGGAGGAGGAGACGGGACTACACACGGGCTGGATCCAGAATGGGGGCCTCTTCATCGCGTCCAACCGGCAGCGCCTGGACGAGTACAAGAGGCTCATGTCGGTGTGTGCTCCCCTGCGGGGGGCAAGGAGGGGGGCTTGGGTGGGTGGGTGCACTCCCTGGGGGGTCATATTGGTGGGTGCACCCCCTGTGGGGGGGTAGGGTGGGCTCCCTGTGAGGGTGGAGGTACGCTGGGGGTTCATGTCCGTGTGCGCATCCCCTGCGGGGGGCTGGGGTGGGGGGCTCGTGTGGATGAGTCTGCTTCCTGTGGGGTCGGGAGTGGGGCTCATGTCGGTGGGCACCCTTCTGCCGCGAGAGAAGGGGACACGCCACAGGGAAGGAGCCCCGGCAGGTGACAGATCTGGGTTCCAGCCCTTGCGCTGCCCCTTGCTGGCTGTGCCACCTGGAGAAAGCGACTTTGCCAGGCTTCATTCAGAATTCCCAGACAGAGAATCTGATTGGCCCAGCTTCTCCCTGTCCCAGTGGTCCACGCCTGAGGACACTGATTGGCTGTTCTTGGGCCAATCAAATGTGGGGGCGTGGTCTATCTGACAGTCTGAAACAGGATCTTGGCCTCTCTTGACAGCTGGTCTGACTGGGAAACCTCTCAGGCCCAAAGTATTAGACCTGTGGGGTTATTTATCTTATATAATAGACACTTTGTGCCAGGCACTGGTCTAAGTTCTTTGTCAATGACATACACTATTCTCACCCCCACTTCACCTGAGTGAGCCTGAAGCGACTTTGCCCCAGGTTGGTCACACAGCTGGCGAGGGTCGGATTGGCACAGGCGGCCTGGCCCCGGAGCCTGCCTCAGTGCCCTGCTCCTTAACTCTTATGCTGAAGCGGATTCAAGGGACAGGCTCCGGGGGCGTGGGGACCGGCTAAGGCTTCTGGGAGAAAGTGAGGCTGGGGTTTGCGGTGGATGCCCAGTTGGGGAGGGGAGTGGCCCAGGGGTCTGCTCCCCACGGACTCAGTTAACCTCCCCTGGGTCCCCCTAGCTGGGCAAGGCGTATGGTGTGGAATCCCATGTGCTGAGCCCGGCAGAGACCAAGACTCTGTACCCGCTGATGAATGTGGACGACCTCTACGGGACCCTGTATGTGCCGCACGACGGTACCATGGACCCCGCTGGCACCTGTACCACCCTCGCCAGGGCAGCTTCTGCCCGAGGAGCACAGGTACTGATGGCCGCCTGGCTCTGGGTCCCCTGTTCCCAGCCCACTCCTCCTGCCTTAGAACCCTGAGAGCAGAAGGGAAGAGAACAAGAGCCATTCTCTGACTGCTGTGTGACTTTGGGCCAGTGAGGACCTCTCTGAGCCTTCTGGTCCACTCCTGCCAAGGGGAGGCTATGCCTTCGTTCTGTTCACAGACATCAGGTCGTGCCGTGGGTGCACCCATTCCTCTGCTGCACAAGCAAATCGTATCAAAAGCCCTTCTTATAATTTGTATCTGTGTTTGTCTCAACTCCGCACATCATTGTAGAACAATTTTTTTGTTTGTTTGTTTGAGACAGTATCTCGCTCTGTCGCCCAGGCTGTAGTGCAGTGGCATGATCACTGCTCACTGCAAGCTCTGCCTCCCGGGTTCATGCCATTCTCCTGCCTCAGCCTCCTGAGTAGCTGGGACTACAGGCACCCGCCACCACTCCCGTCTAATTTTTTGTATTTTTAGTAGAGACAGGGTTTCACTGTGTTAGCCAGGATGGTCTTGATCTCCTGACCTCGTGATCCACCGGCCTCGGCCTCCCAAAGTCCTGGGATTACAGGCGTAAACCACCACCCCCGGCCTGTAGAACAATTTTAAGAAGACAAATAAGCAAAAAAGAAGTCAAGATCACCCAGCAGTAACTAGTATTGACATTTTAGTATGTTTTACTCCAAATATTTTTCTATGAAAATATATATGTATGCAAAATAGAACCAAGCTGTTGTTATTTTGTGATTTTTTTTTTTTTACCAAGCAGTAGACTGCAAACATCTTTCTGTTAATCAAATATCTTGCTTTTTTTTTTTAAAAAAAAGTCAGCTACTTTTTCACGTTATGAAAAGAGGGTTCCCCCCACAAGTCAAGTGAAAGAACTTGCCCAACTTTCAAGTTCTCCAAGTCAAGGCATGGGTGGGTCTAGTTTTCTGGCGCTGTGGTCATCCGGTTTCCCTGACAGTGTCGCAGGGGACCTGCTGCTGGCAGAAATAGTGTCCCCAGCTCCCCTCTGGGAGGAGGGGTTGGTTGGAGTGGGGTGGGAAGCACCCCCGGGGAGTCCCGTGGGATTTTAGAAGCAGTTCCTCTCAATTCCAGGTCATTGAGAACTGCCCAGTGACCGGCATTCGTGTGTGGACGGATGATTTTGGGGTGCGGCGGGTCGCGGGTGTGGAGACTCAGCATGGTTCCATCCAGACACCCTGCGTGGTCAACTGTGCAGGTGCGAGTGGCATTTCTCCTGACTCCTGTGTGGCCATGCTGGCTGCTCCCTAAACCTGCTCCCACCTCTGCAGGGCTTCTTTCTGGGGTGGGGAGCCCCTGCTAGGGCAGACAGGTCTGCAGAGGCAGCCTGTGCACACCTGAGAGGCAGCTCCCACCAGGTGTCAGCAGAGCTGAGCTGTCTGTGCTCTGCCCGCAGGAGTGTGGGCAAGTGCTGTGGGCCGGATGGCTGGAGTCAAGGTCCCGCTGGTGGCCATGCACCATGCCTATGTCGTCACCGAGCGCATCGAGGGGATTCAGGTAGGTGGACAGCCCCGGGTTCTGTGTCAGTCTGTGGGGGGCACAGAGACCTGGCTCTGAATCCCAGCTTGAACCCAGGTGGTGTGACCCTTGTGGGTCCCCTCACTGCCCCAAGCCTCAGTCACCTCATCTGTGAAATGGGGATTGTAACATGGGGTATTTCCGGGTGGTATGAGGATTAAACTAGGTAGCACAGGCGTATCCCTGTTGGGGCTGACCCCCTTGTTCCTCAGGACCTGGCCTCTCTTTGATGCCCAGAACACAGTCCAGCCTGTCCTGCGTGGTGCAGGCAGCCTAGCTTTTTGCCATGTTCTGTGCCCAGGAGTTTCGGGGAAGACCCGAATGTTTGCATGCTCTCAGTGTGCCTGGGGTGCCTGTCTCAGAGGGTGCTGGTTCCTGGCATGAATAACCTCCCTGAGAGCCTTCTGCCAAGGGAGGTTGGGGGCCTGGGTTCACCTCCTGGCACCTGGGGCTGGGTGCCTCCTGCCCTCTCTTCTCTCCTGTCCTCAACTCCTCCCTCCAGGGATGGTGGCTGGGAGCTTCCTGCCACTTTGTTACTGACCCCCCTCTTTCCATCCGTTCATCATGCAACCCTCCCTTACTCATTCCTCTCTCTGTCCAGCCCTCCATCTCTCCATCCGTCTCTCCATCCATCTACTCCCGTATCTATCCATGCCTTCTCCCATTTATTCCTTCATCCCTCCACCCATCCCCCTTCCCTTCATCCATTCCTCCCTCCACTCTTTCCCTCCCTCTATTCATCTTGCCATCTCGCCATCCATTCTTCCGTCCTCCATCTCTCCATCTATCTATTCATCTATTTATCCACATGTTCATCTGTCCATCCCTTCTTTCATATATCCTTCCATCCACCCACCCACCTAAACTTCTACCCATCAATCCCTCCCTCCCTCCCTCTAGCCACTCATCTCTCCCTCTGCCCTTCCTTCAGCATCCACCCACATATTAATCCAACCATTCACATTCCATTGAACCCTCTCTGCATCAGACATTGATGGGTGAGCTTGGTGTTTCAGGCCCTATTCTAGAAGCTGTGGCCATAACACAGACAGACACCTAGTTCTTGCTGGGTAGAGCTGGGGGGAGGTACAGACAAGTACATGTGCAATTCCAGAACATGCTGATAAGGGCTCTGATGGGGTCTCAGGGGCTATAGGAATTCCCAGCCCTAGTGGACCAGGGGAGGCTCCCTGGAGGAGGCAGCTGCATCTAGGTGAGGCTCTTGAGGGTGGCATGGTGGACAAGGAGCGTGCACAGAGCATGGCCGTTCAGAGAGCCAGGGCCAGAGGCTGTGGGGCAGGGTCAGTGTGAGAACAGACTGCCCTTGTTTAGGGTCAGGGCCAGTGAGAGGGAAGCCTGGGCCCCTGAGCTGGGAGCCTCGTCCCTGGGGGCTGCCCATTGCCACCCTGTGCCAGCCTGGCTTCCCTATGGTCACCGGGGAGGTACCAGGCTTGGCTGCTTCGTAGACCAGGGTAGTGAAGCGGGTGGCGAAATGGGGCCGGAACCTGGGTCCCAGTGCGCTGCTGCCTCTGACTCCTGTGCGCTGGGCAAGCCACGCCCCACTGGACACAAGACCTCTTGTTCATAGAATGAGCCTCTCACTGCAGGTGGCTGGTGCCATGTGCCGGGTTAGGGACTAAGAGTAGTCACACGGTGGGTGTCGGAGCTGAGTGCTGAGGCCTCCTCCCTGGCTCCGGGTCCCTGGGGAGAGCCTCCTCCCCTAGGTGGCCGCCAGGGGTCACGCTCAGGTCTCAGTGGGTTCTGGGAGGGCGGGCAGAGCTGTGTCCTGGGGCGTCAGGGAGGGTGGCCACAGAATGTCCACCGAGCCCAGGACTGTGGCTCCATCCTCCATCCCTAATTCCTCCCAAGGCCTGCCTTTGAGGTGCCTTTCCAGGGAAGAAGCAAGGCAGAGTTGGCCTAGGTCCCTGCAGCTGCCCCCTCCTGTGTATGTCAAGATTCAAGCGAAGCTAGGGGGTGTTACTTACAAAGCCAGTCCAGATCCCAGCGTGCCTCTGGTACCGGAGCACAGGAAAAGGGCCATCAGCCCCAGCAGCTCTGAGACCTGGTAGGAGAAAAGTGGAGATCTGGGGCTTCGCACAAAGCCCCTCATGTTCCTCTGACACCTGGCCATGTGCAGGTGTCTGGAAGTTGTCCCTTCCAGAGGCTGCAGCTAGGCAGTTGGTGTGAATCTGAGGAAGGAGCCAGGCCGCTGGCCCTGACCTGCCCACCTGCTGTGGTCTGACCCTTGGATGGGCCACAGAACAAGCCAGGGGGCCCTCTCCTGGGCGCATGGCACCTGTGCAGCCCATTTCTGTCTGCTCAGGAAGCTCCCTGGGCGTGGCAGCCTCGTGCAGCAGGACGCTGTCTACCCTGATCAGACACAGCCACACACATTGGGGCCTGGGGGCTCCAGCTGGCAGGTGAGGGCTCAGGTCTCACGTGTGGTTCATCTTTCTTCTTGGGTGGCTGGAGGGCTGTGTGGCCCCAAGGACCTCCCTTTTCTGAGGATCTGTCCCAGGCCTGGGTCCTAGAGAGCTCTGCCCACAGCTTCCTTTGTGGCTAGGGCTCATCTCTTCCCTCTCTGAGCTATCATTAAAGCAGGTGGCTCGGGCGCTGTTAGGGGGTTTCACAGTCGTGCTCTGGCGTACTTTTGCAGTGGCAAGGAGCGGCTGCTCCATCCGTGGGCAGAGCTGTGGGTAAGAGCCTGGGTGCTGGGTTTAAACACTGACTCCTCCATTACCCAGGCTGGCCAAGTCTGTCACCGCTCTGGTTCCCTTTCCTGCAAAATGGGTCATAACCATCCCTACTGCCTCAGGCTGTGCTGCAGGAAGGACAGAGTGATGCAGCTGGGAGTGGTGCCCGGCATACAGCAGGTGCTCATGAGGTGGTAGCTGTGTGATGACAAGGACAAGGACAGAGGGTTGTGAAGTCGTCACCAGCTGGCGCTTCGGAGGAAGAGAACACGGAGGGCAGGAGCAATCAGGCAGGGATCAGATGGAAGAAAGAGGCAGATGGAAGGCATGGGCTGAGGTCAGGAGGCAGGGAGTCAGTGGCACCAGGGCCAGACTGGGGACAGCCAGAGCAGGAGGCTGCTGCCTGGAGAGAAAGGCCAGGGCTCCACTGGACGCTGATGCTGAACTGGGCACTCCGCTGGGTGCTCAGAGGCAGCAGGATCTGTGCAAGGGGCAGGTAAGTCCAGACATGGATCCTGCTGGGACAAACATCAGGGGCTTCCCTGGCCACCAGGTGTCCCCACTGTCCTGCTCTATGGAACTCTGGGGCTGGCTTTGTTTTTAGAGTAGTAGTGCTAGCAGAGGTAAGGATATAACTACTACTACTACTACTACTATTATTATTATTATTATTATTATTATTTGAGACAGGGTCTCACTCTGTTTCCCAGGCTGGAGTGCAGTGGCATGATCATAGCTCACTGCAGCCTTGACCTCCTGGGCTCAAGCGATCCTCCCACCTCCACCTCCCGAGTAGCTGGGACTACAGGCATGTGCCACCACTCCTGGCTAATTTTTGTATTTTTATAGAGATGGGGTTTTGCTATGCTGCCCAGGCTGGTCTCAAACTGCTCAAGCGATCCTCCTGCCTCAGACTCCTAAAGTCCTGGGATTACAGGTGTGAGCCACCTTGCCCGGCTGTGATTATTTTTAAACAGTGCTCAGTTACTAGGAACTTCTATGTGCCACCTGACAACGATCCCCTGGTGCAGATATTCTCATTCCAATGAACAGGACTCCTGGGATCCTGGCGGAGAGGGAGGAAGCATCTGCCAGAATGTCCCTTCTGGTCTCTGCACATCCCCTTTCCTGCTCCCAGAGACAGGACAGGGGTCGTATCTCCCTGTGCTCATCTCCAGTTCTGGGGCAGGTGACAGAGGGATTGAGAGAAGGCTGTTCCTCGGGTACAGAGGAGTCCACACGCCATGCCTGCTTGCTTTCTAAACGGTCTTGTTTGGTTTGGCTTGTTTATTGGTTAAATCAGTGGTTCCTCTCTGCAATATTATGATGATGTAAACACTGCTTTTTTGTTTGTTTGTTTTGTTTTGTTTTTTTTGAGACAGAGTTTCACTTTGTTGCCCACACTGGAGTACAGTGGCACAGTGTCAGCTCACTGCAACCTCCGCCTCCCGGGTTCAAGCAATTCTCGTGCCTCAGCCTCCCATGTAGCTGGGATTAAATGTGCCCGTCACCACACCCGGCTGATTTTTTTTTGTATTTTAGTAGAGACGGAGTTTCACCATGTTGCCAAGGCTGGTCTCGAACTCCTGAGCTCAGGCAATCCACCCATCTCGGACTTCCAAAGTGCTAGGATTACAGGCGTGAGCCACCATGCTTAGCTGATTATGTAAACATTGTTAATACCTGAGCAAGTAGTGTCCAACTTTTTGTGTTTCTTGGAGTTATTAACAGTTTTTGTCCCAGCTGCTCAGTTTCTTTTGTAACTGTTATGTGTGTGTGTGTAACATTATCTTCATGCCCCAAAACCCATACCCGTTATCAATCACTCCCCATTTCCCACCCTGTCCCCAGACTTAGGCAATCCCAAATCTGATTTCTGCCTCGATGGAGTTTCCTATTCTGGACGTTTAGTATAAATGGAATCACATGATGTCTGGCTTCTTTTTACGGTTTTGTCCGTGTAGTACATGTATCAGTATTTCATTCTTTTTTGCAGCTGAATAATACTCCATTGTATGGATACAATGCACTTTATCCGTTCACCCACTGGTGGACATTTGGTGTTTCTCATTTCTGGTTATTTTGAATAGTGCTGCTGTGAACATCCATATGCATGTTTTTGTGGGGACCTATGTTGTTATTTCTCTTGAGTTTAAACAAGTTGAGCACCCCAAATCCGAAAATCCAAAATGCTCCAAAATCCAACACTTTTTGAGCACTAACATGATGCTCAAATGAAATGCTCACTGGAGTATTCTGGATTTTGATTTTTGGTTTGGGGATGCTCAACAGGTAAGTATAATGCAAACATCCAAAATCAAAAAAAAAATTAAAAATGTGAAACACTGCTGGTCCCAAGCATTTCAGATAAGGAATACTCAGTCTATACACTGGAGTGGAATTACTGAGTCATATGGTAACTCTATTTAACATTTCAACGAACTGTCGGACTATTTTCCAAAGAAGCTGCACCATTTTACATTCCCACCAGTGAGGTATACGGAGGGGTTCCAGCTCCCCTCCATCCTCACCAAGTCTTGTTATTTTTTGTCTTTTTTTATGCCGGTCATCCTAGAAGGTGTGAGGTGGTGTCTCACCGTGGGTTTGATTTGCATCTCCCTGATGACATGATGTGGGGCATCTCTTCATGTGCTTACTGACTATTTGTGTATCTTCTTTGGAGAAATGGTTACTCAGACACTTTGCCCATTTAAAAATAGGGTTGCTTATCTTTTTATTGAGTTGTAGGAGTTCCTTAAATATTCTGGATACAGGTCCTTTGTTACATATATGATTTATGAACATTTTCTTCCATTCAGTGATTGAAACTTCTATTCAGTGGTTGTCTTTTCCCTTTCTTTTTTTCCCCCAGAATCCAGAAGTCTTTACATAGCCTTTTCGCTTTTTTATGGTATGGTTTGTAGCACAAGTTTTAAATTTTAATAACGTCCAATTCATCTCTTTTTTTCCTCTTTTGTCATTTGTGCTCTTGGTGTCATATTTAAGAAGACATTTCCCAACCCAAGACTATAAAGATTTACTTCTAATATTTTCTTCTGAGGCTTTTATAGTTTTAGCTCTTATACTTATGCCTGTAATCCATCTCAAGTTAAATTTTGTGCATGGTGTGAGGTAGGGGTCCAACTGCATTCTTTTGCATGTGGCTATCCAGTTGGCCCAGCAACATTTTTTACAAAGTCTGCTTCCCCCAAGGAATTGTCTTAGCACCCTTGCTGAAAATCAATTGACTCTGAAGAAGAAGGTTTATTTATTTTATTTTATTTTTTTGAGACAGCGTCTCGCTCTTTTGCCCAGGCTGGAGTGCAGTGGTGTGATCTCTGCTCACTGCAAGCTCTGCCTCCTGGGTTCATGCCATTCTCCTGCCTCAGCCTCCCGAGTAGCTGGGACTACAGGTGCCTGCTACCACGCCTGGCTAATTTTTTGTATTTTTTAGTAGAGACAGGGTTTCACCACGTTAGCAAGGATGGTCTCGATCTCCTGACCTTGTGATCCACCCGCCTTGGCCTCCCAAAGTGCTGGGATTACAGGCGTGAGCCACCATGCCTGGCAGAAGAAGGTTTATTTCTCGACTCTCAATTCTAATCCATTGATCTGTAGGTCTATCCTTACTTAGTACCTCACTGTCTTGATTATGTAGCTTTGCAGTAAGTTTGGTATCAAGAAGTGTGAATCCTCCAACTTTGTTTTTCCTTTTCAAAATTGTTTTGGGTATTCTTGGTCCCTTGCATCTCTGTATGAACTTTAGGGTCAGCTATTTAATTTCTTCAAAGAAACTAGCTGAGATTCTGACAGGCATTGTGTTGAAGCTATGGATCAATTTGGGGTGTGTTGTCAGCTTAACAAAAATAAGTCTTTCATTTCATGAACGTGAGATGTCCTTCTATTTATTTAGGTCTTCTTTAATTTCTTTCGAAAGTATTTTCTAGTTTTTAGAGTACAAGTTTTGCAATTCTTTTGTCAAATTTGTTCCTAAGCATATTTATTATTTTTGATGATATTGTAAATGAAATTATTTCTTAACTTCCTTTTCAGATTATTCAATGCTAGAGTATAGAAATATATTAGTTTTTTGGCTGAGCCCAGTGGCTCATGCCTATAATCCCAGCACTTTGGGAAGCTGAGGTGGGTGGATTGCTTGAGGTCAGGAGTTCAAGACCAGCCTGGCCAACATGGTGAAACCCTGTCTCTACTAAAAACACAAAAATTAGTCAGGCATGGTCCCAGCTACTCGGTAGGCTGAGGCAGGAGAATCACTTGAACCCAGGAGGTGCAGGTTGCAGTGAGTTGAGATGGCACCACTGCACTCTAGCCTGGGCGATAGAGCAGGACTCTGTCAGAAAGAAAGAGAGAAAGAGAGAGAGAGAGAGAGAGAGAGAGAGAGAGAGAGCGCTAGTAGTTTTTTAGTGGTTTCCTTAGGATTTTGTATATACAAGACCTTGTTATCTGCAAATAGGAATATTTTTACTTCTTCTTTTTCAATCTGGGTGCCTTTTATTACTTTTGCTGCCTAATTGCTGCCCTGGCTAAAACCTCCAATGTAATGTTGGGTAGAAGGGGTAAGAATGGATATCTTTCTCTAATTCCTGATCTTGGGGGGAAATCAGCCATCCTTCTTCCTTGAAGTATCACATTCCATGTGGGTTTTTGTAGATACCCTTCAGCACTTTGAGGAAGTTCCCTTCTTCCAAGTTTGTTAAGTGTTTGTTGAGGCTTTAAAAAAAAAAATCATTAAAGATGTTGGATTCTGTCAAATGCTTCTCATGCATCTACTGGGATGATTACGTGGTTTTTGTCCTGTACTTTGTTGATGTGGGGTATTCTATTGATTGGTTTTCATACATTATACCAAACTTGCCTTCCTAGGATAAATTCCAGTTGGCCATGGTGTTTTGTTTTGTTTTGTTTTGTGTTTTTGAGACAGAGTGAGACTCTGTTGCCCAGGCTGGAGTGCAGTGGTGTGATCTTGGCTTACTGCAACCTTCGCTTCCTGGGTTCAAGCAAATTCTCCTGCCTCCACTCCTGAGTAGCTGGGATTACAGGCATGTGCCACGACACCCAGCTGATTTTTGTATTTTTAGTAGAGTTGGGGTTTCACCATGTTGCCAAGGCTGGTCTCGAACTCCTGACCTCAAATGACCCTCCCGCCTTGGCCTCCCAAAGTGCTGGGATTACAGGCATGAGCCACCACGTCCAGTCTGGCCATGGTGTATCATCTCTCTTATATATTGCTGGATTCAGTTTGCTATTGTTTTGTTGGGGGTATTTGCATGTGTATATATAACTGTCACTATTTTTCCCCAGTTGTGTCAAGGGATCTGTCAAACATATTGATACTATTGATACTATTTTCTGAATACGCACACACATCAGATAAACCACCTAACGCCCCCAAGTCCCATTTCCCTCCCCTGGAGGACTTCCTGCTGCCTTCAGATCTTCCGCTCCCTTTTGGACTGACCGCTGCATGGTCTAAGCTGTCACTCCAGGGCCTTCTTCACGCCTCCCCGCTGGAGCCATGGCTTTCACTCTTTCTGGGTTTATTTTCTTCCTTTTGTCACAGCGTGTTCTCTGGCTGTTTACTGCAAAGGAGTACGAGAGAAGTATATGTTTTGTGTCCATGAATGTCTGAAAAAGCTTTTATTCTTTGCTTACACTCGATTGATGGCTTGACAGGATCTAGAATTCTGTGTTGAAAATCATCCATTAGACGTTTGAAGAGTTTGCTCCATGTCTTCCAGCCTCCAGCGATGCAGTCCCCTGTTGATGGCCCTCCTGGCCATCCGGTGTTGTGATGTTTCCCACGGCGTGGCCTTGGTGCAGGCCTCTGTCCAGACTCAGGGCTTGGTGGGCACTCTTGGGCCCTTCCATATGAATGCGTGATTTTCAATCGGAGGACTCTTCTTGGGCTGTTGCTTGGACATTTTTCTCGACTCCATTTTTCTCTGTCTTCTCTTTCTGGAACCGCTGTAAAATGGATGTTGAACTTTCAAGACGGACCTTCTGATATTCTTATTTTTTTTCCACTCCTGATTTCTGTTTTGTTGTCTTTTTCTTTTAGCCTAATCGCTGGATGATGGCCCCAGCCTTATCTGGCCCTTCCATTGAATTTTAAATTTTGACTATCATATCTCATTTAAAGACCTCTTTCTTCATCTTAGATTCCTTTCTCATAGCACTGTCTGTCACTCTGATACAGTTTGGCTGTGTCCCCACCCAAAGCTCACCTTGAATCGTAATAATCCCCATGTGTCAAGGGTGGGGCCAGGTGGAGATAATTGAATCATGGGGTGGTTTCCCCCATACTGTTCTCATGGTAGGGAATAAGTCTCAGGAGATCTGATGGTTTTATAAAGGGAGTTCCCCTGCACATGCTCTCTCTCTCTTTCCTGCTGCCATGTAAGACATGCCTTTGCTCCTCATTTGCCTTCCACCATGATTGTGAGGCCTCCCCAGCCATGTGGAACTGTGAGTCCATTAAACCTCTTTCCTGTATAAATTACCCAGTCTTGGGTATGTCTTTATTAGCAGCGTGAGAACACACTAATACACCATCTTCTTGTATTCCTGATGTTCTTGTTGTGGTTTGTGGTTATTTATTTATGAGACAGAGTTTCACTCTTGTTGCCCAGGCTGGAGTGCAATGGTGCAATCTTGGCTCACTGCAACCTTCGCCTCCCAGGTTCAAGCCATTCTCCTGTCTCAGACTCCTGAGTAGCTGGGATTACAGCTGCCCACCACCACGCCCGGTTAATTTTTTGTATTTTTAGTAGAGATGGGGTTTCACCATGTTGGCCAGGCTGATTTTGAACTCCTGACCTCAGGTGATTCACCCATGTCGGCCTCCCAAAGTGCTGGGATTACAGGTGTGAGCCACAGTGCCTGGCCTGTGGTTTTGTTTTATTTATTTATTTATTTATTTTGAGACGGAGTCTTGCTCTGTCACCCAGGCTGGAGTGCAGTGGCACGATCTCGGCTCACTGCAAGCACCACGTTCTGGGTTCACGCATTCTCCTGCCTCAGCCTCCCGAATAGCTGGGACTACAGGCGCCCGCCACCACGCCCAGCTAATTTTTTGTATTTTTAGTAGAGACGAGGTTTCACCATATTAGTCAGGATGGTCTTGATTTCCTGACCTCGTGATCTGCCTGCCTTGGCCTCCCAAAGCACTGGGATTACAGGTGTGAGCCACCGTGCCTGGCCTGTGGTTTTGTTTTTAGGAGAGAGTGAGCAGCAGTGTGATTGGAGGCTTGGAGGGGAGGACTGGAGAGCCTCTCAGGAAGGGTGGGCGGCAAGCCTTTCGCTTTTAGAGAGACCCTGGTGTCAACATCTCAAGCCTTCCCTGGGCCTCTCAGTGTCTCACAGAAGAGTCTCCAATCTGCTCCTGGGGTGGGGGGGTGGGGGGATGGCAGTCCACTCTCCCCACTTCTGGAGCCTCTCAGGACCCACCTCTCCAGAGGAAGATCCTTCCATACATGAGCAAGCGCATCACCCCCTGAAGAGGGACCTGGGGTGGCTCTGAAGATTCAAGAGGAGGCAGGAGGGGCACACTGGCTTGCCTTGCTCAGTCTCCCTCTCCTCCAGCCCCAGCTAAGTCTCACCCCTCCTCCATCCACTCTGCGTCCTCCAGGGTTGGTTGGAATCTCCCATCCTCTACTGCTGCCTCTGCCTGTTCTCTCATCTTTGTCGGTTATATGTTTTGCTTCCCTCCCTTCCTCCCTTGCTCTCTTCCTCGATCCATTCCTTCTTCCTTCTTCCCCTTTTGCTGTTATTTTATGGGATTTGGGGAAGGAGAGGCTTGAATGGCAGTGACCCATTCACTGTGTGTAACTTGAGGCCCCGTGTCCACTCTGTCCTCGGGGTCCTACAACGAGAAGGACCATCTCGAGCCCGTGACCCTGGGTGGAGGTGCTGGCCCACCACGGGGCATGGGGAACCAAGTCCCCACCCAGTTCTGGATGATGCCAAGGCCTCTCTCTCTGCCTTCCAGAACATGCCCAATGTCCGTGATCATGATGCCTCTGTCTACCTCCGCCTCCAAGGGGATGCCTTGTCTGTGGGTGGCTATGAGGCCAACCCCATCTTTTGGGAGGAGGTAAGATGCCAGGGCCCTGGGATAATGGGAGGGAGTTGGGGCTGCATCTCAGCATGGAGAGGGCCTCTTTCAGGAAGTCCATCCTCCTGAAGCTCCTCAGAGGCACACCTGAGAAGTGGCCGGTCCCCTGACCCCACCAAGCTCAAAGCCATCTTGCTCTTACCCTGACGGTCCTGGCAGGCAGTCAAATACAGACCCAGGGCAGCTGGAGGGCTTTGCCTCAAAACATCCACAGAGAAGGTCTGCGCAGTGTGGAGTGATGACCTCAGAAGGGCATGAGAGCACACAAGTCCTACGTCCTTCAGCAAATGACACTGCCCTCCCAACCAGCTGCTGCAGCGGCATTTCCCCTGGCCTGGGCTGTTTCCCGGGCAGCTTCTGGGGTTAGGGCAGCCCTGCAGCCCTGTTCTATGTGTATATGCATTTAGTCCACACATGGAACGACTGAGTGGCTACTTTGGGCTAAAAACTGCTTTAATTTCTGGAGAAAGAGGGAAACTAAGATAAAAGTCCCTGACTCTGGGTGCCTATATTTTGGTGGAGAGACATACAATAAACAAACAAATGGCTGGGCACGGTGGCTCACACCTGTAATCCCAGCACTTTGGGAGGCTGAGGTGGGCGGACCACCTGAGGTCAGGAATTTGAGGCCAGCCTGGCCAACATGGTGAAATCCCAACTCTACTAAAAATACAAAAATTAGCCAGGTGTGGTGGCGGGCACCTGTAATCCCAGCTACTTGGGAGGCTGAGGCAGGAGAATCACTTGAACCCGGGAGATGGAGGTGGCAGTGAGCCGAGATCGCACCACTTTACTCCAGCCTGGGTGACAGAGTGAGACTGTTACAAACAAACAAACAAACAAATGAACAAGGAATGAAATTCTGGAAGATGATCGCGCACTGAATAAAATTAGCAGGTTAAGGATCAGCCTAGAGAGACTGGAGCAGAAGGATATCCTTTAGATGGGTGGTCAGGGCAGGGTTTTTCAGGGAGGGGACATCCAAGCAGAGCCCTGCACCGCGACAACAAACCAGCGTGCCAGGTCTGGGTGAAGAACTGCCCCATTGAGGGGTGAAGGCCTTGAGCTCACACAAGCTTGCTCTTCCCAAAGAGCTGCAGGAAGGTCAGGGTGGCGGGCCCAGTGGTAGAGGTAGGCAGGCTGGCACATGCCATACAGGGCTTTGGGGCCATCGTGAGCTGCAGGGGGCCAGAGGAGGCTTGTGAGTAGGGAAGGGGCATGGTGGGATCTAGGGGAGTGGGTGGAGGCCTGGGCTGGGGTGGGGAGGGGGAGCAGACAGACCTTGCTGATGGGTTGGTGGGTGGGGGAGACAAACGGCTGGGACGTGTGGGTGACCACCAGCCCTCTAATGCATCTGATTCAGCAGAGGCTGGCCTGGCAGCCATCACAAGGCAGGTTTGGCATGGGGATGCATGGCCTTCTTGGGGACAACGGAGATGTTCCCCTGCCCTGCCTTGGCAGGTGTCAGACAAGTTTGCCTTCGGCCTCTTTGACCTGGACTGGGAGGTGTTCACCCAGCACATTGAAGGCGCCATCAACAGGGTCCCCGTGCTGGAGAAGACAGGAATCAAGTCCACGGTCTGCGGCCCTGGTGAGTGACAGCCTCGGAGCTGGGGTGGGCGTCCATGGGTCCTTTGGTCTGATGACTGTTAGTAGTGATGCCCCGTGAGACCAGCCTGTGTCACACAGGGGACCCAGGGCTGTCCCCGGTCCCTCTCGCTGCTTGGCTCCAGCAGCCCTGGGTACTAGGTGTGGCCTTTATTCCCCTCTACGGGCGAGAGGCCTGGGCTTCACAAGGGCCATCATCTGCCCCAAGCACGAGGCCAGGGCCTCCTCCTGCCTCAAGGGTGGCTGGTCCTGGCTTCCCCACCTGGGCTTCTTCATCCCTAGACTTGACTTGTCCCTGGAATTCTGTGTTTTCATCTGTAAAATGGGAATAGCGGGCCACATCCCAGCACCCTGTGAGGCTGAGCCAGGAATGGAAGGGCTGAGACCTTCCCTGATGAGAGGCTTATACAGCTGTGAGTCCCAGTTCTGCCTCCAGCCCCAGCCCCCACCGCTCCCAGAGAGCACTGCCCTGGCCAGGACCCCATGCTGCTGGCCTCCCTCCTGTTCTTGGCGGCTTGCACCTGGAGGCCAGCTCAGCGGGGGAAGGTTCTTGTGTCAAGATTCCCCTAACTCTGGCCCTCCTTGCTAGCCCCAGGAGAACTTAGCTGGAAGAGGCTGGAGCAAAAAGGTGGGCTCAGCTCCCAGATGCCCCACGTGGGTCATCCACAGCGCAGCTCAGCCCCACCCCACCCTACTGGCCTGGGGAGCCTGGAAGGCTCTGCCCCAGGGGGCGGGTGTGGGGCTGAGGCTGCTGGCCTGGGGAGCCCGGAAGGCTCTGCCCCAGGGGGCGGGTGTGGGGCTGAGGCTGCTGGCCTGGGCCCTGGCAAAGGTGCACTCTCTGGGAAGCAGGAGGGGCTGCAGCTGACCTTGGCACCCCAGTGTTTATAACCACGGGACTTTGAGCCAGACGTCCCTGAGTTGAGTGTGGGGCAGCCCAGGAGCTACCGGTGACCCCAGAGCACCAGCATTCCTTCATGAGGGCATTCATTCTACATTAAGTGGCACTTCGTCGGTGGTGGAGGCAGGCACGCTCAGGGCCAGCGCCCTCCTTCTGGCAGGGGAGACCCAATGCAAGTCACTGATCACAGCCCGTGGGTGGGTGCTCTGACACGAGGCATGGGGTGACTGGGTGGCCACAGCCTGAGGACACAGACGGGCGGCCAGGAGGAGGGGCAGCCTAGCCCGGCCCTGGAGGGCGAGTCAGCGCTGGGCCTGCCGCGGATACGTGATCTGAGCAGGGGAGCACCAGGTGGGCACAGACAATCCCCCACATTGGGGTTCCAGCAGAATCACATGGTGTTCCCCACTGCTTCCTGGTAGGGGGAGCTCTGGCCCCGCTTCAGGGCTGGGAGAGAGGTTCAGGAAGACACAGTGTTGCCCCCAGGGAAACTTCGTGTCAGAAGCCTGGTGAGTCCCTCTGTGCCTTTAGTGAAGGGCACTGGAATGGGTGCCCTCTGGAGTAGGTGCATCTGTGAGATGGTGACGGAGCACTGACTCGGCAGGGTGGCCTAGGGACCAGAAGCCACAGGGGCGGTGCAGGGCATAGGCCAGGCCCAGCAGCTGTAGAGAGCATTTGAGTAGAGGTGGGCGGCACAAAGCGGGGAGCCCAGGGACTTCCACGGGCCATGCAGGGAGCGGATGAGGGCCCTAAAGACAGGGAAGAGTCCCGACACAGAAGGGCTGTGGCCACCGAGGAGTCCAGCCCCCTCTGTCCTGGCACGCTCAGCATCTGCTCAGCCGTCAGCAGGGGCTACTTGAATGAATTCGACTCCTATGGGAGCCTTTGGAGTGAAGTGCAGCCCCGGGGAGAAGCAGATAGAGCCCCAGGGGCCGGGGCAGCGTGCAGGGTAGGAGCACACAGCCGTGACTCACTGCCCCCACCCCGCAGCTTGCGTGGGTCTGGCAGCGAGAAACACAGGCCCGGAAGAATCCCAGGGGCACAGATAACCCCAGGCGTCTCTCTGTCTCTCTCTATCTTTCTCTTCCTCTCGTTTTAATTAGCCTGGGGAGCCGGTACTCCCCACGAAGCCCTATTTTGGGGAAGATGTGCAGGCAAGGACATCTTGGATCTGGTCTGTCGGCTGGATGGGAGACTGGTGGGGAATCAGCATTTCTCCTTGCCAGGCACGGCCAATGGCCTTTGGCCTCCAGGAAAGAGCAGGGAAGTCCCAGGCCCCCGTGACTTAGGGAGCGCCTGGGAGGGCAGGCAGAGCTCTCATTCCAGGATGGTGGAGCTCACCAAGGTCAGGGTGGGAGCCGCAGGCCTGGCCCCTGGCCATGTTGCCTGGAGGTCCCATGTGTCCTCGGGTTACTCAACCCGCATGAGTCATTTGTGAAACATCCAAGAGACCCTTGTTCCCTGCAGCTGCCCCTCCGCTAGCTCTTGATAGCGCTCCCCGCAGATTCCCTGTGAGGTTGTTCAGAGCTTCTTTCCTGCCCTCCCTGGGCCTAGAAATAGTTCCAGCCCTCCCAAGGTGCTCCCTGGGCCATCCCCAAACCCAGCCCAGGTTACCTCCCCAATCCCCCCTTTTTTAAAGGTCTTGCTGTGTTGCCCAGGCTGCAGAGCAGTGGTGCGATTTTGGCTCCCTGCAGCCTCTACCTCCTGGGCTCAAGCCATCCTCCCTTCTCCGCCTCCTGAGTAGCTGGAACTACAGGCTCGCTCCACCACATCCGGCTAATTTTTTGATTTTTTTGTAGAGATGCCGTCTCGCTATGTTGCTCAGGCTGGTCCTGAGCTCCTGGGCTCCAGACATCCGCCTGCCTTGGCCTCCCAAAGTACTGGGATTACAGGCGTGAGCCACTGCACCCGGCCTCAGCTCACTCTTTCTGCCCCATCGTCACCTTCTCTGGAGCCTTCCTTGTCTCTCACCCAGATGGCTGCTCCGGCCTCTGCCCTCTGCCCTGATAACCCAGGCCCTCCACGTAGGGCCCTGCCCCTCTAGCCTGCCTCCTCCACCCTCCCCTGCAGTGGCCCTGCCACCTTCTGCCCCTCAAGGAGCCCTGCCTCTCCTGGCCAGGCTCTTAGCCCAGGCTCCCCGTGGCTCTCTGCCCCCTCAGCTCCTAGCGTGGGGGCCCTGATTGCTCTCCAGGGAGCGGGACGGCACTTGCTCCTGATCTGCATGCAGAGGATGACCCCCCAGACTTGGAGCCATCCCCGTATCATCGTTCACGAACGAAGTGCCCTGGGGTCCCTCAGACCAGGGCCGGCCGCTTCCTCATCTAGAGTCTAACATGGTGTGGTGCTGGGGTGCCAACAGTAGCAGCTGGCACCTCAGTGACGCGTGGCCCTCAGTTCATCGTATTTTCTTTACGAGACCGTCTGTTTTTTGCTTATTTAAGTATTTGCTCCCTCCCTCCGTCAGCTCCTCGAGGGCTGGGACATGTCCTGCTCAGCGCTGCCTCCCAGGGCCAAGCCCAGGACATGAACGTCTGTAGGCTGGCGAGCGCACAGCTCTGTGGAGGTTCTGCTATCCCAGTTTTATAGACTAGGACGCTAAGCCTTGCTCAGAGAGGCGAAGTGACTCGCCCAATGCCACACAGCTAGGAAGGGGTGAAGCAGGTTTTGAATCCAGGACTGTGGCCACAGAGAGCCAGGGTTCCCCTCCCACCGTGTCCTGGCCTCTGTCTGAGGCTCAGCTGTGGCCGCCGGAGTGGGACATTGGTCTCCTCCCCCGCAGAAGTTGGGAGCCTTTGTTGGCTCAACAGACATTTATCAAGCACCTGCACTTGCTGGGCTCTGACCCTGTGCTGGGCGGGGGGAAGTGGAGTGAGAAAACTGGTCTCTGCCCTCTCAAGGTCCAGTGGGCAGGAGTGACAAGTCTCTGGCAGGGACACAGCAGGACGCTGGTGCACTGGGGGAGCCGCAGCATGGTCTCCAGGGTCAGAGAAGGGCTCCTTGTCGGCAGGACAACGGCCACAAGACAGCGGGACCCCACCAGGCAGAACCCAGCCAGGTCGCCGTCAGCTGGTTCTGGCAGCACACGTGGAGGGGCTCAGAGAGCACGGGCAGGAGCCAGCGGGGAGGCCCCCATGAGGAAGTGGCGCTGAGCAGGGCCTAGAGGAGGGAGGGGGTTGGGTGGAGGGGCCCCTGCAGACCCTGCCTGATCACTGCTCTCTTGGAAGACCTCACCCCAAGAGTATGTGCACTGCAAAAGGGACTCCAGGCCTCTCTCTCCTTCTTTCAGAATCCTTCACGCCCGACCACAAGCCCCTGATGGGGGAGGCACCTGAGCTCCGAGGGTTCTTCCTGGGCTGTGGCTTCAACAGCGCAGGTGAGTCCGGGCAGCAGCCCTCCTGGCCCCCAAGAGGGAGGTCCTGTCATTCCCAGAGCTCTGGGGGAGGCGGGCGCAGGAGCACCGTGGCCCCCGACAGTGGTGGGGACAGGAGAGGCTGGGGAGTCCAGCCCCTTCTGCTTCCCAGAGAGTGCACCTGTGCCAGGGTCCAGTCCAGCAGCAGTCCAATCAGGAGGCGTGCAGCACCCCAGGTGTGAGAGCAGAGCTTGGAGTGTCTGTGCTGTCCGTGGAGATGGGGGCACATGTTTGGACATGGGTGGGGGACCCTGGGGGGCAGACCGCAGCCCTGCGCTTCTCTTCCTGCCAGGAATGATGCTGGGTGGTGGCTGTGGGCAGGAGCTGGCCCACTGGATCATCCATGGGCGCCCGGAGAAGGACATGCATGGCTATGACATCAGGTAAGTGCCCATTGGGACCTAAGGGCAGGGCCCGCCACTCAGGACAGGTGGCGTGGGGTAAACAGCGAGGGCTACTGAGAAAGGAGCCTTGCCTGAAATCCAGGTGGCTTCCTGGAAGGGGCAGCAGTGAGGGAGGAAGGCCACCAGCAGAAGGTGGGCAGTGCTGAGGGGGTGGCTGGGGGGCAGGTCCACGCCCCTTTACAGCTTTGAAGATCTCTTGTCCCAGGGTCCTGCCTGAGCCCCTGGACAGCTCTGGAGTCATCAGTGGGATGGCATCACCCCACCTCACAGATGGGGAGACTGAGGCCTGGGGGCAGGAGGGAGCGGGGCTGAGCTGGGAAAACTGTGCTGAGTGTGTATGCCGCGGCTTGCAGCCAGGCAGCCCCGGCTGTCCCGTTCAATCGTACACTGACAAAGCGGCCAGGAATGAGACCCAGTGCAAGCCACTTCCTCGTCTCTAATGCAGGGTGATGGGGAGGGGCTGTGGAGGTTCTGGGAGCAGGGAGGGCATTTGTACTGGTGAGGCACCCAGCATGGGGTCTGCACATGGAAACGCTAAGTCATCCCCAGCCGAGGCATGGACTGGGGTGCTGGTGGCCAGAGCCGGTGACGGCAGCCTATCCCGATGGCCTTCTGCCAGTCAGGGCCATCTCTTGCAGAGCACAGGACAGTGGTGCAGGCGCTCCCCGGCAAGGGGGGAGGCTCCTCCTGTGTCTCGTCCTCATGGCGGTGGCCTCTCCGACCCACACAGCAGGGCCTGTGGCCCGGGCCACTCCCCGTGCGTTGTGGGGTGGCTGTCGAGGCAGGACGGCTTGGAGGGAGCCCGGCCTCCGGGTCTCTCCAGCCCACTCTGCTCCCGGCTGCTGCTGCTGGTGGACAGCCTCCCTGGGGAGGCAGTAGGTGGGTGGGCTCCGGAGGGAGAAGGCCTGGCTCAGCTCGGTGCGCCCCTCGCCTCTGCTGACCTAGTCCTTTCCTGGCCTGATGAGGACATTACGCCCACTGTGGAGAAGAATGTCTGACCCCACGGAGACAGTGACACTGAGGCCCCCCAGCTGCCACCCCTCCATGGCACCCGACACAGTGAAGCCTCCTCTGGCTGACTCAGAGCCCGTCTGGGCCTGCGCCCCTGCACTCTCCCAAGCGAGGAATGTCCCGGAAATGATAAAACTGTAAAGGACTTCAAGGAAGGGCCAATTCAGGCCCCTCCTGCTGCAAACAGCAAAATGGAGGTGACTTGCCTGAAGTCACCCGGCTTTTGAACCAGAGCCAGGTAGGGACCCAGCTCCCTCCCCAGGAGGGACAGTCTTCATGCCCTGGCCTCCCTTGGGGATTCCAGCTCTGGAACCCACCAACCAGGGTTCTGTGTGGCCTCTCTGTGCCTCTGTATCCTCGGCTGCAAAATGGAGCTGCCCAGCCTGCCCAGCTCCTGACCTGGGGCCTAGTCCCGCACTCAGCAGACAGGATGTTTGCTCATGGGCTGGCAGAGGCCCTGAGGCGACCCCTGGCAAGTTGGGGGCAGGCCTGGGCCTCCCTCGGTCAGCTGTCTTCCTTCCATCACTGGGACTTTGGCGGGAGTGTGCCATGGGCTGCTCTGGGGCTGGGAGCCAAGGGCACAGGTGGGGAGCCCCTGAGAGCTGGAGTACAGCAGGAGGAGGAGCACCCACCCTGGAGTACAGCAGCAGGAGGAGCACCCACCCTGTTGGTCCCAGACCCCTGCCAAGCAGCCTGGCTGGTGGCACCCAGGGCACACAGGCTAATGCCGTCCTCAGCCCAGCCGTCACTGACGTGGGGCTTCCAAACCCCTTCAGTGTGCCAGAGTGGACGGCCGCCACCAGCAGGACCAGCCACCGGCCCCCAAGGGCTGTAGCACTAATGCAATGTTCTGCCACCTCGGGCCTGCGCCCGGGGACTGAGACAAGACACAGACCCTGAAGGAGAGAGACAGAGCGAGGAGAGGAAGGAGGTGCCTGAGAAAGTCGTTGAAAGACCCAGAAAAGAAAGTGAACAGAGAGCGTCGGCGCCAGAACGGAGCTCTCCCCTGCTCAGAGACTCCTGGTTGCTCCCCTCAGGCCAGAGCCAGAACACGCGTGGGTCGTCCTTCATCATACACATGGGAGACACGCACAGCGAGGGGGCGTCCCGGGAGACCAGGCAGCCTGAGCCGTCCCTGGGTGCGGGGCCTGTCTGGGCTCCGGGCTGCGCGTGAGGGTCCCAGGGCTGACCGGGCACCAGGGGGCTTCCAGGCCATGGCAGCCGCCCTGCGCGTGAGTTCCTTTTGAAATCAGATAAGAGGCTGTCTCTCCAGCCCCATATCTGTCAGCTGCATGGCCCTTGGTCAGTCGCTCCTGTTCTCTGAGCCTCAGTTTCGCCACCTGGAAAATGGGAACAATGTACCACCCTCTTGGAGCGCACTCGAGGCTCATGCGTGTGGACGCTTGGCCCAGTACCCAACAGAGGCAGAGCCAGAGTGTGGGCTGGGCTGTTTTTTCAGGGAAATTCCTTGGGGACCAGGTGAGCCAGGGAAGAGTTGCTCTTTATTTAAGTGAAAAGGGTGGTCTGGGCCGGCCTGGTCCCTCTGCCCACTTGCTCACAGGCCGAATTGGCAGCTGGGACTCTGTAGGTCACTCGCTGCTCCTGCCACCCGACGTGCACCTCACTGCTGCCCCCAAGAATCCTCCCAGACCTTCACTGGCTCCATCACCCCCTCCTTCAGCTCCTGGTCAGCATAGCCTGGCGCAGGTGTGGGCTGCCTTTGCCGTGGCCTTGCCGTGTGACTGTGAACACTTGTGAGACCCTTCCGAGCCTCAGTTTCCCCCTGCGTGAAAGAGTTAATCTTGGGTCCCATGCAGAAGGCAGCTCTGGGGACAAAGAGAGAGGGATTTCCTCCCACAGCAGCACTCAGCTCTGAGCCTGCACTGGAGCTGGGTGCCATAAGCGACAGCAGCTGTTAATGATAATATCATTAATAATAATCCTCACGTCTGCACCTCTACTCCCCACCCATCCAGATCAGAAAATTCTGCTTGCTAGAATTACGTGCAGACTAAGAATCAGCCCTGACAGGTGTCACTGAGGATAGAAACGCCTCTGATGTGGCTGCTGAGGCAGCCTTGAGTGATGAGTGAGGTTCTAGCAGGTGGAGCGTGAGGGGGAGGCGGGGTGCTGGGAAAGCCGGGGGCTGACAGGGAGGTTTGTGCGTGGGAGGCGGCTGCAGGGCCCTGATGCAGCTGGGCCCGGGTCTCACTCCAGCCAGCAGTTCCGCACTGTCGGATTCGGGACGGGTGGCTGGTCTGAGGAGACCAGGGAACAAGCCGCGGGGCACTGATTGCTCTGCCCACTCAGGGGCAGCAGAGGCCTAGGCCGCAGGTGCAGCCACAGAGCTCCGTAGCTCCATGAGAAATAGCATGGGGCCCGCCGGGTTCGTGCTGGACACCACCGGGGGCTGCCGTGGCCGCACACTGTGTCCCCAGCCTCGAAGGAACAAACCCAAAACTATTGCAGCCACATCATCTCCGGTCCCAGGCGCTGGATTGGGCAGCCGCTCCCCAGACACAGCTGGGATTTTCCCCCAGAGACTCTGTACCTCTTGGGTCCCTGGTCTGACCCACAGACGAGGCCCAGCTTTGGGATCACAGACTTGGGGAGGCCTGATGGGACAGGCGGCCACCCTTGCCCCCACTCCCCTGCTGGCGGGTGGAAAGGGGGGTTCCTTGATGAGGAGGGGGACACTGGTGTTCTGACGCATCACCAGGCTAAACTTCAAAGACCCTTCACATGGACCCTCCCCAGAGCATTCTGGGGATCTGAGCCCATCCCTCCCAGGGGCCGCTCCCTCCCCAGTCATGTAGGGGCACCCCAGGACTCCCCAGCACTGGAACCTAGGCAGCAGACAGCAATGTGTGGAGAGCGAGGCTGGAGTCCCATGTCCCTGTGGGGGATGAGAGCCTCAGCTGGGCCCTCTGTCCACAACGCCCACTCACTGAGGGCCACTGGGGTGGGGTGGCTCTGGGGGAGAAAGCTGAGTTCACCCAAGGGTGGGGCGAATGGAGAGTCAGGGGCCCGCTCAATGCTGAGCCACAAAGGGGACTCTGGTGCAGGGGACCGGGGTCCAGGCTTACCCTGGGTCCTAGGCTAGCCCTTCCCTGACGGGCCATCCCCAAAGCAGTGACCCGTCCCCCTGTCTGCGGCAGGCGCTTCCATCACTCGCTCACGGACCACCCCCGCTGGATCCGAGAGCGAAGCCATGAGTCCTACGCCAAGAACTACTCCGTCGTCTTCCCCCACGATGAGCCGCTGGCCGGGCGCAACATGAGGAGAGACCCGCTGCACGAGGTAACGCCCCTACAGCTCCTGCTGGGGACTGGCAGCGAGGGTCTGGGACGTCCTCAGGGCAGCGGAGTGACAGAAATGCAAGGTGTACCCCAACCGCAGGTCAGGTGCGGTGACAAGGTGTCTGTCATTCCCCAGGTAGTAACCCGGCACCCCCATGTGTTGGGCACAGTGCTCAGGGCCAAGAACATTAGGGAATAAAGTGGAAATGGCTCCCTCCCACCCGGGGGCTTCTGTTGTAGTGGAGGAGCAGGAACGCACACCCAGGAACCGCCCCCTGCCAACTGCTGGCAGCAGCGCCAACAGGGCAGGGGTCCTGGGGGCGGGGTCTTGGTGGGTGTATGCAGCCACGTATTGGGAGAGCAGCCAGAACACGGCGTACATTGGAGAGGGGCTCCTGCCTGTAGAGCCTGCTGCGGAGGCTCTTCTGCCCTGGTGAGCTTCGACTCACCCATTCAGTGAAACCCACTGTCAGGTGCCCCTTTCTCAGGTCTGCCCCTGTGCCCTCCCCTGGTCCCCCAAAGACAAAGGAGCTCCTTCTCTGCGCTCCCAGCCCCGTCTCCATTCCTTCCCCCTCTCCCTGGCCATCTCGTGCTGGACGCTTTGCTTTCTGGGGAACAGGGGCTATGTCCTAGGCACTCTGGTTCCTGAGCATTGAGGTGCTCGGGGGATGTTTGTTGAACAGATGGATGGGCGGGGAGGCAAGAGGGAGGCTCAGGGAGCAGGTGGCGTTTAAACTGAAGAAGGGGCCTCCCTCACCTGAGATTCCAGTGTCTGGCCCCAAGAGAGATCCTGGTATTAGCTGTACCTCCTGGGGAGAGGCCCAGAGTGGTCACAGGGCTGGCTCCCAGACTGCCCTGGCCCTTTGGCCTGGCTTGGTGGACCAGCTATGATCTCAGGCCACACATGGCCCTGGGGTCTCCCTAGCATGCCCCCGGGCCTGTAATCAGTAATCACGCCCTTGCCAGTCCTGACAGTTCAGAAGCCTCCCTGGGTGAATGCAGGGTTTGCTCCTCTCGCAGTCAGCTCAGACGCATTCCTCAGAACTGAGCAGCTCTACCGAAGAAACTTGGCAAGGGCTGAAGCACGCCCCTGCCCCCCAGGGAAATCTTGGTTCACCCACGCCTCGACTTCCCTTCCTAGTTAGCAGCCTTCTTGCGACACTTGACAGCCGCTTAAGTTTGTTCTCTTTCTTTCTTTTATAAAGAGGGGAGCCTGCCCTCTTTTAATGGGCTCTTGAGATGAACAGTTTGCCTCCTTAGAAAGGTGGCCCATGGGATGTCCCCATGGTTCACTGAGAGGTGGGTGGATTTTGTGCCCTCGATTGCCATCCCCTCAGAATCCCAGGCAGGCAGGGAGGACATGTCCATGTCATTGATGAATGCTGTGGCCTTGGGCGTGCCTCCTCCTTCTTGGGGCCTCGGGGGTGGAGGGGAGGGCAAGTGCTGTTGGGACAGACCCTCAGCGGGCCATCTGGAACCAGATGCTGCCCCCGAGGCCCTCTCAGCCCTGCGCTCGGGGCCTCGTTCCAGTCAGAGGGGGTGGCCCCTGGGTAGGGCCCTTCCAAACCCGAGAGTGGGTTTTCTTTTTTTTCCCAAACCAAATTTATTTTTAAAGAAACCTCCCACTCTGTTTCTCTAGTGTGTTCATTACATTCGTTGTTGTGATTAAGTAGGCAGATCTTAAAATGAGCTATTTTAACTGCTCTAAAGTGTACAATTCAGTGGCATTAAGTGCCTTTGCAGTGCTGTGCAACCGTTCCCATTACCCAGTTCCAGAACATTCTCATCACCCCACAGGGAAACACCATCCCCAGTAAACAGCCCTTCCTCATCTCCTCCCACCAGCCTTGGCAACCACTAAGCTGTTTCGGTCTCTATGGATTTGCCTGTTCAGGTCACTTCATATGCTGGAATCATCCAATACATGACCTTTTGTGTCTGGCTTCATTCCTGTAGCATGTTTTCAAGGTTCATCCTGTGATAAAATGTGTCCAAATTTCGTTGCTTTTTATGGCTGAATAATATTCCATGGTGTATGCAGACCATGCTTTGTTGATCCACTCATCAGCTGAGGGCCACGGGGGTTCTCTCCCCTGGTTAGTGGTTGCGCATAGAGCTCAGTGAACATGCGTGAACGGAATTTGTTTACAACCCCGCTCTCAGTTCTCTTGTGCATACTTGGGAGTGGAATTGCTGGGTCGTATGGTGCATCTTTCTGCTAGGGCAGCCACAGCAAAAGGCCACAAGTGGAGAGGTTTCAGCAGAACTTTTTTTTCCCCACATTTCTGGAGACTGGGAGGTCCAAGATCAAGGTGTCAGACGATGGGTTCCTGGAGAGGGCTCTCCTGGCTTGTAGTCGGCCACCTTCTCACTGTCCTCATGCAGCGGGGAGAGGGCCCTGGCGTCGCTTCCTCCTCCTATAAGGGCTCCAGCCGTATGGGATTAGGACCCACCCTGATGACCTCATTTAACCTAAAGATCCCATCTCCAAATAGAGTCACGTCAGGGTCAGGGCTTTGACATACGAATTTATGTGGGGATGTGATTCCGTCCATAGCAGATGGTAATTCTACAGATGGGGGTTCTCAGGGCCAAGGCAGATCAGGGCAGGTGGTAATTCTACAGATGATGGTTATCGGGGCCAGGGCAGATGGGGCAGGTGCTATTCTGTAGCTGGGGGTTCTCAGGATGAGGGCAGATAGGGGAAGGTGATAATTCTACAGATGGGGTTCTCAGGGTGAGGGCAGATGGGGCAGGCGGTAAGTCTATAGATGGGATTCCTGGGGCAAGAGCAGATCAGGGCAGGTGGTAATTCTATAGATGGGGGTTCTCAGGGTGAGGGCAGATGGGGCAGGTGGTAATTAATTCTATAGATGGGGGTTCTCAGGGTGAGGGCAGATGGGGCAGGTGGTAATTAATTCTATAGATGGGGGTTCTCAGGGTGAGGGCAGATGGGGCAGGTGGTAATTCTATAGATGGGGGTTCTCAGGGTGAGGGCAGATGGGGCAGGTGGTAATTCTATAGATGGGGGTTCTCAGGGTGAGGGCAGATGGGGCAGGTGGTAATTCTACACATAGGGGTTCTCAGGGTGAGGCAGTGAGGGTAGCTGCAAACACTGGGCTGGAGGCCTGGTTCCAAGAGTCAGGGCCTCCTTGCTCTCCGCACCCTTGGGTGTAAAGTGGCGGATGTGGCTCTCTGCCCTGCGCAGGGGTATCAGGCCATGCGTGACAGATGCCTGTTCCCCACTCCTGCTCAGGAACTCCTTGGACAAGGCTGCGTGTTCCAGGAGCGGCATGGCTGGGAGCGACCGGGATGGTTTCATCCCCGAGGCCCAGCTCCGGTGAGTAGTGCCTGCTGGGCTGTGCTGCTGGGAGGCCCTGCCCTGACAACCCCCTTGCCCCTCCACGTGCCCCGTCCTTGCCCCTCCGTGTGCCCCGCCTCCCCAGGTGGTTCCACTGTCGTGATCAGTTATTCTGCACACGGGAAGCCGAGCCCTGCCGACCTGCCCCCAAGGCTCAGTGCATTCTTTGTGCCGTTCACGCAATTCCCACTCCTCGTCCTCCCCACTACCCGTCCGCTGTGGCCAGGCCTTCCATGGCCTAAGTGGGAAGGGCTGTAGGCAGAGCAGAAGGGGTGTCCTGCGGTGGGGAGACAGCAAGAAGACTCCCCCAGGTTGCAGGAGGAATGGAGCGTCTCCTAATTCTGTGCATCTATTTTTGGCCACTCCGACTGTTGGTTTATGTCCGTAGGAGGGCAGGCACTGGGCAGGTTGATGCACCCAGGGTGCTCAGTTTCCCAGTGGAGGTTTCACAGTGGCCTGGACTCTGGGCGTCCTCTGGGGACTCCCAGGGACCTGGGTCCTCAGTGAGAGGAACAAAGGCAGTCCTGCTGTGAAACCTGGGACCCAGACCCTCGGGAGCAGGGGACGCGAGGCCTTAAGGCCAGCTGAGGGGTAGCATTTGATCCAGATTTACAGAAATCGAAATCCCCTTCCCGGGGCTGCGTCTCACCAGTCCCCTCTGGTGCACCCACCTTCCATCCCCATGGCAACCCACAGCCCAGGCCAGGCTCCAGAGCTCCAGGGCATCGGGAGGGGAGATGAGAGCCAGAGCTGGCTAACGGGGCCACGGCTCTGGGGTCAGAGCCTTGCAGGTCATCGTCTCTTCTCCTGCTGGCCCCTAGGGACATGCCGTCCTCATGAACCCTGCGGGGAGGAGGGGTCTGGGCAGACCCTGTCTTGAAGTGCAACCCACTGTGTTCCAGTCAGATCTGGCCCTGGAAGCCCCTCTCCCCTGTCCCTGGGCGAGGAGAGGAGAGTCAGGAACACACCCCAGGTCCCAAGATGGGCGGATTTTGCACCCCCACCCGGGAGCCAGCCTGGGTGTCCAGGACACCTTGGCAGGGCTGCAGTGGGTGGGATGTCCCTGCTGGGGAGGGGGGTACTCCATGCAGAGATGCCAGCAAAGCCTGACTCCCTTACAACCTCACACTGGCTCCCACTTGTGTGTGAAGAGGAGGTGAGGCTTGGGCGGACGGGGCTGGCAGCCCTGGGAGGTTAAGAATTGCCCACACCTGCATTCACAGCTGTGCCGTGTCGGCAGTTAGGAGGGCAGGTGGCGGGGTGGGGGGTTGTCTGCAGGAGCAGCGGCCAGGGAGGGGCATGGGGCTGTGGGGCTGTGGGGTGTCTGATGGGGGCAGATCCCAGGGAGGCCAAGGCAGTGGCAGAAAAGCTGGACTCTGGAGCCCACGCACCTGCCTGGCTTCGTGCCACTGCCAGGTCCAGGACTTGTCTGTGCCCTTGGGCGAGATATAACTTCTCTGCGCCTCACTTTCCTCATCTGTAGAAAGGGGCACACCTGGTAGGAGTGTAAGACGCTTCCCGCAGGGGCTGGCCCAGAGCAGGAGCTGGGCCTGGGATTGCCGTGGCTCCAGGGAGCAGCCCTGGCTGAGGTCCTGGGTAACCACCTCTCCCTGTCGTTCCCCACCTTGGGTGCATCCAGCTCCTCCTCCAGCCTCCTGGGCCCTGGCTGGGCTCTCAGACCCACCAGGCAACCCTGCGGCCTCCTTTGTGCCTCTGTTTTGCCTGGACCTCATGGGGGCCCCCTGCCCGCGTCCACAACACACGGGCACTCAGTGCAGGGCTCTCCGAGGGCAGGGCCAGGCCTGACCCCATCACAGCCTCAGCGGGACCCCGCTCTGGGGAGGGAAGCGGGGAGGGGCCAAAGAGGCAGGCTGAGGACCACGTCTTTTCTTCCCAGGTCCTCGAGTACGACTACTACGGGGCTTACGGGAGCCGCGCGCACGAGGACTACGCCTACCGCAGGCTGCTGGCAGACGAGTACACCTTCGCCTTCCCGCCCCACCACGACACGGTGCGTAGCTGGGGTCCACCGTGGGGGTCCGTCCTTCTGCCTGTCCCTCAGATAAGCCATTGCGCCGGCCCTCGGCTGGCCCTGCAGGGGCTCCCCTCCCCCAGGAGTCTCTTCGGGCTCTGCATTCACGCTTTTTTCGGCTGACTCCATTTTGAGGAGGAATCATGCGTTTTCCTCTCCCCCTCCTCCCTCTGTGCCGAGATTTTGCCAGCAGCCAGGCCTGAGCGGAAGTGGTGCTGCTGGGGATGGGGTGAGGTGGGGGCGGAGGCAACGGGCTGGGGCCCGGTGGGGCTGCACCGCTCTGAGCCTCCGCCTCCCGCTCTCCGGAGCTGCGCCGAGGCTGGCATGAGACGTGGTGGGGGAAGGGGGTCCTCCCTCCTGGAAGCCAGCGCAGAGTAGATCCAGGACAAGGGGGCCGCAGGCTCCTGGGCATCAGGCCCCGTATGGGCCCCTCCAAGGGACAAGCAGAGGGAACCAGAGCCGGGAGGGCCGTGGCCTGGAGCCTGCTTGCTGTTCCTCTGGCTCCAAAGTGGGCAGGCGAGGCTGCTCACACGGGGCAGCTGGCAGCCCGTCGCCCCTGCCTGGGGACCTGGCTCCCACGTGCAGGGGGTGGAGGTGAGGAGTCTTGGGGGTCTTCTCCCCCGCAGCAGCCTGCACCACACAGGGGCGTTCTCCCCCGCAGCTGTCCGGGAAGGAGCGAGGCCAGCGTCTGCCCTGGCCTGCCCAGTCGTGTTGTAAAGTGCTCACAGGTGGAGCACAGCTGTTGTCCCCGTGCCACCCCAGGGAGACGCGTGACACCTCACTGCGAATCTGACATAGGAGCAGAGCCAAGGCCTGAGCCCAGAGTCTCAGAGCCCAGGGACAGCTTAGGAGGCATCCACGAGGGGGTTCCTTCCTGGGGCCTCTAGGCCAGTCGCAAGTCCGGCTTGGGTAGGGTCTGACCCTGCGGTCGTCCGTTGCCTTGAAGGGCCCCGCTTGGGTTCATGCTGTGCTGTCAGTGCCTTGAGACTCTTCATGGTCTTTGAGCAAGGTCCCCACTGGGTCCCGCACTGGGTTCTGTAGCCAGTTCTGAAGGGAATAAACCGTTCATTTCCACCATCTCCCCGAAAGCTTGCTCTAGTGGTGGAACATCTGTTCAAGGCGTCGGAAGAGGGGGCTCCTGCAGGAAGGAGGAGGCGTGTGTGTCATGAAGCGCCGCAGCAGCAGGGCCGGCTCAGTGCCCGAGTCCCTTGTCGCTGCCTCCCAGGGAGTGCTCGGGGCTCCGTCTGGCACCTCCGCACCCACAGCTTCTAAAGCCTGTGGGACTCTGGCCCTCGAGGATGTGGGAGCTCGGGGGAGATGCCAACTTGGCTTTGTGGCTTCATCCGGCCTCCGCAAACGCGCCTGAAGCCGTCCTAAAGCACGAAACACGTGCTTGTTCTTGGCGCTGGCAGCTTCCCCGGCCTGCTAGAGGAGCCCAGCGCGGGAGGCTGCTGAGGGTTTTGGTTGGCAGCCCCGGTGGCATCAGCAAAGGTACAGCAGAAACCGACAAAGGGGAGCCCTGTCCTGAAGGACAGTGATGCCTGGTGGGGCTGGAGAAGCCATGGAGAGCTCAGGAGGCAGATGGTCCCTGTGGTGTGCTGGTAACAGCTTAACAACCAGCTCTCTGGGGCAGAGGGGAGGAAGCTGGCTCTGTAGCACCGGCCAATTTCCCTGATGTAAATGCTTTCTCCATGGCTGATTTCAATCCAGTCCGCCAATGAGGCATCACTGAATGTGGAGCTGGGCAGGGATCTGCCTGACCAGCTGTCAGGGTCAGTGCACCCCTGCACAGCCTGGCTGGACCATAACTCTGCCACTGCCTGGCTGTGCCACCATCCCTGGCCTCCCTGAGTATGTGAGGGGTAATATGAGTTCCCTTGTGGAAACTCAAAGGGAGTTTGGGAGGAGATGAAACAGCTTCCCGACACACGGCAGCTGTTCAGGAAGCTGTGGTTGTTGCTGTCATGATTATTTTTTTCCTGTAACAACAATGAGGTGGGCACCTCTGCTCAGCAGTGGGGGGCATGTTGAGCCCTGAAGGGGAAGACCAAGTAGAACATACAGTGAAGAATAGAAGATTCTCAAAACCTCACCCAGGCATTTGTAAACCTGGGGAAGGAAATAGGGAGTGATGTTGTTTATGTGTGTGTGTGTGTGCGCGTGCGTGTGTGTGTGTGTGCTTTGAAAACAGCTTTATTGAGATCTAATTCGCATACTATATGATTTATTCATTTAAAAGGTACAACTCAGTGTTTTTTAGTGAGTTCACGGGATTGTACAACCATCACCATGATCTAGTTTTAGAATGTTTTCATCTCCCAGCAAAAGATACCCCACACCTCACCCTATCCCCAGCCCAGGGCAACCCTACTCTACTTTCTCTCTCTGTAGATATATCTAGTTTGGACGTTTCACGTAAGTAGAATCATAAAAGATGTGTGCTTTTGTGATCAGCTTCTTCCACTTAGCGTGATATTCTCAAGGCACATTCATGTCGTAGTGTGTGTGTCAGCACTTCATTCCTTTTTTTTTTAATTTTTCAAATTTTTATTTATTTATTTATTTTTTGAGATGGGGTCTTGCTCTGTTGCCCCAGGCTGGAGTGCAGGGGTGCAATTCGGCTCACTGCAACTTCTGCCTCTCAGGTTCAAGCGATTCTTCTGCCTCAGCCTCCCAAGTAGCTGGGATTACAGGCACAGGCCAACATGACCAACTAATTTTTGTATTTTTAATAGAGACGGGATTTCACCATGTTGACCAGGCTGGTCTTGAACTCCTGACCTCAGGTGATCCACCTGCCTTGGCCTCCCAAAGTGCTGGGATTACAGGCATGAGCCACCATGCCAGGCCACTTCATTCCTTTTTATCCCAATCATATTCCATTGTATGGACCCATCATATTTTACTCATCCATTGATCCGTTGGTGGACATTGGAATTGTTTTCACTTTTGAGTTCTTATGAGCAGTGCTGCTGTGAACATCCACGTACCAGGTGTCGTATGCATGTATGTTATAATTTCTTATGGGTATATAACGAGGCCTGGGTCAAGTGGTATCTCTGTTTAACATTTTGGGGGAACGCCAACTGTTCTCCAAAGTAACTGTACCACATTACATTCCCCACCACAGTGCGAGAGGGTTCCAGTGTCTCCACATCCTCGCCAACACTTATTATTATCTGACTTTTTGATTCTAGACATCCTGGTGGTTGTGAAATGGCATTTCAGTGTGGTTTTGATTTGCATTCCTGGAACAACTAATGATGTTGAGCACATTTTCATGGGCCTGTTGTCCACTTGCATATATTCTGTGGAGAGATGTCTGTTCAGATCCTTTGTCCCTTTTAAAATTGGGTTATTTGTCTTATTATTATTATTATTATTATTTGAGACAGGGTTTCGCTCTTGTTGCCCAGGCTGGAGTGCAATGGTGTGATCTCGGCTCACTGCAACCTCCGCCTCCTGGGTTCAAGCAATGCTCCTGCCTCAGCCTCCTCAGTAGCTGGGATTACAGGTGCACACCACCACGCCCAGCTAATTTTGTATTTGTAGTAGAGATGGGGTTTCTCCATGTTGGCTAGGCTGGTCTCAAACTCCAGACCTCAGGTGATCTGCCTGCCTCAGCCTCCCAAGTAATTATCCTGCCTCAGCCTCCTGAGTAGCTGGGATTACAGGCATGCACCACCACGCCCAGCTAATTTTGTATTTTTAGTAGAGATGGGGTTTCTCCATGTTGGTCAGGCTGGTCTCGAACTCCTGACCTCAGGTGATCCACCCGCCTCAGCCTCCCAAAGTGCTGGGATTACAGGCATGAGCCACCGCAGCCGACTGTCTTTTTATTATTGAGTTGCAAATTTTTTTATAGTTTAGTTACAAGTCTCTTATCAGATCTGTAATGTGCACACACTCTCCCCATCCTGTGGTTGTCATCTCTCTTCCTTGATGGCATTGTTTGCAGCTTTTAAAATGTTGATGCTGTCCAATTCATCTCTATGTTTTTGTTTTGTTGCTTGTGTTTTTGGTGTCATGTCTAAGAACCTAACCGAAGGTAAAAAACATTTATGTTTTCTTCTAAGAGTTTTATATCTTCGCTTTTACACTTAGGTCTAGGATCCATGAAAATTAATTTTTTTTGCATGGCGTGAGGTCGGGTCCAGCCACGTTCTTTTGCATGTGGCTACCCAGTTGGCCCAGCACCAGTTGTTGAAAAGATTGCTCTACCCTTGGAATTGTCTTGGCACCCTTGTTGAAAATCAATTGACTGTAAAGATGAGGGCTTATTTCTGGACTCTCAATTCTATTCCGTTGATCTATAGGTCTATTCTTATTTAGTACCTCACTGTCTTGATTATGTGGCTTTGTATTTTAATAGCAAGTTTGGAATCAAGAAATGTGAATTCTGCAATTTTGTTTTTCCTTTTCAATATTGTTTTGAGTATTATTGGCCCCTTTGAATCTCCATATGAATTTTAGGATTGGCTAGTCAATTTCTGCAAAGAAACCAGCTGAGAATTTTGATAGGGACTGTGTTAGGTCTGTAGATCAATTTGGGGTATCTTGTCATTTCAACAATAGTAAGTCTTTTGTTTCATGAACATGGGCTGTCTTTCCACTTATTTAGGTCTTCTCTCATTTCTTTCAAAAAATCTAGATTTTAGGATATAAGTTTGGGACTTTTTAATTAAATTTATTCCTAAGCATTTTATTATCTTGATGATATTACAAATATAATTTTTTAAAACTTCCTTTTGAGACTGTTCATTGCTAATATAGAAATACAATAGTTTTTTGTGTGTTTTTATATATTGACCTTGTATCCTGCAACCTCGTTGAACTATTTTATTAGTTCTAACAGTTTTTTTTCTTTTTTTTCTTTTTTTTTTTTAGTGGATTCCTTAGGATTTCCTATATACAAGATACTGTTTTGGCAAATAGGGATGTTTTTATTTCTTCTTTTCTGATCTGGATGCCTTTTATTTTTCTTTTCCTGCCTAATTGCCCTGGCTAGAGCCTCCAGTGCAATGTTGAATAGAGTGGCAAGAATGGACCCCCCTGTCTTGTTCCTGATCTTTCATCATGAAGTATAATGTTTGCAATGTGATTTTTATAGGTGTCTTTCATCAGCTGAGGGAAGCTCCCTTATAGTCCTAGTTTGTTGTGCGTTTTTATCATGAACGGGTGAATTTTGTCAAATACTTTTCTGTATCTGTTGGAGGATCAGATGGTTTTTGTCCTTTGTTCTCTTAATATGTTGCATTACATCAATTGATTTTTGAATGTTAAACCAACCTCATATTCCTGGGATAAATCCCATTGATCATGGTGTGTAATCTCTTTCCTATGTTGTTGGATTTGATTTACTAGTATTTTGTTGAGGATTTTTTTGTATCTATATTTGTAAGAAATATTGGTCTGTAGTTTTCTTATAATATCTTTTTCTGCTTTTGGCATCAGGGTAATGCTGGCCTCCTAGAGTGAATTGGCAAGTATTTCCTATTCATATTTTTTGGAAGAGTTTGGGAAAAATGGGTATTAGTTCTTTGACTGTTTGGTAAAATTCATCAGGGAAGCCATCTGGACCTGGGATTGTGGACAATTTTTCAATTACGAATTCCATCTCTTTTTTGTTTTAGTTCTATTAAGATTTGTCATGTCTTCATTCTGTTTCAGTAATTTGTGTGTTTCTAGGAATTTGTCCATTTCGTGTCTAGTCTGTTGGCATACACGTGTTCGGAGTTCCCTCAGAATCCCTTTTATTTCTGTGGGGTAGGCATGATCTCCTGTCTTTCATTCCTGATTTTAGCACTTTGAGTCCTCTCATTTTCTCTGTCACTCTAGCTAGAAGTTTGTCCATTTTGTTGATCTTTTCAAAACATCAACTTTTTGTTTTGCTGTTTTTTCCTATTTTTCGATTCTTATTTCTGTTCTAACATTTCATTCCTTCTGCTTGCTTTGGGTTTAATTATGCTCTTTTTCTGGTGTCTCAAAGTGGAAGATTGGGCTATTGATTTGAGATCTTCTTTCGTAATGCAAGCACATACAAGCAGAAATTTCCCTGTGAGCATCGCTTTAGCTGCATCTCATAAGTGGTTGTGTGTTGTGCTTTCATTTTCATTTAATTCAGTAGCTTCTAATTCCCTTTGTGATTCTTTTCTTTGATCCATTGGTTCTTTAGCAGTGTGTTGTGTAATTTCCACATATTTGTGAATTTTCCAATTGTTCTTCTGCTATTGATTTCTAATTTAATTACATCGCGGTCAGAGGACATCCTTTGTATGATTTCAACCTTTTTGAATTTATTGAGCCTTATTTTGTGGCTTAGCATATTATCTATCCTGGGGAGCATGTCCTGTGCTTGGGAAGCATGTGTCACAGTGTGCACCTGAGCTGAGAAGGGCTTGGTGCGGGCTGGAAGAGAGGGAGGGGAGGCTCAGTACAGGTGTGTTGGACACAGCCCCCGTTCTCCACGTTCTTGAGGAAGAAGCACACCCCAAAGGCCCCCGTGGCATTCCCACCTGTCTGGAACTTTTCAGATCAAGAAGGAGTGCCTGGCCTGCAGAGGGGCCGCCGCTGTGTTTGACATGTCCTACTTCGGGAAGTTCTACCTGGTGGGGCTGGATGCAAGGAAGGCTGCCGACTGGCTCTTCTCCGCAGATGTCAGCCGACCCCCAGGTATGGAGCCTGAGGTTGGGGGGCATGTTCCTGTCACTCCATGGGCACAGCCTCAGGCACTGAGATGAGCTGGCAAGCCACCCTGTCCCCTCGGGCACCCTGAGCACACTGCTCCTTGCCCTCACCTGGCTTTGAGCTCCCCCCCGTCCGGCCCCCTTTGCCCCATCCCAGGCCCCAGGCCCTCATTACTTTCCTCCACCTCTCCCTCCTGCCTTCCTTCTCCTCCCTACCTCTGCCTTCCTCTCTACTCTTCCAGAAAGGATGTGTGGCAGCTGGCCCTCAGCCACGTCTCTCCTGGGACTGTGGGGCCCAGTCCCCCCCATGCTCTCACAGGTGGGATTGCCAGAATTAAATAGAAACACAGGATGCTAAGCTACATTTGAATTTTGGATACATAATGACTCATTTTTAATGTAAGTATGTCCCAAGCCATATTTGGGACATACTTGGGATCTTCATCTGCCTTTTCGTCACCCACCCACCCACCCACCCAACAGCTCATGCGTCCCCATCTTCATGAGTGTTCTGGGCTGCCAGAACAGAGGATCACAAACCTGGTGGCTTAAAACAACACCAATTTATTGTCACGGTTCTGGAAGCTGGAGGTCAAAATGAGGGTGTCTGTACCTGACACTCTGCAGAGGACCCTTCCTTGCTCTTCCAGCTGCTGGTGGTGGCCGGGAGTCTTGGCCTTCCTCGGCATGCAGCTGCGTCACTGCAGTCTCTGCCTGTGTCACAAGGCCTTCTCCAGGTGTTCTCTTTTTTGTTTTGTTTTGTTTTGAGACGGAGTCTCGCTCTGTCGCTCAGGCTGGAGTGCAATGGCGCGATCTCAGCTCACTGCAACCTCCGCCTCCTGGGTCCAAGTGATTCTCATGCCTCAGCCTCCTGAGTAGCTGGGATTACAGGCGCACACCACCATGCCCAACTATTTTTTCTATTTTTAGTAGAGACGGGGTTTCGCCATATTGGCCAGGCTGGTCTGAAACTCCTGACCTCAGGTGATCCTCCCACCTCAGCCTCCCAAAGTGCTGGGATTACAGGTGTGAGCCACCGTGTTAGAAGGACAGCAGTCAGATTAGATGAGGGCCCACACTCATGACCTCACTTTAACCTGATCATATCTGCAAAGACCTCATTTCCAAATAAGATCACACTCCCAGTCCTGGTGAGGACTTTCACATATCTTTTGTGGGGGACACAATTCAACCCCTAACATCATCTCTTCAGCCAGCCAACCAACAAACCCACTCCCCAGACTCCCAGGCACCTGCTGCTCACCTCCCATTAATCCAGCCACCCACTCAGTCTTGCATCCACCCATCCACCAGCCCACACATCCCTGTTTCTCCATACATCTGTTCCCCCTTCTGCTCACCCACTCCCATCCTCCCATCCATCTGCCCACCTTCCCATCTGTCCATCCATCCTCCATCCACAAAGTAATTTATGCCACAGACATTTATGGAGTCTTCTCCGGTACCAGGCACGGAGCTAGGAGCCCCAGAATGAACGGGGGGCATGAATCCTGTCCCTAGAAACTTCTCAGCATGGTGGTGGATGGGTGGGAGGGGCCAGTGCCAAGGCATTTCAAGAAGAAAGAAGCTTCCTTCCCGCAAGGGTGACGGTGATGGGATGTCCTGCCCATGGCCAGTCCTCTCTGGGTCATTAAGCTGAAATGGCATCCCTGGGCTGAGGAGCTCTCCAGGTCACCTCCCAGTAGGGCATCCTGTCTGGGGGTTATCCAGCCTCCGTGACAAGGAGCTGCCCCTGTGAGCGGCCCTGGGGAAACTGAGGCAGCACAGACCCGGCTGGGGCCTCAGCACAGACCCGGCTTCCTTCTCCCTCTCGCAGGCTCCACCGTGTACACGTGCATGCTCAACCACCGTGGGGGCACCGAGAGTGACCTGACTGTCAGCCGCCTGGCACCCAGCCACCAGGCCTCCCCGCTGGCCCCCGCCTTTGAAGGTATGGGATGCCTCTGTGCACACGGCGCTGTGACTGCGGCCTGCTCTGTGGACTGGTGGTTGTGGACAGGGCAGGATGGACGGGATGGGCTGCTGACGGCAGCTCTGTCATTAGCTGTTGTGCCCGCTGTGGTCAGAGCTGGGAGATTAGAGGTCTCGTTTCAGGCTAAATGGGGGCTTTGTTCAGGCGGCATTGCTGGAGCTCCCAGTACTCAGTGATTGCATCTCTGAACCTGTCCACGCTGTTGCGGTTCGGAGTGGCTGCAGTGTGGGCGTGCTCGGCTCGGTTTCCCGGAACAAAGCGTACCAATGCTAGGCCGTGCCTCCCACTCAAAGCAGTCAGCTCCTTTCTGCCACTGACATCCTTGCTGGGTTGACTTCTCAGGCCCGTGTGACCCTCTAGTCTGGAGCTTGGATAGGCCCTTAGAAGACGTCCAGTTCAGGGCCCACGCTGATGCCTGATTGCCTGCTGCAGTCCCACCATGTCTGCTTGCATACCCTCAGGGACAGGTAGCTCAGTACCTTCATCCCTTGTTTGCTCAGCCCCAACTGTTACGCAGAGCCAGGACCTGCCTCTTGTCCCTTCAGCTCCCTGATCCTGTCCCTGGGTTCACACAGGAGCCATCTGATCTCTCGTCCTGTAACCCATCCCCACCAGGGATGAAGAAGCAGAGAGGGAAACATTCTCTTTCTCCAGGAAGAGGCATTGCCACCTCTGGGATGGGACCTGCACAGGGGAAGGTGCTGACCGTGCAGCTCTCTGTGCTGTCCCCGGGGCAGGGGCACAGTCAGCGGGGAGGGCTCAGCCCATTCAGAAAACCTGGCATCTCCTGGTTCTTGACCTGACTCCGTGCTGCTGGCAAATGTAGTTGTTTCCTCACTGGGACTCGGTCAGTGTCGAGCCCCAGCTTGGGCACTGGGGGAGAGAGGCAAGGGGAGAAAGGGGCTCATTCATGATCAGCTCATAACCCGCACCTTCGGCAGCAGTCATTGAGCACCGACTGTGTGTCAGGCTCAGTTTGAGGCACGGAGGACCCAACAGTGAGCCAAACACAGGAGGTTCTGGCCCATGTGGAGTTTGTATCTCTGGTGGGAGGAAATAGGATTAAAAAAATAAAATAAGTGGAAGGTGTAGGATGTTAGATGGGTCAAGAGGAAAAATGAAGACCGGAGGGGGTGGGATATTGGGGGCCAGGGTGGGAAGACAGCGCTCCTCACTGCCCAGCGGGTCTTCGGGGCTGGGGGCTGGCAGGGGCTCCTGGGCCTCTGCGGTTCTGCCAAAAGCAGGGAGTAGTGAGGTGAGCCCTGCGGTCTGGAGGCTGGTGGCGGAGATGAGGCTGAGAGCGTGAGTGAGGGGTCCTATGGGGTGCGCAGAGCTCGCCCACCCCTTCCCTCCTGCCGTTGGCGACGTGGAGGCTGAGGGAGCCATGGGCTGAGCCACAGCGCTCGTGCCTCATGGATCCATGAGCTCGTTCCTTCGCTCGTTCCCTCAACAGTCATCACGTGAGCCTGCACTGTGTGGAAGCACCAGGTAGCCAGGGTCGGGAGGAGGTGAAGGAGGCCGGTGGGGCTTCAGGGACCCCACAGTGGGCTGTATGTCCAGACGGGGGCAGGAAGGGCCCCGTAACACCTGGAGGGGGACATGCAAGGGGATGGGAAAGAGCGAGGTGTTAGGGAAGGCCATGTGAAGCCGCCGAGCCGGGATGAGCAAGGCTTCCTGGAGGAGAGGGCCGGCCTGAGCTTGGAAGGATGGGGAGGAGCCACTGGCTACAAGGGTGTAGAGGTGAGAACCAGTGTGACCTGCCCATCGCTGGTCGTCTCTGGGTCATTCAGCTGAAATGGCATCTCTGAGCTGAGAGGAGTGTTGCCTGTAAGGAGCTAGGCATCAGCCCCCAGTAGAGGGGCGGCCCAGGCACAGCCCATAGCCGCAGACTTAGTGAGTCTAGCTAGGGAGACAGTAGAGGGGCCAAAATGAGGACACAGGTCACCAAAAATCCTGGCCAGGTCCTGCCACTACCTGGCTCAGCGACCTGCCCCCCCGAGCCTCAGTTTCCCCCATTGGTGGAATGGAGTGAGGAAGACGCGCCTCCCGGGGCTGCGATGGAGAATTGAGTCAGAGTCTGGGGGTGCTGGGAGGGCTGGGGAGCAGCCTCCCTGAGCCTCAGTTTCCCTGGCTGGGGAATGAGGACCTTGCTCGTCCCCCCTCATAAGGGGAAGCTGTCAGGAAAGTGCTTTCAACGCTGAGCCATCTCCCAGTGGTGCACAATTAGCTTTCCAGAGGATTCTGGTGGATTCCTAGAGCTGAGGGCTGGGGATCGGCGGTGCTGGTTGCTGGGAAGGTTTGCACTTGGTGGGTGTGGAGTTAGCACAGTGAGTCACATCCCCCAGGGCTCTGCGGGTCCTGGGGACACCACTCAACAGGAGAAAACCACCATGTGGGCTTTGCTTTACTTTCAGGCTTCAAAACTGCACTGTTTGAGTTATGAATATGCATGGGCATTAAATATGCGCGTGTTGAATACGTGCGCTACCTACCCATGCTGCATCAGATCACCACGGAGCCGAGAGAATGTGATGATTTACACAATGTGATCAAGGTGGCATACAAAGCAGCTGTCAATCTCAAAAGTAATTTTAAATGGTCTTTATTGATCTTTTTGTAAGATTACAAAAGGATACATGCTCCTGGGAACCATTCCAATGATACTGAAAAGCACAAAATCAGCTGCACAGCCCACAGCTCCCCCCACACCCACTGCCGATGGTGCAAGTCCCCGGCCACCCTGCCTTCTCACTGCTCTCTGCCATGTCAGCTTTGCAGGCCAGGCCTGGACCTGGGCTGACTGACCTCTGGCCTCAGGACTGGCGTCTTGTTTTCAGGGAAGTTGATCATGGATGGTCAGGGCCACAGGAGGCCAGGCCCATCAGCTGCCATCTCCCTGGGCACCAGTTGGCCTCAGTAGCTCCCATGCCCTCCTGGGAGAGGCCTGGGATGGCTGCAGACTGGGGGGGCCACTCAGGAGCCAGGGGCCTGAGAGTGGCCGTGTGTGTGTGTGTGTGTGTGTGTGTGTGTGTGTGTGTGTGTGTGTTGGGGGAGGTGAGGTAGGGTGTCTGTCTGAATAGAGCTGAGGATTCCATCCAGAAACGGCCCCAGTTCAGGTGTCGGGGAACCCCTTGAGGACTGGCTTGTCTCTTTGCCTTCATTCTCTGTTGTGCTTATGGTGTCAAGAGGAAGAAGAGAGGGAGCAGCCTGGCTGGGGCCTGCCTGGGGCCCTGAGAGGTCTCTCGTCCAAGGGTGCTTCCAATAGCCCTGTGGGGCCAGATGTTGTGGGTCTGCCCCTTTTACAGATGAGAAAATGGGGGCTCAGAGAGGTGAGAAGCAAGGCCGGTGAGCCGCAGAACTGCATCTGGGCCAGGCTGGCCTAGGCCTGTGTGTTCCCAAGACACCGTCCTCCCAGGGTAGGGGCATCCCTTTGAGGTGTCTGCAGAGGGGTGGGTGGTAGGGGTTGAGAAGCAGGTCCTTCTCCTAACCCCCATGGCTCAGAGGATACTCTGCAAGGCGTGGCCCTGGGGGACCCAGGGAGGGACAGATACGGTTCCTGGGCACTGTGAAGGCACAGGCCCCTGAGAGGGCATTTGTTTTCTCAGCCGGGAGACCCTTGGGCCACCCTCTCTGTCCCCACCTCCCAGGCCCTGAAATCCTGCTCTAAGTCCAGGTGCCTCTCTTCCAGGGGACGGTTACTACCTGGCCATGGGCGGGGCCGTGGCCCAGCACAACTGGTCCCACATCACCACCGTGCTGCAGGACCAGAAGTCCCAGTGCCAGCTCATCGACAGCTCCGAGGACCTGGGTATGATCAGTATCCAGGGCCCAGCCAGGTGAGAGAGGACTGGGAGCCCGCCCCTGGGTGCACCTGCTGCCTGGACCCAGGTCCTCCAACAGGCCCTTGGGCAGAACAGCTTGTCCAGAATGGGCCATTCTGAATAGTTAAGCGCTCTGGTAAACCAGAGATGCCATTCTGAATAAATATCTTCAAAGCACTGGAATGCAGATAAGCCGGTAACACGAGTCAGACTGAAATTTACAGCTGTTCAGTCACTGAGGACCCCAGGATCCCAGAGGGGAGGGCAGTCTCTGAGTCACCAGTGCAGTCTAGGAATTACCGTCCACCATCCCAAAGTGGGCAGAACCAGGCCAGATTTCGCCCTGCTACCTGGTAATTTCTGTACGCCACCTTGATCACATGGGCAGAATAATATCCTATACCGAGGGGTCCCTGGCTCCTCCGGAAACACCCTCCATGACAAGGTTAAGGCTTATCCATGCGTGCATTCCTTCTATAAACACCTGCCGGGCTGTGTTCCCCACCCATGAGAAACCAGGACCGGGGAAGACCCTCGGCTGCTGGCTCATGCACACAGCCACAGAAGAGTCTTGGGCAAAAGGACGGCTGAGCAGGTGTGCACCTTGGAAAGACCCCTCTGACTGTGCTTCGGAGGCTGGGAGAAGGGACTGGGGGTGGGGGACAGGGAGGAAGGACATCATGTTAGCAGCCACCAGTGGAGCACCTGTGACTTGCCAAGCCTGAGCCAACATCTCCCATCCCCACGGTAGCCCTTTGAGGTGGTCATAATTGTTCTTATTTTTACTGATGCAGAAACTGAGAAACAGAGAGGTTGAGACATTTGCCCAAGGTCACACAGCTGGTCAGTGCCAGGGCTGATGGGGATGCGTCCCCCTTGTGCTCAGAAGCCTGCACACGCTCACCGCCACCCTTTTTCAAGAGTTAAAAATCCTCTGTGAGAAAACGGCCTAGTCTAGGCCTTCCATTGGTGACCCTCCCCCACCAGGCTAAGGGGCCAGGACACTCATCTCGGTGTGCTTCCTGCCGCCACATCTGCCTTGGGGCTGGACAGGGTGGCTCTGCTGGACTGGGCAGGAGGAAGAGGCACGAGATGAGGGCACTGCTTCTGGGGACATGGAGGATATCAAAGGGGTGATCTGTCTCTGGAAAATGATGGTGGCAGCTTCGGGGAGAGGATGGGAAAGGAGAGGAGGAGAGGCAGGGAGGGGTGGGGGGGAGATGAGTCTCCAGCCTGAAGGTCGCCGAGGTGAGCACTTGACGTAGCAGGGCTGTGTCCTGGTGATATCCTGTCAGCCTGGGATTCTGCCGAGACCTCTGGCTGGAGTGCCCAGACTCTGCCATGGGGTCCGCTTTCCCTGGCACCCCACGCTGAGTCCTAGGCCAGTTGCTCCCCTCTCAGGCTGCAAGGGACCGAGCTGTTGCTGTCCGTCCAAGCATATGCACTGTGGTGCTCAGGGGCACACGGTAGACGCGTGCTTGCTGAGGAAGGGATAGAATCGGAGAGGGTCGAGTGCTTTAACACTAACTGGCTTCTGCCAAGTGTTTGACTTGAGGCTGCTCATAGAAACCAACATGCATTAAGGAGACATTTGGGCAGAACCCTGCAGGAAACGAGTGACCCAGCCTTGGTGTTCTGGGGGAACTGCTCCCAGCAGTGGTAACAGCAGGTGCAAAGGCCCCGTGGCAGGCCAGTGCGTATGTCTGAGGCACGCATTGAGGCTGGGATGGAGCAGGCCAGGAGCCGGGCTCAGAGGGCAGCAGGGTGAGATACTGGAGGCCCAGCAGCTGCTCCTCTGAGGGAGGGGTGCTGAGCAGAGGAGGAACATGGTCGGGCTTGGGCTTTGGTGGGGGGGTCTCTGCTGTTGGGTCAGCGGGCAGGGGGCCAGCAGGCCTGTGAGGAGCCTCAGGCCAGGCGAGGCAGGGATGCCAGGAGGGAGTGATGAGCTGAGTCCATGCGGCTCACGGGCGAGGGTTTGGCGTTGTGGTGGTTCCCATGGACTGGGCGAGGCTCATAGCACCCGACAGTGGATGGGGTGTGCTGAGAGGGTCGGGGGAGGGTAGGGGACAGAGACAGCTTCCGCGTGCATGATGAAGAGTGGAGGGTGCTGGCCGCAGCTGCCGGGAAAGGGACTGGGATGCGGTGGAATCATGCAGTCCCCAGCCTGGCCCACAGGCAGCCGCGATGCTGTGTGCTTTTCATTTCTCACCTGGGTGACCCCAACCTCCGCATCTCTGGGGTAGAGGGAGGGGTGTCAAGGCCTGGTCCTTGGAATCCTCTGGCTTCATTGCCACGCCAGCCTTGGACAGGGAGTGGGGATATTTTTAGTGTGGGGGAGGCAGGTGGGCCGTGGAGGGAGGAGGTGGCAGATGGACCGATCAAGGTGCGGCCCGGGGGCGGCCGGTGCGCCCAGCCTCATTATAAGCTGCTCCAGGCGGTGGCGGGGGAGGCAGCCAGGGCGGGAAGAGGAGCTCGCTGCCTCCTGGTAATTTCTTAACTTTCTCCTCCAAAATGTCCTCTATCTTTCAAAAATAACCCAAAGTTTCTTAGATGAATAATAATACTGGTGCTGCTGATAAAGGCTGCACTTTCGGAATTGTTATTCAGGACGTGCTCAGCACACCTACTGGACAATGGAGTAGGGGCTGTGTGAGCTGCTGCCCCATGGAACTTTCTGGAAATGCTCCATAACTGAGTGGTCCAACACGCAGCCACTAAACCCTGTGTGGCTACTGAGCCTTTGAAATGTGGCTAGTGGGACTGCATTTTTAATACTAGTGGATGTAAACTCAAATAGCCCCCTGTGCTGGTAGAGGCTGGGCTCGGTGGCTCATGCCTGCAACCCTAGCACTTTGGGAGGCCGAGGTGATAAGATCGCTTGAGTCCGGGAGTTTGAGACCAGCCTGAGCAACATAGCGAGATCCTATCTCTAAAAAAACAACAAAAAAATTTTTCAATTAGCTCAGCACGGTGGTGCACACCTGTAGTCGCAGCTACTTGGGAGCCCAAGGCTGGAGGATCGCTTGAGCCCAGGAGGTCAAGGCTGCAGCGAGCTGTGATTGTGCCACTGCAAGCCGCCCTGGGAGACAGGGTGACCTTGTCTCAAGCCAAAATGAAACAAAACAAACCAAAACCAATATCCTTGCGTGGCTGGGAGAGACGGTGTCGTGCAGCCCAGAACTGGCCATCGCTGTGGTCATGGTTAGCACCAGGGGCTTTGTGTGCTTTCTTGCTGGTTCCTCACAGTGGCCCGTGGCATCACAGATGAGGGACTGGGGCTTGGTAGGGTTCAGGGGTAAGTACAGGGCCTGGGACTAGAACCGGGGCCTCTGACTGGGAAGCTCGTGGACCCCTGGAACTGGGCTTCCCCTGAGGTTGCTGAGCCCATAGCCTGGGTCAGAGCCCTTCAAAGCCTTGGACCAGGTGGCAGCTCCAGGCTTCTGCCCCAGGGTCCCTTCCGTGCGGCTGCCACTCAAGGCTGCAGAGAGCATGTGCTTGTCAGGTCTGAGGCACTGGTATCACTCTCCAGGGCTTGGCACCACGTGGGTGCTGAGTGGTTACATAAGGGTCTTGGCCAACTGTACCACAGCTGAGCACCTCAGGCTGACGTGGGTGGCGGCTCCCAGCACTGTGACGATTGGGATTAGGGTCAGCAGTACTTCTGGACAGCCCACCCTGCAGCCTCAACACCTGCTGGGATCCCAGAGGGACAGAAGTGGGGGGGCGTCTCCTAGCAATGGGGGCCTCACCCTGCTGTGCCAAGCCAGGGTGTTCACAGTCAGTTCTATTTACTGAGAGCCTGCTCTGTGCCAGGCACATTGGGATAGGGGGATGCTGTTGGCACGGAGCTCCTGGGGGTGGATGCATTGGGGGTGGGTACAACCAATGTGAGAGACACCCTGGCAGGAGACTGTGGGATCTTGGACAACGAGTACCTGCCCAAGACCTAGGGAGTCAGGGAGGGCTTCCTGGGGGAGGTGACAGCTGAGCCAAGAGCTGAAGGATGACAAAGGGTTAAGTGGTGACAGGGGAAGGGGTGAGAATGCGAAGGGGCACAAGAGGGCTAGGCCTGGAGGTGGGCACGGTGCCCAGGAGGTGAGGGCTTCCTGGGAGACCATGGGTGTTGGCTCCAGTGAGGTCTCCGGTACTTGCGCAAGTGTGAGAGTAGATGTGGTGCTGGGTACCACGGAGCAGGGAAAGTGGGGAGCGAATCCCCACCCTCGCAGAGCTTAAAAGCAGGGGTGGACCCAGCAAGTCTGTGCAAACTGTCCAGTATGGACTGAGTGTCCAGTGCTCAGGAACATTCCCGGGCCCTCATAGCACTGTGGCACTCAGGTGCAGCCCTGCCCTCGGTAGGTGACAGTCCCCTAGGAGGTTGAAATGGCTCTTAGCACCTGCTGGGTGCTAAGCCCAGCTCTCTACCTCCTCCAAGTCTGCAGCCTGAGCGTCTCACACCCATGTCAGGCAGAGGACTTTGGGGCCGAGGTGCCCAGTTGGAGGGTTAGGTCAGGGAACAGAGCGGGGTGGTGTCTGGGAAGAGCACTTTCTGCAGTGGGCTGGGAGGAGGCCGGAATCTGCTCCAATCCGGCTCTGCCTTGGGCAAGTTACTCTACTCTTCTGTACAGCACTGAGGCCACCATAGCCAGCTCCTCTCTCGGGCCGTGGCTACCAAAGCAGCAGCTGAGGCCCCTCTGGCCTCTGAAGAGTTGGAAACCTGGAGAGGCCTGGGGATGTGGATTGTGGATTGTGGACCTGGTCCAGATGCTCTGTTCCTCCTGGCCTGTGGGCTTCAAGGGCATTCTATGGTTAGATAACCACTCTGGCCTCACTTCCCCATCTAAGAATCGCGAGTCCCGTTAGAGCTATCTCCAAGTCTGGCCTCCCCCAGGGGTCCTGCTAGCCCTAGCGTTACCCCGTTGGAAGGTGGCTGTCTTATGTATATTTGGAACGTACATCTGTCTTGGTGTATTTTTATTAATCCATGTTTATTGTCATCTGTCTCATGAGGACAGGGACTTATCCCACTCATGGCAGGTCCCCGGGGCCTTTCCTGCCCAGGCCCCACCCGTGAGCACTTGCTGACTGAGCGACTTTGCTCTTGCCTGCAGCCGAGCCATTTTGCAGGAGGTGCTGGACGCAGACCTGAGCAACGAGGCCTTCCCGTTCTCCACCCACAAGCTACTGAGAGCCGCAGGGCACCTGGTAGGTTCCAGCTGGCCACGTCCTCTGGGTCGTGGGTGGCAGCATGGTGTGAGGGGTGCGCCGGGGGATCTGGGGGCTGGGGGCTCTCGGGCAGGTTCCTTTGCCTCCCTGGGCCTCGGTCCCCAACTGTGAAGGGGGGACAGTGGGACCAGGCGGCCCTCCTACAGGCTGTTGGGAGCTTGGAGAGGTCATGTGGATCAAAGTCACAGCGTCTTCCATCCCTCCTCGGTGCCTGGTGCATGCCAGGGACTCAGTCCCAGGGAAGGTGGCCTTGGCCTCACTGCCTGCATCGCCACCTATTGTATCCCCTCCTGAAAGGCGCGGGGCAGCCCTCCCGAGGCCAAGTGACCTCCTGGAAACGGGAGGGCCGAGCTCTGCTGAGCAGTAGCTGGCTCCGGAGAGCTCCGTGTGGCAGCCTCCCAGCTGCCATTGTGGGCGTGGGAGGAGGGGCTGCTGGGGTGGGAGCACAGCCAGTCCCCAAACAGCACCCCACATGTCCCCCACCAACTCTAGAAAGCCTGTATCCTGGGGGCCAGAGCCCGTCCCTTCTGAGATGGTGGTAGTGTCCGGAGCCAGCACTCCATGGGACCTGGCCCCAGGCAGGAGGCTCCCTCAGAGACCAGGATCGGGGCCCAGATTCTAGTTCTGGGCCAGCACGACCCTCTTCTGGGCTTTGTTTCCTTGTTGGAAAACAGGCATCTTGGCATCTGCTTTGACTTCTCGAGGCTGAGATGAGGATGGTAAACACAGCAGCCCCTGTTTGCCGAGGGCTTCCTGTGTGCCAGACACTGTTCCGAGAACATCACAGCACACTTTCCCATGTAATCCTCGCCATAGTGCGGGCGGCTCTGTTACAGGGTCTCCCAACCTCAGCACTACTGACGTTTGGAGGAGATCCTCTCTGCTGTGAGGGCCCTCCTGTGTGACACAGGTGTGTGGCCGCCTCCCTGGCTGCCGCCCACTAGGTGCCAGTGGCACCCACCGTCGTGACAGCCACAAGTGTGTTCAGACATGGCCAAGGGTCCGCTGGGGGCAGGATCGCCCATTGAGAACCTCAGTGCATGACCACCCTGCTTGTTTGCAGGGCTGTAAGCCATGTAGTGGCAGCGGGGGCCGGGCCTCCAGAGCCCTCCAGCGCTCATGCTGGAGGAGATGTCGCCCTGCATGACGGATGTTACCCAGATGGAGCTCAGAGAGGCTGGATGGGCCAGGCTGCTCAGGGCCGCCCGGCTAAAGAAACCCAGAAAGCCCCCGATATGTGTCAGTGACACGGATGTGGCCTTCAGGAGGGGGTGGGCGGGTGCACGGCCGCGTTTGGAGGCAGCTCCCTGTCTCTCCTTCCTGTATGTTCGTCTGGGGTTTGGGTGGGGAAATGCTAAGGAAGGTTGGGGAGGAGCGAGGTCCTGGCCTGCAGAGGGACTGGAGGTCCTGGGGGACAAATCTGGGTTCTGTTAGCAGATAAACAATCTGGCGATGACTGTCAGGGAGGAGGCGGCCAGAAACTAGGGAGATCCCAGCGGCTCTGCTCTCACCTCCCCTCTCCAGAGGCTGCACAGGGGCAGGAAGCAGGGCCGGCTGTGTCTAGCTTGCTTCCTGCCTCTGTGGTGCAAAGCTGCCTGCTGGGACCAGAGAGGGTGGGCACTCAGAGAGAGCAGCACAGCTGGATCCAGGCCACACGGCCTTCAGATGGCCCGACTCCAGCTCCAGCAGGCCGGGGTCCACGCAGCATCCAGCTTTGTCTGCAGCTGGGTTCTGGTTTGCAGAAGGGGAGGGGGGCTGCGGGTTCTCCCACCTTGCTGAGGCTTGGCATAGGTGCTGCTTCTGTCTGGTTTGGCTACAGGACGGGGAGACGACCAGGTGGGAACACGTCCCCTCCCATTTGAGGCCCAGCAGCCTTGCCCCCACCCGCACGGCCACTCCAGCAAGCTGCTGGGACTTGTTCTCAGACAGGCGGCTCCAGCTGCCTCCCCTCTCCTGGGGCTGGCCCTTTCCTGGCCCTGGCAGCCTCCCCAAGCCTAGGCAGTGGCTGCCTGGGTCAGCCTCTACCTGTGTGGCCTAGGAGCCAGGCCAGGCCAGGTGCTTGCTGAGCTGACCCAAAGGCTCTGCTTCCGGGATGACATCCCCCAGAGGAACAGGCCAGGCCAAACACAGCGTGGGGGGTGCAGGGGGTGCAGGGGCCGCCTCTCCCCACAGTCTCCTGCTCATTGGTGTAAAATCACTGGTGTTGTAAAAAGCACATCACGGCTGCATAAAATACTGCTCATTGCTCGGTTTCCAACCATCACTGCGCATGGGTTTCAGCACAGGGGCTGAGTGCAGACCTCGCTTCTAGCAGTTTCCAACCATCACTGCGCGTGGGTTTCAGCACAGGGGCTGAGTGCAGACCTCGCTTCTAGCAGTTTCCAACCATCACTGCGCGTGGGTTTCAGCACAGGGGCTGAGTGCAGACCTCGCTTCTAGCAGTTTCCAACCATCACTGCGCATGGGTTTCAGCACAGGGGCTGAGTGCAGACCTCGCTTCTAGCAGTTTCCAACCATCACTGCGCGTGGGTTTCAGCACAGGGGCTGAGTGCAGACCTCACTTCTACCAAGCCCACTTTGGGCACGACCCTTGCCCCCTCAGAACAAGGATGCTGGGTCTGTGGGCAGGTCTCGTGAGCTGCGGCACGAAGCTCATCTGGCTGGGACATGGTGGTCAGCGGCATCTCAGAGGACCGTTGGGGACATTCATAGCCTGCCAATGAGTTAGCGAAAACCCCTCTAATCCCATCCCAGAGAAACCAGGGTTGACAGTTGAGTGTGTTGCCCGCCATCTTCTTTCCGTCATCTGTGACTATCTGTGGATTTTAAAATGTAATCAGGGCATCCCATGCAGTCTGTACACACTGCTTTATTCTCCGAATGTCGTGACTGTTCCCCTGTTCCTTTGAACGTTCCCCGAGAACCACTTGGAACGCCCTCAGCTGCGTCTCCAGTGCCCTGCTCATGTGTTTCACACCGGGTCCACCTCTCTGCTTTGGAAGTGGCCCCGGGAGGAACTTCCCTTGAACACCGTCCTCCCAGTAGATGCTGACTGTTGGTCTGAGAGAGGGTAGAGCTGGGCCCACCAGGTCGGAGGTATGTGCGGTTCATGGTCCCGGGTCACTCTGTGGTGTGTTCTTCTCTGTCCTTCCGTATTTCTGCGCCCCTCGCTTGCCCAGTGCTACCCTAGGTCTCAGGCGGAGTGGGAGAGAAGCACAATGCTTTCTAGGCTGGGGTCCCTGCGTGTGGGATGGGGGGGAGGGGAAACACAGGGGAGGTGGGACATGAGCGTCAACTGGCGTGCGCGATCGTGGGGACACAGGAAATAGGCGGCGGGGAGGTGCTACACGCATAAGGAGGCCCAGCTGCTGGGAAACACGCCGCGCACCGGCCGTGGCAGTTATCCATGGTGTACCTCCCAGCACCGTCAGCTCACGTAGGGCCACTGGGACTCTCAGTCAAGCACTAGTGTTTTACTAAACTTAACGATCCGTTCCCAGTGCTGTGCTTCTCGTCCTCTCCCTCACTAGCGCTCGAGAGACTCTGGAGTGAACTCTGGACATGCTGCCTGGGAGCCTGCTGGGTGCTGGATTGGGGTCCCAGGATGGAAGATGTGGCTCCTTCCCTCGATGGGCTCAGACCCCGAGTGAGGTTGGGGCCCAGGAAGGGACCTGCAGCCACAGCCCAGCCTGTACTGGAAAGAGGTCCTAGGCAGGGTGAGGGGTGACCCCAGGCCAACGGGTTCTCATGGAACCGAGAGTCCCGCAAAGATGGCCACAGAGAACTGAGTGTTGGCAAGAACCAGACAGGGTGGGGCAAGGCCCCGAGTGTCTCGACCTCTTGGCTAGAAAAAAAGTGTGGCCCGTGTTGGGGGGCTCTGCCCTGGGACTGACCCCAGGGGCCTGTGGACGAGCCGGGAGCCCACATCAGCTGCCCCTGCTCTACCCACTACCCACCAGCATTCTCCCCATCCCTGTGGGCCCCATCCTGACACCTCCCAGCCCCCGTGGCAGGACCAGGGCGGCAGATGTCCCCGGTGCTGAGGGCAGGCTTCCATCCCCACACAGCCCCAGCCAGGAGCTCGTCTCTGCCGACAGCCAGTGGCCCAGGGCCCCACTCCTTAGGAAGACAGACGACCTTAGCGCACAGATTTACTGTCACCTGGGCTGAGTGGCCGGCTCTGTGGGGTCATTCCCATGCTCATGTTCTTGGAGTCCGTGGGGTCCATCGGGGACAGACTGGGGGTGAGCTGGGGCTAACCATCTTCACCTAGAGACCCTGATGCCCAGCACTGAGCGCAGCCCCACTGGCTTCTCGTCCCTCTCCCTCCTTGTCCTCCCGGCAGCTCTCTGGAGTGGCCAGTGTGGGCCTGGCGGCCAGGTCTGCGTGTGTCTGGAGTGGCCAGTGTGGGCCTGGCGGCCAGGTCTGCGTGTGTCTGGAGGACGACTGTGGCCCTCAGGAGCTTGAAGTTGCTGGGTGGCCGGTGGGTCCAGATCCCATGAGATGAGGCCGGGGACTCGAGGAGCGTGTGGAGGACGGAGCGGCCAGGAATCCTGTCCTCAGTGACCTCTGCCTCCTCTTGAGGGCCCTGGGGAGGTGTGGGCCAGGAGAGCAGAGGTTCTGGGCCCTTAGTGTCAATGTTACAGTTTTTGCTGACCTGGGAGGCTGTCCCTCAAAGTGGCCAGGGCCACGCGCTCCCAGGTGGCCCCAGCCTGGGACACAGTGCCCTCCCCATTTCCTGGCCAGCAAGACGGGTGGGGATACAGCCACTGGCCACGGCCAGCTCCCCCTGTAGGGGGCCTCACAGGCAGGTGGGAGATGGGAGTTGAGTCAGCCACAGACACTGGGGGGTTTGGGACCAAAGCATCCATGTTACCCAAGGCTCGGTGGAGCTCAGGCCAGAAGCCTGGCTTCCCATCCTGCCCGGTCCTTCTGCGGGTCGCCTCTCTGGGCCTCAGTGTCCCCACCTGTAGCACGGAGTCTAGCACAATGTCTAAAATTCTTTCCGGGCCTTTCCATAAGTCTGTCCAGACACTCTGGATTCTCTGAATCCAGGGAGAATTTCATATTCTCCTAAATAATATCTTGTGCTGGCTTAAAAATGTGTTGATGACATATCCCTCAACGTGAAGAAACGCTGGGCTGGAGCGTGGGCCTGAGCCAGGTATTTATAGGCGATCAGTTGGGTTCCAGCCAACCAGATGCAGGCGAGGAATGCGTGTGCCTGCGCAGTCAGCGGAACCTCTGGGTTGAAAGCAGTTGTGAGGGCCGATGAGGACAAGGGCCAGAGCTGCAGACCCGGGCCCCGGGTGCGAGAGCGGGCGCCTGCCGCTGCCCAAAGACCCTCCTCACCACCAGACGAATTGGGCGCGATTCCCAGCTGAGCACTGCTGCTGTTGTGCAGTGATTGTTCTCCGAGAGGCTGGGATCTGACCCAGGCTGCCACGATCCCTGGACTGCTAGAGGAGGAAGCAGGGTGGGGAGAAGTTATTGTCCGCTCAGCAGCCAGCAGACCAGCTGTCCTTGCTCCCCAAATATCTTGCCTCGAGGCCAGCAAGATTCCCCGTGGGTCAGTGCTCTCCCGGCGTGTCTCCCAGAGCTCCGCTCGGCCAGACACGGTGTTCCCAGGGCCCCTGCCGAGGACGGGCCCCGCCGCGAAGCAGCATGCTGGGCTGGGAGCACTCCGTGGGGCACGGTGATCAAGTGATTTTCTCTGAAAATTAATTTCAGCTCAAAAGGAAATTGAATCTCTTTTCCTGACAGCGAGAAGTCCTAGTCGCGGCGCTGTTAGGATTTGATTAGCTCAGGATGGAGCAGTCCTGCACCCACACACGTTAGATAACTATGACATGCCAGTCAGAGACCAGCTGAGTTCCAGCCACTGCCTAAACACTCGCTTTACAGAACCCGTGCAGATTTGCTGAGGCCTGAGACAGATACCCGATATCATGGGCAGGTTCCCTGATGCAGCACAGAGAGACTGGTGGCCGCAGGCTGGGGCACCGTGTTCCCTGTCACGGGTCGAGCTGTTGCCACGATAGTGTGAAGGGCCTGGGCCCCAAGGGGAAGTTGGAGCGAGGGTGTTTGTGGAGTGGGTGGTGGGAAGCTTCGACCCCCACCCGGGTTTGCTGCTTCTGTCTGGGGCAAGTGACCTCAGGCAGAACTGGGTGCAGAGGGCTCTGAGCTGGGGGCCTTGGAGACTTCAGGGGCAATCGGTTCCAGGTTCTCATCTTGCCCTTGTAAGGAAAGAAAAGGTGTGAGCCCTCCCCTCACCCATTATCAGGGGCATGGGAGACAGCCCTGTAACAAAAGACTGGTTCACAAGAGAAAAGCACACCAGATAGATTTAATCAGAGCTTTATGTGACATGGGAGCCATCAGAAAGGGGGACCCAGAGACCCAGGGAAGACGGTTCCTATGCTTAAGGTCGGTGAAGAATGGGGAGCCGTGTGGACAGGTGTTGGACGGCAGGGGATGCCTGTGGGGATGGACTGTGGGGAGGCTGGCGAGGCCAGCTGTGCAGCTCCCCCTTGGCCTCTCCGTGCAGTGCTTCTCACTCCCAGGCATGGGACAGGACCCCTGGAGCAAAGGTCTTATGACCCACAGTCAGACAAGGTAGGCGGAGAACATCTTTATGGCCAGCTCCTCCCCAGAAAAGTGGGGAAGGCTTGAGTTGTATTTCTAGGTCTCATGGCTGGCTTTGGGGGAGAGGGCCTCTACTGTCCATGACCCATCTGGGGAAAGAGGAATTCTGGCTTCTGTGACTTGCTGCAGGGGAGAAAGAGGGCGGGAGACAAGAGGGGATGAGGAGGTCAGAGAGATTTGGGCTGCACCAGAGGCCTTCTGGTCCCCTTTAGTCCCGAGTCCTCATGCCAGGTGCCCTGCTTGGGGGATCATGGTCTGAATCCTAGAACCCTTGCCGCAGATGAGCCTCGAGCCTGCTGGCCACTGTGGTGGAGGCTGGTGGGAATGGGTACCAGTGCTGTGTGGCCCAGGGAGGGAGGCCTCCTGCACCTGCCCACTGACCGACACTTGCCACCTAAGTGGCCTGAATGGAATGGGACAGGCAAGGTGGGGGGTCCTCTCATCCTTGGGGACCAATGGCATCCCACAGAACTCCCTCCAGGGCCTGGAAGGGTCTGACCTCCAGAACCTTCCAAAAAGAGAGGGTCCTCAGGCCAATTTGGAGGGAGATAGCCATGGTCATAGTAGTGGCGCTTGCCTAAGTGTGGGGGACTCAGCGGGCCTCAGCCCCGCCCCACATGATCTCATTCCACAGAGGGATCCTCTCTCATCACAACCTATAGTCCAGGAGTCTGAGCCCCAGCGAAGGCCACCAGTGGCAGGCGGCTCTGCTGGCTTCAGGAATCATTCCCCTCTTGTCCAGGCCAACTGGCTGGGAACAGCGCCTGGCCACTGGGAAGACGGGCAACAGGCAGCCCTGTGGGTCCTGAGCCCTTGCCCCCAGCCAGGGCCAAGCAGGAAGGGGACTCTGTTCCCAGCAGGGTCCACGCTATCACAAAGGACCCCTGCCCCAACCCTTTATTTGCAGAGCTACATCTGATAATAACAGACATGTCACTCCAGGGGACTGATTAGTTCCATGGGTGGAGAGGTCCCCTGTAGCCCCACCCTTCATGGGTTTGATTCCAAAGCACCTATTCCTAAACAGGAGGCAGAGTTCCCCTCACCTTGGTCTTCCTCCCTCTCAGCTTGACCCCCACCTGGCCAGGTATCTGCTCTGGTCCGACCCTCAAGCTGCACCCAGGTGAGGTCAGGGGCCCAGGATTGAAGGTGCATCCCCTACGGATTCTTTCAACAAGAATCGTGCGTAATAAGCTCTGTCTGGGTCTGAGAACATTGTCGATTCACCTCACTCCTCTCACCCCTGGAGGATGTGGGTTTCCAGGCTGACAGTTATGTTCGAAGCTCTGTGCTTCGAAGATACTGTTCTACAGTAGATTAGCATCTACTAGAGCCACGCCAAGGGGTGGTTTCAGGGTTTCAGGCCTCTCTCTCTGTCTTATGTATTTGCGATGGAGTCTCACTCTGTTGCCCAGGCTGGAGTGCAGTGGGGCGACCTTGGCTCGCTACAGCCTCCGCCTCTCAGGTTCAACCAATTCTCCTGCCTCAGCCTCCCAAGTAGCTGGGACTAAAGGTGCCCATCACCACAGCCAGCTAATTTTTGTATTTTTAGTAGAGATGGGGTTTCGCTGTGTTGGCCAGGCTGGTCTCAAACTCCTGGCCTCAAGTGATCCGCCCAACTCGGCCTCCCAAAGTGCTGGGATTGCAGGCGTGAGCCACTGCGCCCGGACTCTTTCTGTGATTTCCATGCAGGGATTCACTGGTATTTATCCTGTTTGGTACCCACTGTGCTTTCTGCAGTCTGACTGCTCATGACCGACCATCTTCACTTCTGGAACATTCTCTGCTGTTATCTGTTTAAGTACCGCCTTTCCCCCCGGTCTCTCTGGTATCTCCTTGACCTTCTGTTGGACGCAGACTGCAGCTTCCTGTCCGGCCCAGGGCCATTCCCTCACATTCCCCGAATTCCCATCTCTGTGTCTACACCCCCCGGCCTCCCCTGGCACCTCTGTTCCTGTGGTCCAGGATGTCGAGAAAGTGCCGGTCACTTAGTTCCTAGCCTCAGTTTCCCATGAAGAAAAGGAGTTGGTTTGCTGGCTGGTTTGTTAATTTAATTGTACAGTTCGGTAGTGTTAAGTATGTTCACATTGTTGGGAAACAAACCTCCAGAATGTCTTCATTTTGTGAAACTGAAGCTCTGTCCCCATTGAGGCAATTCCCTTTCCCTCTCCCCAGCCCCTGTGCCCTCCATTCTGCTCTTGATGTCTATGAATTTGGTGACTCCAGGGACCTCATATGAGTGGAATCAGACAGGATTTGTCCTTCTGTGACTGGCTCCCTTCACTTAGCGTGATGTGTTTATAATGTTTTTGTCCGCGTTGTGTTATGCATCCGAAGTTCCTTCCTTTTTAAGGCTGAATAACATTCCTTCATGTGGATAGAACACTTTTTGTCTGTTCATCATCTGTTTTTGGTGTGTGTTTTTTTTTTTAATTTCAGACAGGGTCTTAGTCTGTCACCCAGGCTGGAGTGCAGCGGTGCGATCTCAGCTCACTGCCTCAACCTCCTGGTCTCAAGTGATCCTCCCCCCTTCAGCCTTCCAAGTAGCTGGGACTACAGGCACATGCCACCAAACCCAGCTAATTCTAAAATTTTTTTTGTAGAGACAGGGCCTCCCTATGTTGCCCAGGCTGGTCTCAGACTCCTGGGCTCAAGCAGTCCTCCTGCCTTGGCCTCCCCAAGTACTGGGATTACAGGTGTGAGCCACTATGCCCTGCTTGTTCATCCTCTGCTGATGGACACTTGGGTTGCATCTACCTCTTGGCTATTGTGAATAACCCTGTGAATATGAGTGTGCAAATACCTCTTCGAATCCCTCCTTTCAATTCCTTTGGGTGTATACCCAGAAGTGGGGTTGCTGGATCACATGGAAGTTGTATTTTTAAAGTTTTAAAGAACTGCCACCCTGTTTTCCACAGTGCTTGCACCATTTTCCATTTCCACTAACAATACACAAGGGTTCCAGTTTCTCCACATCCTCACCAACACTCGTTACTTTCTTTTTCTTGTTTTTATAATTGTCATCCTCATGGGCACAAAGTGATAACTCACTGTGACTTGGGTTTGCGTGCCTCTGATGGGTAGTGACGTGGAGCATCTTTTCCTGGGCCTGTTGGCCATTTGCATTTGCTTTTGAGAATTGTCGATTCAAGTCCCTTGCCTATTTTTTTTTTTTTTAAATGGAGTCTCACTCTGTTGCCCAGGCTGGAGTGCAGTGGCACAATCTCGGCTCACTGCAGCCTCCACCTCCTTGATTCAAGTGATTCTCCCACCTCAGCCTCCTGAGTAGCTGGGACTACAGGCATGCACCACCATGCCCAACTAATTTTTTTTTTAAATATTTTTAATGGAAACAGGGTTTCACTATGTTGGCCAGGGTGGTCTCGAGCTCCTGACCTCAGATGGTCCTCCCACCTTGGTCTCCCAAAGTGCTGGGATTACAGGCATGAGCCACCACACCCGGCCCCTTTGCCCATTTTTAATGGTGGTATTTGACTTTTTATTGTTAAGTTGTAGGAGTTCTTTGTTCTGTCTGGGTAGAAGGCCCTTATCATATGTAAGACTTGCAAATGTTCTCTCCCATCCCGTGGGTTGCCTTTTCACTCTTTGTTAGCGTCCTTCGATGCACAAATGTGCTTGTGATCAATGTCCTTCCATCTGACTTTTGCTTTTGTGACCTGTGCTTTTGGTGTCCTCTCCAGGAAACCCTTGCCATTTCCAACTCCCCATGCCTTCTTCCAGAGGTTGTACAGCTACAGATCTTACCCTTGTGTCTTTGTTCCATGTCTAGTTAATTTTTGGACAAGATGTAAGGTACGCGACCAGCTTCTCGCTTCTGCATGTGGCTATCGGATCCTCCCAGCACCACTTGTTGGAGACTCTTTCCCCATGAGTGGCCTCAGCGCCCTTGTAGAGATCATGTGAACACATACGTGACGGTTCATTTGACTTCACTTTCTCCAACTTTGCTGATTTCGTTTAATAGTTTCAGCAGGCTTTTTTGGCATGGAATTTTCAGGATGTGGAAAGGGTTTAAACAAAACCTGACATAAGACCCTTCCTGCTGATCTTCCATAATTCTGTGACTCCATCCACGGCCAGGAGTTCCATCTTGCAATTTGGGGCTTTCAGAGCCCACCTGAGTCAGAGTGGCCAAGGACGACGTGCCGGGACCATGTGCTTGGTGCACACGCACCCAACCCTGGCCGATGGGTCAGAGCAGGGCACTGAGGCCAAGTGGGCCGACCCCCATGGGCGCTGGGAGACGCTGTTCCCACCCAAGCCCGGCTGACTGGGAGCCCGTGTTTGTTCTGGATGTCCTCGCTTGGCCTGTCCCTTTCCTTGTGGGTCCCCACTTGGAAGAACTGGGGACTGATCCCACTCCACTGCTTTGGTGGAGAAAAATGTAAGACGCCTCAACAACTAGTGATTCCGTGAACTTAGAGAGGCCCCTGGATTTCCCCAGCCTCCCTCTCTTTGGCAGGAAGCAGGTGTGGCCCCCGTTTTGCTCCTTCGTTCAGGGACTGTTTCTTGGGCCAGGCTGTGCACGGCGTACAATGGAGACCCAGACCCAGCTGACCCCATCCTCGCTGAGCTGCTGGAGCCAGGAAGGATGGGACTGCTCCCTCCCTTCCACCCGTGAACTCCAACCCTCTCCCTGAGCTGGGTGACGGGTCTTTGTCTGAACAGGGATCCGCAATTGGAGGGCCGTGCATAGGTGCACTTTAAAAATTATTTTTCCTGTTTCAAAATGAGATTGGTTTTGAGCCCCGAGCTCCTCCATAGGCTATCTAAAATTAGAACCCCGTTGACAAGGCAATCTTTGTCAGGGGCCTACGGCTTGCACCAGGGAAGCAGGGAAATGTCAACAGTATATTTTCTGTGTCAATTTTGAGTTTTTTAGGAGGCCTGGGCAAATGGCAACTTAGAGCAAATTTGCGCTATTTCCAAAGCTTTTAGAATCCAGCCCCTCGGCGGCCATGTGATTAAAGTGTCAGGTTTATAAGGAGCTGCCCCTGTGGTTGGGAGAGCGGCCTCTGCCCTCCTTCCCACAGGCGTATCCCAGCGGGAGCTGTACAGGGAGGGCCTTTCCACTCAGAGCAGTGGTGGAATCAGCTCCTCCGCTGTCTGGGATCCTGCAGTCAGCCTAGCTCTCCCCATTCCTTTTGTGAGCTCTCTGGTCCCAGGGCTGAGCACTCAGGCCTTCCCATGGGAGTCAGTGGGTTCAACGGTTTGCCTGAAGGTGAGGACGCAGACTCCAGTTACTGGGTGTGGACGTGCCACGCACCTGAACCAAGTGTGTGAGGAAAATCACGCCTCCTGTGCAAGAAGCCCCCCATGCTGTCTGTGGCCTCCACGCAGCCGAGTGCTAGCCTGTTGTGCAGGCGTGCGGGACACACCCTCCCAAAGACACCAGCTGTCCTCAGCGGAGCAGGGTGTGCCTAGGCCCTGCTCAGTGCCTCTGGGAGCCTCTGTGTCCGCCTCAGCCCACAGACATTACTGACCGTGTTCCCACCGTTGCAAGGGCCGTGGAGGGACGAGATGAAGCTTAGCCCAGAGCACCCGATAATCGGCACTGTCACTTCTGCAGGGCTTGAGCCATCGTGTCTTTCACAGTCAGGTATCCACAGCCCCACAGGCCTTTCTCTCCTGCCTCCCACCATGTCCGCTGCCCAACGCTGGGCCTTTGCACCTCACCTGGAAGGCCCGTCTGCGACGGCAATCTCCTGGTCTGCCTGCTAGCCTGGTCTGGCGTCCCAGGCAGGGGTCTTGCTTTCCGGCCCCTTCCTCACCCAGAACATGGTTGTGCTCACGGCCGAGCTGAGTCCTGAAGGGCAGAGGCTATGGCTGTCTTCAGAGCCCGGTGCTGGGCCGGGGCTGACCAGAATTGGTGGGTGACGGGCTCCTCGGACAACGGGCTTGGCACCTGGCTGTCCCCTTCCCTGATGCCTCTATCCCCACCTGGTGCAGCCAGGGTGGTGTCCCCTGAGCTGGGCTGCTGCCTTCCCCCTGCTCCTCGCAGACGTGTCTCAGAGCTTCTGAAACAGATAAAGCTGGGCTCCCAACCCCATCTTACAGACAAGGAAGGGTGAGAAGCTTGCCCCAGGTCACTGCTGTGGACTGAATGGTGACCCCCAAAACATATATCTACATCCTAACTCGTCAGAACCTGTGAATGGGGCCTTGTTTGGAAATAGGATCTTTGCAGGTGTAATTAAGGTCAGGATCTCCAGATGATATTATCTAGGGCTAGGGAAGGTCCTAAGTCCAGTGACAAGTGTCCTTAGAAGACAGAGACACAAAGGGGAGGCTGTGAGGGCTGAGGCAGAAATCGCAGTGGTGCAGCCACAAGCCAAGGGGTGCCGGGAGGTGCTCGGGAGGTGCTCGGGAGGAGGCTCCCTCGAGAGTGGAAGGGTCGTCTCCGGAGCCTGCAGAGGAAGCGTGGCTTGCCCACATGGTGATTTTGGATTTTGAGCCTGCAGAACCGAGAGAGAGTTTACTGTTATTGTTTTAAGCCACCAGTTGTGGTCGTTTGTTATGACAGGTAGGAAACTAACCCAGTCCTGGAGAAGACCTGAGGTCTGCAGATAGCAAACCTGCCATCTCCCCTTCCCAAAGGTGACCCCCTACTTCTCCTCAAAGATTTCCAGAGCAGCTGGAGGGAGCAGCTCTCCTTGGAAGACCCCATTTCTTGATGGCAATCTGGCTGGGACCCAGGGCCAGCTGATAATCCTGGTGACAGTAGGAGCTGCCACCAGGAAGTGGTGGCCTGGGCCTGGACCTCAGCCATCTTACATGGCCACATCTAAGCCATGACCTTGTCCCCCAGGTCCGAGCCATGCGGCTGTCCTTTGTGGGGGAGCTGGGCTGGGAGCTGCACATTCCAAAGGCGTCCTGCGTGCCTGTGTACCGGGCTGTGATGGCCGCGGGTGCCAAGCACGGCCTCATCAACGCAGGGTACCGCGCCATCGACTCCCTGAGCATTGAGAAAGGTGAGTGCAGGGTCTGGACAGCACGGGGCGGGGGCGGGCGCAGTGGGGGGCAGTGACGCTCGAGACACCTGGAGGCCGAGAAGCTGTTTACCTTCCCTGTGTTGTCACCCGGCTTCCTTCTTTCCACACCATGATTTCCTCCCCTACACCCCAGCGCCTGACATCCTCCATTTCCCCAAAACCTCTTGCTGCCCAGGGTCTTCGTGCAGGGCCCCAGGGACAGTGTTGGGATCTGCGACACCTACACACACCTGAACTCAGAGAGCTGAGGTGCTGCCTGACACCTGGGGGTCAGGCCCAGGCTGGGTTGGAATTGAGGGCCTTGGTTTCTCTGAGAGCTGTGAAGAATGGAGCCAGGGAGCAGGTGCTGTGGCCTCTGGAAGAAGCCCAGACCCTGTCCAGAGCAAGGATGAAGGCTCAGAGCGGGCTTTGGGCGGTTCCCCAGCGTGTTGGGCACCCAGCTTGGGCGTCAGGCAGCTCCCCTGGGTGTTGGGCACCCAGCTTGGGCATTGGGAAGCTCCCCCTTCACAAGCCCCTCCCTGACGCCCCCACCTGAGGGTGCAGAGGGCTGCAGTGCTGATGGGCAGTCTGCTCGGGGGAGCGGTCGCCCCAGGGAACCTTCTGGAGTTGGGGATGCCCCTGCCTCCTGCCCAGGTGACTAAGCAGCTCTGAGAGTGTGGCTAGGGGCTGGAGGGGGTGGGTTTAGGCAGCATCCTCATGCATCTCCTGAAGGGCTTATCCCCCTCAGGGTGGCACCGACCCCATGGATTCCCTTCCCACAGGCTACCGGCACTGGCACGCGGACCTGCGGCCAGACGACAGCCCCCTGGAGGCAGGCCTGGCCTTCACCTGCAAGCTCAAGTCGCCGGTGCCCTTCCTGGGGAGGGAGGCCCTGGAGCAGCAGCGGGCCGCAGGCCTCCGCCGGCGCCTGGTGTGCTTCACCATGGAGGAGTGAGTATCCCGCTGTTCCACGCCCACCCGGAAGCAACTGCCTACAGCCAGGGCAGGCAGGCGCTTCTTGGTCCCCCACTCAAAGCCCCTGGTACCAACACTTCCCATGTGCCAGCCATGCTCTTCCAGAACGCACCCAACAGCCCACTGCAGATAAGGAAATCGAGGCCAAAGAGAGAGGCCATCTGGCCAGGTCACATGTTGTTAAAGGCAGAAAGGCAGAGAGAGTTTGCTCTTTTTTTTTTTTTTTTTTTTGAGACGGAGTCTCACTCTATTGCCCAGGCCGGAGTGCAGTGGCGCAATCTCGGCTCACTGCAACCTCCGCCTCCCAGGTTCAAGTGATTCTCCTGCCTCAGCCTCCCAAGTAGCTGGGATTACAGGCGTGCACTACCACACCCAGCTAATTTTTGTACTTTTAGTAGAGATGGGGTTTCACCATGTTGGCCAGGCTGGTCTTGAACTCTCCTGACCTCGTGATCTGCCTGCCTCGGCCTCCCAAAGTGCTGGGATTACAAGCGTGAGGATCCCAACATGCTGGGATTCAAACCAGGCCAGTGTAAGGTTGCGCACCTGGGGCCCCTCCCAGGCCAGCAGGGCCCGTGGGGAGGTAGAGAAGGCTCCACACTCTTCCCATGCAGGTCTCAAAAGAGAAAGGTGCAGCCAAGCCCAGGCCACCCCTCTGTGGCAGGTCTAGGCCGAGGGCCTTGGGAGGGTGAACCCAGGGAGCCTGACCTCCCAGTCACTGCAACACGACCTCCCATCCCGTTCTGGTTCAGTCTCCCCACAGCCCTGTGATAGGGGGAGAGGGGCTCGGCTGGGGCCGTCATCCCCACTCACGAATGGAGACCACATGGTGCCAAGGAGCAGGGGACTCACGCCCAGTCACACGGCAGAGGTGGAAGGAGAGACTCTGCCTGGGGGCGACCTGACCTCCTGCTCTCCCCACTGAGAGTGGCTTTGAGCATGCTGCTGGAGCCCGGCGCACGTGATCCCTGGGCTACTGGGAGAGTTTGGATTCCAGGAACCCGAGTCCCACTTGGGTTGCAGGGCAGTCTGAGAAGATCAGGCCCTGATCAGAGGCCCTCCCGTGGTGCCCACGGGGGTCTGAAGCACAGGTATCCGGGGAAGTGGGCGGCTTTGGGCTCTGTGGACATGGAGCTGACAGCCAGCTGCAAACACTGCCACTTCTCCCAGATTTCTGGAGCCTTCAAAAGGAGTGTCAGAGTGACGAGGGGAGGGAGAGGGAGGACGAGGGAGAGGGAGGGTGAGGGAGGATGAGGGGAGAGGGAGGGTGAGGGAGAGGGAGGGTGAGGGGAGAGGGAGGGTGAGGGGAGAGGGAGGGTGAGGGAGAGGGAGGGTAAGGGAGAGGGAGGGTGAGGGAGATGGAGGGTGAGGGAGAGGGAAGGTGAGGGAGAGGGAAGGTGAGGGAGAGGGAGGGTAAGGGAGAGGGAAGGAGAGAGAGAGGGAGGGTGAGGGAGAGGGAGGGTGAGGGAGAGGGAGGGTGAGGGGAGATGGAGGGTGAGGGAGAGGGAGGGTAAGGGAGAGGGAAGGTGAGGGAGAGGGAGGGTAAGGGGAGAGGGAGGGTGAGGGAGATGGAGGGTGAGGGAGAGGGAAGGTGAGGGAGAGGGAAGGTGAGGGAGAGGGAGGGTAAGGGAGAGGGAAGGAGAGAGAGAGGGAGGGTGAGGGAGAGGGAGGGTGAGGGAGAGGGAGGGTGAGGGGAGATGGAGGGTGAGGGAGAGGGAGGGTGAGGGGAGAGGGAGGGTGAGGGGAGATGGAGGGTGAGGGAGAGGGAGGGTGAGGGAGAGGGAGGGTAGGGGAGAGGGAAGGTGAGGGAGAGGGAGGGGGAGGGTAAGGGGAGAGGGAGGGTGAGGGAGAGGGAGGGTGAGGGAGAGGGAGGGTGAGGGGAGAGGGAGGGTGAGGGAGAGGGAGGGTAGGGGAGAGGGAAGGTGAGGGAGAGGGAGGGGGAGGGTAAGGGGAGAGGGAGGGTGAGGGAGAGGGAGGGTGAGGGAGAGGGAGGGTGAGGGGAGAGGGAGGGTGAGGGAGAGGGAGGGTGAGGGAGAGGGAGGGTGAGGGAGAGGGAGGGTGAGGGTGAGGGGAGAGGGAGGGCGAGGGGAGAGGGAGGGCGAGGGAGAGGGAGGGTAAGGGAGAGGGAGGGTGAAGGGAGAGGGAGAGGGAGGGTGAAGGGAGAGGGAGAGGGAGGCTGAGGGAGAATGAGGGTGAGGGAGAGGGAGGGTGAGGGAGAATGAGGGAGAGGGAGAGGGAGGGTGGGGGAGAGGGAGGGAGAGGGAGGGAGAGGGAGGGAGAGGGACGGTGAGTGGAGCCGTGTCGTCGTCATCCTGTGGCTTCTCCCTGGGTGCCTGTCAGGCTCTGTCTCTTGTGTGACAGCCTGTCCAGCTCCCTGAATCAGCTCAGCTCCTGGAGAGGGGGCCCCTTGCAGACAGGTCAGCATCCATGGGTCCTTTCTGCTTGCCTGACCCCGACCTTCTGGCCCTCCATGAAGTACCTGCAGCCTGATGTCTGGGTTTAGGAGGGCCTCGGACGGCCCCTGTGACCCAGTGCGCTCTGCTCAGGGGTTTCCTGTCAGGCTGCATAATAGCTGCCCTGCGCCGCGGCTCTGGACTGTTGCAGTTCCAGGACAGGCGCAGAGAAGATGCTGGCAGTGGAGTCACAGAGAACAGCCCTGCCACACTGCTCTGGGACTCCGGGCAGTTGGGGCCTCAGCGTCCTCACGTGGAGAACAGAAACTAGGGTGACACCAAAGATGTTTACGAAACCTCCTTCCAGCCTCGTCCTAATCTGATGGACAGGTGGGACCCAAACAGTGACTCCAGGCTGAGGATGCAGGAGGTGCCCTCAACATCACCCCAGCCCTTCCATTCAGGGACCCCTTTGCATAGCTGCCGCCGTGATAACCCATTGCACAGGGAGAAGTCTGCAGACTGGCAACAAAATGTTACCAGTTAGCCCTGGGTGCTGGCCTTTCTTTGATTTTAGCTTACTTTTTTTTTTTTGTCTTCCTGCTTTTAATCTTTAAAACTTTTACAGTGAGCATTCATGTATTACATGTAGTAAAGTCCTTTGAATAAAGTATGTATTGTACTATAAAAAAAATGAACCTGGCCGGGCGCAGTGGCTCAAGTCTGTAATCCCAGCACTTTGGGAGGCTGAGGTGGGCAGATCACTTGAGGTCAGGAGTTCGAGACCAGCCTGGCCAACATGATGAAACCCCATCTCTATTAAAAATACAAAATTAGCCGGGCATGGTGGTGGGTGCCTGTAATCCCAGCTACTCCGGAGGCTGAGGCAGGAGAATCGTTTGAACCTGGGAGGCGGAGGTTGTAGTGAGTCTAGATTGTGCCACTGCACCAAAAAAAAAAAAAAAAAAAAAACCAGAGTTGAACAACAATGGAAGGAAATCGGAAGCAGGGGCCCTCCCAAATATACGGGGCTCGCTTCTGGAAACAGCAAAGTCCACTCCTGGTTTTGATGTTTTCTATTCATCCCTTTTACTCACTCGAAGCCCGAGCCCTGCTGTCCAGGCCAGGTGCTGGGCTGGCTCTGGGGACCAGCGTAGTCCTAGTAGGCCAGCCCTATCTGCCTGGAGCCACGGTTGGGTGTGCATCATGCAGCCCCCCATTCTCCTCCAGGCCGCTGTGGACGCGTCCCCACCCTGCGGTTTCTGGGGCCCCAGCTTTCTCTACTGCTTCTTCCAGCAAAGTACCCATGTTTGGCCTGGAGGCCATCTGGAGGAACGGCCAAGTGGTGGGCCATGTCCGGAGGGCTGACTTTGGGTTCGCCATCGACAAGACCATCGCCTACGGTTACATCCATGACCCCAGCGGTGGGCCGGTGAGTCCCCTTCTCTGGCCCTGCTAAGGCAGATGCCGATCCCTCACCAGCTCCAAACCAGCTCCCTGCACTGCACCCTGAGTGTGCCGGGCATAGGGAGGAGGCACGGGTGTGGTCCAGAAGAGGAGGAGGGAAGAGAAAGGAGGGAGGAGGGAAGAGGGGGAGGAAGGAAGGAGGAGAAGGAGGGGGAAGGAAAAAGGGGAGAGAGGAAGGAGGAGGAGGAGGGAGAGGGAGGAGGGAGGGAGAAGGAGAAGGGGGAGGAAGAGGCCTCAGCAGGTGGAGGACTCCCCAGCTGTGCCTGGGCAGAGCCAAAGCTGCTCTCTGTTTTCTTTCTGGAAGAATCCGACTTTGGTGATTCCAGGCTTTTTTTGGTTAGAAGGAGGTGCCAGCCAGCCAGGCTGATACCTTCCAGCTCCTCACACCAGAGACCCAAACCTCAGGCCACCCACAGCCCACCCTTTGCCTGGGGTGCAGGGGTGGCCCCCAGGGTGACCGACTAGAGACTCAGAGACCCATGTTCCTATCCTCTCTTTCCTCACCCCCGACACCCCTGACCCCAGGCAACCCCACCCCCTCCAGGTGACCCTGACCCCTGGCTGCAGGAGGCAGGAACAGGCTGGAAAGAGCAGGCACTGCCCCCAGGAGCAAGTCCCAGGACAGCTCTGGGTGGCCAGGGGTGGTGGGGCAGGGGGTGGGCAGCCTCCCCAGAAGGGGAAGGGGTGGTCTCTACCTCCACCTCCTTTTCCCATCTTTCTGGCACTGCAAGTAGAGGTGCCGGTGAGGAGGGTCGTGTCTCTCCATGGGAGCCGATCTGACGTTTGGCCTAAGCCCTAAGTGAGGCCGGGAGGTGCTGGCCTGGCTCCAGAGCCTTCCAGCCTGAGCCCCTGATGGACACGTAGAGGGAATTGGGGAGGGAGCGAGCACTTGGGAGAAGCCATGAGGAGGGGTAGGCTGGAGACGGAGCAGCCTTAGCAAGAGCTGCAGAACATGCGCAGGCCCAGCTCGCAGGCCCAATGGGGAGGGGACACCGCCAGGCCTCGGGCAAGACCATGGTCCTGTGGAGCTGTGGGGAAGTGGCAGCCCATGGGGCTGAGTCCGGCGGTGGAGCTGGGAGGCTGGGGACACACTTGATGCCACTAGCCTTTGGATCTGCCTTTTACTTGCTTTGTGACCTTGGATAAGGATCCTCTCTTGGAGCCTCAGTTTCCTCATTTATAAAATGTGGACACTCACCTACCATGCAGGGCTGTCATACAGGCCACTGCACAGAGTGAGTCTTAATATGTGGGGATTGTGATGGCATGGCTCCCACGGTGGGCAGGGCCTCCTGACACAGCCCTGGGGCCATGGTCCTGGGGGCCACAGCCCTGGGGCCCAGCCAAACCGGAGTTTATGGGCTCCATGCCAGGGTGGGCTGGGGAGTGGAGGCTCCTTTGCCATTTCTTCAAAGAACAGTAATGCTCGCCTTTCTCCGGAGTCAGGGATGGGTCCATAACCAACGTGACCAGGGAAGCCGAGGTTCCGAGGTTAAACGGCATCCAGACAGGCAGCCGGGGAACCAGTCGATGCACCCAGAGCGGCCGGTGCACGTCTCCTGCCCCCTCCATCAGGGCTGTCCAGAGCATTTGCACCATGGAAATGGGCAAATGCTACAGTCACACCCACCTCACCCCAGAGCTGGTTGTTAAACATTTTCTAGCACCCAAGTGGGGTAACGGAGGTTTCTGCCTAAGATAGGGAAACCTGCTCATTGATGGGAAAGGCTCCGAGATGGGGAAGGCGTTTCTGCCTCGTAGGTATCTGTTAGCAAGGCCAGATGCCCGCTTTGAGTTGTGCATGCCCGTGGACATCTGAAGGCCACCAGCTCTCCATGCTGCCTGCCTGCGGGGGGCAGCTCAGAGCTCTCAGCCCTGCAGGTGCACACATGGCTCAGAAGCACCACTCCTAAAGCTCCTGTCGCAGAAAAAGCTTGGTTTGTTTTTTATTTTTTTCATCCAGTCCTGAGCTGCTAGGAACAAGAAGGAGCCCTCTGACTCCCAGAGCGGAGCCCGAGACTCCCTCCTGTGGCCCTGACCTTGGGTTTAATTGCTGTAAAGGAAGAACAGCTTCCCTGAGTGGCCTAGCCTGCCCTCCTCATAGCAGCTGCAGCAAAAGTGCCAGGCGTCACCAGCTGTGCCAGGCTGGAGGTGACACCCTCCTCCTGCCTAAGAGCACCTGCACCTGGGGCTGACTGGCTCCCGAGCGCTTGCTGGGGAGCCCGAGCCAGGGTGTGGGATGGGGAGCATGCAGAGGCCAAGCTGTCTAGAAGGCTGTTCCAGCCGCCCCTGCCCCGAGGGATTCGAGCCGGATTGGCCCCCAGCCTCGGCGCTGCTCTGGCCGCTGTGCTTGCCCGGGTCCGGGGAAGCCACCGTGTTGCTGCTGTTTCCCAGGCATCTGGAATTGCTGGGGTGGGAGGTGTGTTGTCCGGTGGAAGTCATATTGGCTGCCAGACCTTGGCTTTGCCGGACCCCAGATGCCCATGTCCAACTCAAGATCACATGGACACGAACTGCACCTGCTCTGGGGCAATGCCTGGGTTCAGAAAGGAGTCCCTGGCACAGGGATGAGTTTGCCCACAGGGCAGGTAGCAAGACCAAGACCCCCTCCTCCAGAGAAGCAGGCAGACGTGAGCCCTGTACCTACCAACAGAGAGTGATCCTCATCCCCACCTCTGCTCCTAGGTCTCGCTGGACTTTGTGAAGAGCGGGGACTATGCCCTGGAGAGAATGGGGGTGACCTATGGTGCCCAGGCTCACCTGAAGTCGCCCTTCGACCCCAACAACAAGAGGGTGAAGGGAATCTACTGAGGGCTCAGACCACATGCCCCATCCCATGCTGTCCATCCATTCTCACAGGTCCCAAATGGCCCTGGGTCCCAGGACCCTGGACCCAGCCAGAACTTGTGCCCTCCCTGTCCTTAGCCTAGGCCTAGTCCTGCGAAAACCCCCAAACCAGATACGGACAGAGACCAAGATGGCCCATCCTGTGGTCACTGACTGGAAGGCAGTCTCTAATCCACCCCAATCCTCCCAGAAAGCAAACCTGTAAGTGTCTTGGGCTCAGGGACCATGGCTTGTAGCCCTTTCCAAGCTTCTAGAAGGTGCTTAGTAAATACTTGATAAGCCCCACGTGAAAACAGCGAAGCAAATAGGCTTCATCTTTTACTCCAGGCTTGACTGATCGGTGGCGGGCTTCCCTGGGGCACTTGGCTGAAGAGCATGAGGCTGTGTCTGGGTCAGGAAAGAGAGGTGATCGACTGGCATTGTCTGCCACAGCGCACATGGAGGCCTGGGACCAAGGCCATTCTTCAGGATGGTGCCTCTCGGCTCTCAGGTCGGAACAGGAGCTGGAAAGCTCTTCTTACCTTGCTCGACCTCCCTGTTCTTCAGGTGGCAAAGCCTCCTGAGAGTCGGCAGCCCGGGAACACAGAGGAGCCGAAGCAGGGAGCGGGCGGGGCCTCAGATTGGTGCCCTCCTCACCCACACAGAAGTGCCAGCTCCTGCCTCAGTTTCCCCTTGAGCCCCTCGCTCACCAGGCCCAGGCAGGAGGGACGTGCTGCTGGGTAAGAGTCTGGTGGAGTCCCCCTTTCTAGGTGACCTTTGTCTTTGCTGTTGATTTGGACGCGGTTCCTGCCCATGCCCTCCTCCTTGTCTGGCCCTTGCAGGAGGACCCTCTCTTAGGCTCTGCCCTGCACGCTGCCTTGAGATGGGGTGGCTCCTCTGCCCACCTTCTCTTCCCCCTGATAACTGCCTGTGTGTCAGAAGCAGCTCTGCCTCTCCTGCCTGGGAGGGGTGTGCATCTCTGTCCATCCCACGTGCTCAGTCCCCTCCCTTGTCCCCCCGAGCCCAGGTTCAGATCAGGCCCGTCAGAGCGGCACTGCGCAGTCTTGCCAGGCATGCCCTGCAATCTGGGAAGAGCGGGAGGCAGATGCTTGAGGGTATCGTGGAGCCGGGGCCCCACAGAGCCACACACACAGCAAACAGCGATCTGGGGGCAGCAGTCCTGGCAGGCCCCAGCTGCCACTGGACGCTCCCAGGCCACGCGGCCCACTGTGGACTGAGCTCGAACAAAGCTGTGGGCAGACGTTTGGGTTACAGATGGCTGTGAAAAGTGGGTTTGGCCCCCTGAGTCTGGGGAGGGGGCTGCGGCTGGAGACCAGGGTGGGGGCTGTTGGCTTTCACACGCTTCAGGCTGAAGGAACACCTGCAGCCTCCCCTTGCTCACAGGCGGGCCTGGCTTCTGGATGAGACAGCTTTGTGGGAGCCAGGGGAGGAGAGGAGGGGAGCCGGCTCCCCAGATGGCCTGGCCTGCTTCCTCCGGGTCTGCGGTTTGGCCATAGACCCCTGGATTGGGCCGGTGACCACATTCATCTCACGGCCCATCCCTGGGGGAAGGCTGAGGATGAGGGGAGGTCAGAGCCCGGGTTCCGCTCCAAATTGTTTCTCGTGGCTGCAGCTGGGGAATGCACGCAACGGCACCACCCTGTCCCGAGGAGAGAGAACCTGGCTGCGCTCCCTGTCCCGAGGAGAGAGAACCCAGCACCCCTCCCTGTCCCCTGTGTGCTTCCCCCGCCCCTGTGGAGAGAGAACCTGGCCCCTCGGGGAGGGCACTGGGCATTGATGTGAGCGCAGCCTCCACAACTCACCTCCCAAGCTCATCACCTGCGGGCTCCATCCCTGCGCTGCCAGAGGTCCTGGCCCCGCCATGGCTCCCAAGTGCACCGCCCGGGGACCACATCACAAAAGACCCACCTTCCCAGACCCCGAGCCAGGTCTTCCAGACCTCAACTTTAAAAACACCGTTTCGTAGCTATTTTTAAATTTTTTTTCTGGAAATATTGATACCATGACGCTCACTGTGGCTGAGTACTGCCTCTCAGGAATTCTGAGCAAACTGTTTTGAAAGTGCCTACACTGGCCGGGCGCAGTGACTGACGCCTGTAATCCCAGCACTTTGGGAGGCCGAGGGGGGCGGATCACCTGAGGTTGGGAGTTTGAGACCAGCCTGACCAATATGGTGAAGTCTCATCTCTACTAAAAACACAAAATTAGCTGGGCGTGGTGGCACACGCCTGTAATCCCAGATACTTGGGAGGCTGAGGTGGGAGAATTGCTTGAACCCAGGAAGCGGAGGTTGTGGTGAGCCGAGATTATGCCATTGCACTCCAGCCTGGGCAACAAGAGGGAAACTCTGTCTCAAAAACAACAAAAAAAAGAAAGTGCCTACATCGTCACCGGCAGAGCGCTATACCACAGTGTGCAGTGAGACAGCCTTGGGCCATGTGAAAAGTTGGGGGTATGAATGGGACGCAGAAAGGTTCCATTTTGTTTTTTTTTGTTGTTGTTGTTTTTTTTTTGAGACAGGGTTTTACTCTGTTGCCCAAGCTGGAGTACAGTGGTGTGATCTCAGCTCACTACAACCTCCACCTCCCAGGTCAAGCAATTCTCCCACCTCAGCCTCCCAAATAGCTAGGATTACAAACGCGCACCACCACAGCCTGGCTAATTTTTGTATTTTTAGTAGAGACGGGGTTTCACCATATTGGCCAGGCTGGTCTCGAACTACCGACCTCAGGTGATCCGCCCGCCTCAGTCTCCCAAAATGCTGGGATTACAGGCGTGAGCCACCGCGCCCAGCCCTAATTATTGTATTTTTTGTAGAGACAGGATTTCACTATGTTGCCCAGGCTGGTCTTGAACTCCTGGGCTCAAGTGATCCTCGCATCTCAGCCTCCCAAAGTGCTGGGATTACAGGCATGAGCCACAGCACCCGACCTTGTATCATTTTAATTAATTTAAAATTAATCGTAAGTAGCCACATGAGGCTAGCAGCCACCAGAAAGCACAGCCCTGGTGTGCTCTGGGACCCAGTCGGGCAGGCACCCCTATGCTGGCTGGAGCCTGGGGTCGCCCCACTTCTCTCAACACTGATGGGCATGAGCATTCCTCACCCCAGGGCTCTGAGCACCTCACAGATGGGGGGTTGTGCCACCCTAGCAGTCCCTGCCCCCTGGGAGGCTGGGGAACCCTCTCCTCGGTGGGCAGATAGGGAGACCCAAGCCTAGGGAAGGAAAGTAACTAACTCAGGGTCACACAGCAGGGGCAGGAATAGCAACCTGGGCTGCTGGACTCACACCCCAATCATTCGGAAGGTGGGCGAGCCCAGAGTCCCTTTGGCTTGGGGCATGTAGGTCATTTTCAGGTAACAAAGCACTTCCCCTAAGCCTCTAAATAAGGAACTTATTTTAGATAAAATCCCCCACAAGGGTCCTGGGGAAATTCCTGTTTCCTAAGTAAGCAGAGGTTGAGCATTCAGACACTGGAGTCAGACCTGGGGACACTTCGAGCTCCCCGGCTTACTCTGGGTGACCTTGGCACCTAACTTTAGGTCTCTGAGCCTCAGTTTCCTCCTCCATCAATGGAAACAGAAACTACATGGCTTCACGAGATTGCCACGGCTGTGCATAGCCTCAGTGTGGGGCAAGTGGCAACTCTCAGCAACCACGGGGTTACGCTTATCTGGGTGTAGGAGGTGCGGGTACTGCTGGAGCGGGGTAGGGGGGACACGGCTGCTGTCTCTGCAAGAGGAAGAGGATAACCAGCCTGAGAGCAAGAGTGTGAGTGGGGGGTGAGGTGGGGGTGGGGTTGTCGCTGTGGCAGGTTCCAGAGCTGGCTAGGATTCCCAATCACTGCCGCTCTTGGGCCCCAGGTGAGGTACTTATCTGGGAGTCTCAGTTTCCCTGCCCGAGATCGGCAGGCTACAAGTGCCCCCCAGGTGTTTGGGCAGGACCCTGGGACCCTTCTCTGGGCTGGCAATTGGGTGTGATCGCGGGAAGAGGCTTCTTGGGCCTGCTCCGTGTCTACTGTCACCTAGGCTGTAAAGATGACAGAGGGCCGGAGTGGCTCTCCAGGCTGGGGCCTGGCATTTCACAGCGCTAGCGCCGTGACTTATGGACCACAAGAAGCTGTGATTTATACAACGTGAGGCAGAGCTCCTGGGCTCGTGACTTCCCTTCTGTGATGAAGTGAAGTGCCTTGCAGAAGCAGCAGCCGCTTAGCTGATGCGAGGGGACTCCGAGGCCCATCCATCTCCCTCTCTCCCCATGAGGCTGGGCAGCGTTTTGCTGAAGTGGCTGAACACAAGTGCATCTGTTACTGTCTCCAGAAACCATCAAAGAGCTGAACTTGTCCCTGAGAGGCAGCTCAGAGGGCAGGAAGGGGAGACCCACCCAGGCCAGCTGAGGCAGCTTCAGGACGCTCAGGGGGAAGCACTTGGTACCACGCCTGGCACAGGGAGGAGGCTCAGGAGCAAGCTTCTCTCTCCTGGAGCGACGGCCCGGAGTGCAAACATACCCACCTCCAGTGGGTGCCAGCCCAAGTGTGAGCTTTATTGGCTCATTAGCCCGCACGGCATCAGCCTGGTTTTACAGATGAGAAAAGTGAGGGTCAGGAATGTGAAATGGCCCGCCCAAGGCACACTCCCTAAGTGGCAGAACCACGCGGAAAGCACAGCCCTGACTCCACCCCGGTCTGTTCAGCGCTGGCCCCACCGGCAGAGAAGCAAGCTGGTGCTAATAATTCCACCCCACGTGGAACCGGCGCCCAGAAGCCCCGCTGGATCTTTGCCGCCTCGTCTTTTGGTGATAGTTGTTGTCAGGGCTTCCCTTTAGGTGGGCGAAAATATCTGTTTACTCAGGAATGGAGCAATTTCCCAGGCGAGTCTCTAACTAGCTAAATGCCTGGTCCTGCCTCCGTCGCAGGGAAGCCGCCCACTGTGAAACACGAGCCACTCAGCAGGGAAATGTTTAAGCGGCACCCGCACCCGCTGCACACCGGGAGCAGCGGGGCGGGGGCGGGGGCGTTCCCGGTGATTCCACACCCCGGCCCAGCATGGTGCCTGTCCCAGAAGCCAGGCCACACCCAGTGAGGCGGAACAGGGCTGGCGGAGGGCTGGACCCTGGACCACTGTGCAGGCTGTCCCTGCACTGAGTCAGCCGGGTTTAAATGGACGAGGTCGTGGTCCACTCGGTCCAGGGTAGGTCAACAGGGCACCCACACCCTCTCAGCCATGCAGGGGACCCTGGGGGAAGAAGGCTGGATTGGACCGTGGTCTCAGGCAGGGGCGTGGTCTGGCCCCTTCATCCTGGGCGTGCAGGGCTGTTCCATGGGGATCGTCGCAGAGTAGAGTGCACAGTGCCGGTGTGAGCCCACAGGGACAGCATGGAGGAGGGGGAGGAGTAGGTCCCCCCTCAGCCTTTGCCCCCACCAATGCTGACAACGGTGGGGCCAGCAGGGCTTCGGCCCTGGCTGGTGGGGCACTGTGGGGTGGGCTCTTCCAGTGTGGAGATGACCTTGGGCAGGGGCTGCAGGTTCCATTCACCCTGCAAGGAAGGGGGCAGGAGGTAAACTGAGGCTGGAGGGGCAAGATGGGTGGCTGCTTCCCCAGCCACTTCCCAGCCACCTCTTGGATTCTTGCCCTCAAACTCAGCTTGTCTCAAACTGAACTCACTCTGCTCCCCCAAGTTGCTTTTTGGGGGTCCTCACCTCAGTAAATGCCCCCTCCCCTGGCTTCCCATTCACCTAGTCAGGAACCTGGGAGTCATCCAGGCCTCTCCCCGCCTCTGTCCCCACCCAATTTAATCATTCACCCTAGTGTAGCAACCAGAGCCCCTGGCTGCAGGCTCTGATATTTTTTAGCTATCTCTTCCCCTCAAGGCTACACCAAATGCCAAGTTTTCAACCCCATCAGACGTCCACCCCACACTATTCTCAGCAAGCCAGTATTAGCCCTTCCTTCCCTTGGTGCTGAGGATGTTTGACTTAGCAGTTAATCTGGCTCCCAAATGCTTCTGGGAAGGATCTTCCTGGATCTCCAGGCTGCGGCACCTTACGCGACTAACTCTGCATAGGCCCTGGCCTCCTGACCACAGCCCAGTGGGCCCAGGATAAATTAGATGCCTTCGAATACCAGTGGGTCTCAGATAAGGAGGAAAAAACCAGCTCGCAGCTTCAGACTGGTTCGTTTCTTACCTTCCCCTCCCCTGGTGCTTTATTTTTAGGCAGGTTAGTGCGCCCTGCTCACACCACCTGCATTTGGCATTCGGTACAGTGTGGAGGTGTCACCAGAGAGGGTGCCTGCCCTCCCTTCCTTGCCTCGTTATTGGTTCTCTCTCTCTCCCTCTCTCTCTCTCTCTCTCTCCTCTCTCTCTCCTCTCTCCCTCTCCCTCTCTCCCTCTCCCTCTCTCCTCTCTCTCCTCTCTCTCCTCTCTCTCCTCTCTCTCCTCTCTCCTCTCTCTCTGCTGGCTGGCTGGCTGTCTAGGCCTATGTGTCACCACCTGGCACTTGCTCTCATTGTCTTGTGCGAGTGCTTTTGCCAGCAGTTTGGAGTGCAGACCCATCACCCCTCACTGGGGCCCCCCATGAGGCCTGCCTGACTGCATGCCCCACCCGGGCCCATGGCAGCGCACCTGGAAGCGGACGGCTGAGGACTTGTTGCAGTGCATGGAGATGGGCGCGAAGCTGTACAGGGCCTTCAGTACGTCGCGGTTGAAGGAGTTCCAGGGAACAGAGGTGAACTGCTGAGACACGGACGCCTGAGGGCAGGTGCAGACATCCTCGTTGTTGAACCTGGTGGGGACAAGGAACAGCCAGGCTGGGGAGCAGCTGACGGGCAGGGAGCCCAGTGGGCACCAGCAACACCTCCCTGCAACTCGAGTCCTGTCCCTGGGGCAACCGTCCTGCCACCTCCTCCCCAGCCCCGCTGCCTCCGCCAGGCCACCCCAGATGCTGCCTTCACCGGCAACGGCCTCACCTCTCCTGTCACCTTGGCGGGTGGGTAATGGCTGCTGCAGGCTGGGTTGAGGAGGCTCTGAAGCCAAATCCAGACTCAGCAGGAAACGAGTGAGGGGAGGGGTGAGTGATGCCGCCACAGGTCTCTGCTCCTAGAACTTAGCCTGGACTCCTCCAATCTGCCCAGCCGCCTAACAGGCCCGAGGTTCTGTGTCGGGGTTCCCTGGGGGCAGGGAGCTTGTGCAGGGAGCCCTCACCTGTTGATGAGGTGGAAGTACTTCTGCAGGAAGCCGGCGTCCACAGCGCTCTTGCAGAGCTCCAGCTGCGTCTGGGGGTAGTAGTGCACGTAGTTGACACACATCTCCTCCAGGATCCCGAAGCCCCCCTGCAAGTTGGAGGAGACCCGTCAGCCCCGGGCCATGCCACGCAGACGCTGCCATCCAGCAGCTTTCGCCGCACCCACGTGTACACTGCGTCCACTCGTCTGTTCACTGCACCGTGCCAGGCATGCTCTGGGGAACCGAGTCCCTGCCCTCAAGGAATTGCCACCATTGGCAGGAGAGACAGGCAGTGAGTGAGTGAGTCAACCAGGAAATTCGTATCAGGTACTGATGATGCTGTGAGGAAAAATGAAACGGGACAAGCGGATGGGGTGTTATTGTGCCCATTTTATGGGTACAGAAACTGAGTCTCAGAGCAGGCAAGGGGATGCCCCGTGGTGGCCACAGCATCGGTGGCACAGCCTGAGTGCACCCAGCGTCCCGGCCATTGTCTGGAAGCTGTCCCCATGACCTCCAGCGAGAGCCTGGAGCCAAGGACTGCAAGGGAGGCCCTTTCCACTGCAGCCCCGCACCGTCCACCAGTCATTTCTCCAACGTGGCTCTGAGGGGAGCAGGGACTCTATAAGACAGGACCGTGACTAGAGGCCGCGACAACCTCCAGCCTCTCACGGCAACCCTACGGCCTGCCATCGCATGGGAGGGGCAGGGCAGGCACCCTCTGAGTCCCCACTGCCAGCTTTAAGCCCCTCGCTGGGTTGCTGCTCTTGGAGCTGGTGACCGTGGAGCCTCAGCCATAGGAGGAAGAACAGCAGCAGCTTGGAGGAGCTGGGGCTGGAGAGAGCAAAGCTCCCCCGGCAGCAGCTCAGATCCCAGCAGGTCAGGGGCCGGGACATGACGCCCTGGCCACCCTTGCCCCTCCAGGCTCCCCGCTGTTTGTGAAGCTGCTGTGGGCCTGGGGATTTCATCTGGCTGGTGGGGAAGAAAGGCAATCTTTACTCTATGGCAGAACAAAGGGACTGGGCAAAGCTTGGCGTGGCACTTACACCAGCTGCCGCCCCCTCCTCCCGTGCAGACAAAGAGCATGGGACAGTTCTGCCCAGAGACGAAACCTGGCACCTGTTGGCCAGGACGCGTTTTTGCCAGCATTGTTCTCTGGGCCGGATTCCTCCTTTCCCAGCTTTTCTCATCCATCCCGCCCCCGTCAGATCGGGACGATTGCCCTCCTGTGTGAGTTCCTGTCCCTCCCCACCCTCTGCCACCACAGACATCAAAAGGGAACTGAGTCCGACCCTGTGTAGAATCTGTTCTCCTCTTTCACCTGGGGAAGGAAATCGAATTTCAAAGGCCACTGTGTCTTGGATCAGCAGGCGAGGGCTTGTCAGAGTGTGAGAAGCTCAGGTCCACCTGGGGAGCTGCCCTCCCCTTTGATCCCACCTGGTGCTGTGATGTGGCCACTGCCAAGAGGACGACATGGGCCAGGGAAGCCACAGAACTGCCCACGGGGACGCTGGCACCGAGGGCCTCAACCTGCAGAACGGCCATCTGAGATGTCCGCGGTGCTCACCAGGCCTGGCAGCCCCGAACGCCCTGGGACGTGGCGTCAGTTCCGCCGCCGTGAAGCCAGATTGGGCAGGGAATATGCAGTCTCCTCGCTGGATGCCCGGCAAGACCCTCCCATCCCTGGCCCCGGGGCCGCGCCTGCAGAATGGGGCTGATGGTGGGGACTTGCCTGGGGTGCTCCACCTGCAGAGCCCTCTGTTTGCGAGCCCACTCAGTCACTGCACAGGTGCTTAGCCGAGAGGCGGCACAGTCGGGGTTGGCACCTGCACCCATACCAGCCCTGCCTCCTGTTCGCTGTGTGGCCTGAGTGGCTGGACCTCACTGTATCTCCTGGTGGGATTGCTCAGAGGTCTCAGCAAGGCTTGGTGTGGTTAGGATGAGTTATTAGAGCAGTGCTGAGCTGTGGCAAGCACCCGACATCAGCCACTGCTGTGATATACTGAGCACCTCCTCTAGAGAGAATAAAGGACTGACAAAGCTGTCCTGTCTCCACCCTGAGTTTGTGATCAGGAACCTAGGACACTTGTCACCTGAAATCCAAGGGAGACAGGAAGGGTGGGGTAACAGCTGTGAGGCACAAGACCCTGGGTCAAATCCCAGCTCAGCCATCTATCAGCTGTGTGACTTTGGTCAAGTGCCTGCCCTCTCTGAGCCTTTATGTCTCACCTGTGAAAATACAAACACTGGCTGGGTGCTATGGCTCATGCCTGTAATCCCAGCATGAGGGATTACATGAGGAGTTTGAGACCAGCCTGGCCAACATGGTGAAAATCCATCTCTACTAAAAATACAAAAATTAGCCAGGCGTGGTGGTGGGTGCCTGTAGTCCCAGCTATTCAGGAGGCTGAGGCAGGAGAATCGGTTGAACTCGGGAGGTGGAGGTTGCAGCAAGCTGAGAACACACAGCCTGGGTGACAGAGCGAGACTCCGTCTCAAAAAAAAATAAAATATAAAATAAAATAAAATAAACCACTGGCAGTCTGGGCTCAGTAAACATCAGGTGAATCCACATTGGATTAAAACACAAAGAATAGGGCTGTGACATGGACCTGAGTTCCTGGCGCTGAGGGATGTCAGGGTAGCTGTAACCCAGGTCTGCTCCACTTGAGCCACACAATTCACAGGATAATTATTGGAGACCACCATGGTTACCGAAGCAGCTGGCACGGATCCACTGGCAAGGTGGCCCATTTGCCAGGACAGCCCTGGCTTGTGCCTGGGACCCAGGTAATTGTGAACAGCATCCCCTTTGGCTCCCGGAAGCAGCCCCGCTGCGTGATGCATCACGTGGCTGCCCGTGTCCTGGTGCTGCCTGCATACCCAGCCTTGAAAATAGATCTCTCCAGTGCAGATTCTCCTTGAACTGTCTGCAGTCCAGCCAAAATGCATCCTCAGCTGACGCTCATCCTGCCTGACCCCCACCCATGTCTCCACCCTCTCCTCCTCTCCTTTCCATCCTGAGAATGTTCTTGGTCCTCTGGGCCTTCCCGCACGCAGCCCCTGCACAGAGCCTTCCTTCACCTCCTCCCCTCTCCCCTGGGCTCCATGTGACAGCCACATTTCTGACAAGGCCCTCCCAGGTCCCCGCACCTCTGCCTCCTCAACCTGGTTTTTAAAGTTTTGTTTTGTAATTTTGCTTGTTGTTAGCAGCAGGTGCTCCAGGCCTGTCTCCCTGGTGCACCTTGAGCTCCACGGGGCAAAGGTCAACCTCTTGTCCTACAGCTTCTCCCCACACCAGCCCCGGGTGCTGAGAAGCTTCTTGGTGTGAGTGCTTCTCAACCTTGAGCAGGGGTCAACATCCGCTGGGAGCTTGTTAAAACATGGATTGCCCGATGCCACCGCCTGTGTCTCTGACTCAGTGGGCCTGGGGTGGCACCCAGGAGGTTGCATTCATCCCAAGCTCCCTGGTGATGCTGCCACTGTGGTTCAGGGAGCTGAGAACGACTGGCTTATTGAGGGGACGAGCCCATGCCCTAAGTGAGGAGTCAAGACCTGTCATCCTTCCTCAGATGGCTCAGGCTGAACACTCGCCCTGGGCAGGTGCAGGGGGAAGCGGGGGTGACTTACCACTGTGGCCAGCTCCCGGTCTTCTGTGTTGTACGTGCAGGAGGTGATGAGCACATCTCCCTGAGGAAAAGCCAATGTGACCATCAGCACCTGCCACCTGGCGTTGGCAGGTGCTGGAGGCCTCGCCCCCATAGGACCACGCCACTGTGCATGCCACGGCACCTCTGGGGTACAGTCCCTGTCGTCCACTACAAGGAGCCCAGCAGATTCATGTGCGAAGGTCACAGGCTGAGTGTTCCCGAGCAAGTTATAAACCATCAGCTCCTGTGACCCAGTGGGTCACAACAGGGCCAGGGCCCAGGCCAGTGGGGGTGCAGCTGGTGGGCCATGACACATCTCAAAGGACTTGGGCAAGTCCCCACCGAGGCCTGGGCTTGGCCCTCTGTGGGATCAGGGCTCCACTGCCTGCCTTAGTGCCCTCATCTCCCCCAAACACTCTCGGGTTTGTGGTCGGCCCATCAGACTGAGGACACGCGTCCCCTGGGAGTGTCCTGTCTGCTCCACTCTTTCCAACGTCTCTCCATGAACTCCTGAGTGAGTCTCCCCATGAGGTAGCCCAGCCCAGAGCCACCCACAGGCACCCTCCCCCTGCCCTGGATGGCTCTCCCTCCCCCTATCACTTTCTGTGTCCCTCTCCTTCTGGTGGCACCCCCAGCCCTCTCAGCCACCCCAGCTGGTGGCAGTGAGTGGGACAGCCTTCCCGCTGGGCACTCACCGGATGGACCGACACGACCTTCTTCAACATGCGGATCTCCTGGGGCAGGCAGAGCCGAGGGGTGGGGGAGAGGAGACCTCAGAGAGCTGCAGACCAGACCCCCGGCCACTGTGTCCTCCCTCAGGCCTCCCTGACCTCTGGGGGTGTCCATTTTGCCCCAGCCTCTACAGTGGAAGCCAGAGCCCGCTAAGTGTGGCTTCTGGCCAGGGAGGGCATTAGATTCAAACCAGAAGGTGGTTATCCAAGACCAAGATTGATGTTCCCAGAGGGCCGCCTGGGTCTCCCGAATCCCACCACCATCTGCCATGTGCCAGAGGCCTCCCTACGATCAGACACCAGACACCCAAGTGGGGAGCACAGGCCACATGGGTGGGGGGCGGGTGGGGCTGGCCCAGGAAAAAGAAGCCAGCCTGGAGCCATCCCTATGGTGTCAGGAAACAGTAGACCCAGGAGGTCGTGTGGTGGCAGGGTGTGGGGGCGGGGCAGGGGTGGGGTGCAGGTTCCTACCTGGAAGTGAGGGCTGTAGTGATTGTCCTGGTTCACGATCTCCCACTCCCGGCCGTCCCGGACCAGCACTGTGACCACCTTTCTCCCAGTCAGGTGTGTGTGGAGCTGAGAGGCGAAGATGTGGATCCCGGAGGGAGGCAGTGCCTGTGGGGTCGGGGGGCTGCAGTGTCAGGGCCTGACCCCCGAGGGGACCCTCCCGTCCATGGCCAGGACCCGGTAGGGAGCAGCCACCCTGGGCAGTTTGCTTCCCTGGAACACTTGCATTTTCTAGGTCTTTCTCCCCGGCCAGGTTAGAGCCACCATCAGAAACCTCACGGGGAAGAGCGAGGGGGCCGCAACAGCCCCCAGCTCCCAAAGAAGCAGCCCCTAGTCCCACTCAGGAGCGACTTTCTTTCCGAGTCCTTCATCCTCTCCTGAGCCCCTGAAGCCTGACAGGTTCATCTTCACTCAGTCAACAGGCCTTTAAGGCGAGCCTCCCGTGGACAGGGTGTGGCAAAGCCACCAAGCTGAGCAGCGCGTGGCCTCTGTGCTGAAGAGCTTGCTGTCCAGGGAAAAGCAAGTGGCAGAAGGTGGTACTTGGCAGGTCCCCTACGTGGTGGGCCGAGCAGGACCTTCAGCTGCCCTGCGTTGTGGCTTCCTTTCAGCTTCAAAGCAGCCAAGGCTGCATTCTCCCTGTGCTCAGCATCACCCCGTGCTACAGCTGGGAGCTGTAGCTACAACTGGAAGGTGGTCATCCAGGACCAAGATGGATGTGACCATGGGGTGCTGCAGCTGGACACTCTGAGGCTGCAGGCCGGCCTCACAGAAAAGATGGCAGCCCTCATCTCAAGAGGTCTTATGCCATCACTGGGGCATGAGAGAATCTTCCAGAGAACGAAAGTTTTCTCTAACCTAATGCTAACTTTTTTTAGATAGAAAATGCATTTCCATGGCTGGGCATGGTGGCTCATGCTTGTAATCCCAGCACTTTGGGAGGCTGAGGCACATGGATCATTTGAGGTAAGGAGTTTGAGAATAGTCTGGCCAACATGGTAAAACCCCGCCTCTACTAAAAATACAAAAATTGGCCGGGCATGGTGGCACGTGCCTGTAATCCCAGCTACTCAGGAGGCTGAGACAGGAGAATCACTTGAACCCGGGAGGCAGAGGTTGCAGTGAGCCAAGATTGTGCCATTGCACTGCAGCCTGGGCAACAGGAGCGAAACTCCATCAAAAAAAAAAAAAAAGAAAGGAAGGAAGAAAGAAAAGAGAAGGAAGGAAGGAAGGAAAGAAAGAAAGGAAAGAAAAGAAAGAAAAAGAAAAAGAAAGAAAAAGAAAAGAAAGGAAAGAAAAGAAGGAAAGAAGGAAAGAAAAGAACACGTCTTTCCTGAAATCGAGCATTTTCTTTGTGAGTCAGTTGTCCTTTTGCCCACCCGCTGCCAGGCTCTGCCCAGTTTGTTCATGCAGTCAGCAGGTCCCAGAGCTCAAGGTCCCGACAGCCCCATCCCTGAAGGTCCCAGATGGCCGAGCTTTTTAGGACTCACTTTTGCTCCTTCCCTCTCGCTCCCAAGCAGCGGCCGCCCTGACCTTGCCGTCGCCTATAGCTTTGTGTCCCTTGCAATGGCTTGAGAGGCCACTGTGTGCCAGGCCTGGGAGCCCAAAGGGTCCCAATGCCCCTTTGGCCCCCAGAGGCCGACCCTGGCCCAGAGATGCCAGGTGTCGGCCAGGTGGAGGGAGGACTATGCTCTTCTGGGCACTCTGGTCCAAAGCAGCACTCTTGTCTTGGCCTATTTCACTGGGATAGCTAGACTAGGCCAGATTTTGGCTGCAGAATTTGTGCCCCTCTTTTATCTGCCAAAGGAGAGACAAGACTGAACATTCTCATTCTGTTACTTAAGGTAGTGGAGGACTCTGGCAAGGGGAGGCGGGTCTGTATTCCTGAGGCTGGAGAGAGGCGTTCTCACAGTCAGCGGTCAGCGGGGTCGAAGGCCCCAAGGCCCTGCAAGGGGCAGTGAGTGCTGCCTGGCCGGAAGCCGCTCTTCCCCATGAGCCCTGGCCAAGGTGCCTTTTACATGGGCCCACGCTTCACCAGTGGGCGCTTTAGGGAAGTGGGAGAGAGTGTCCACCCCCGTCTGGGACAAAAGGAGCTGATTTCCTGCCGGAGACAATGGGTGCCATGCCGGCTGAGAGCTCCGTCTCCCTTCAGCCTTGAGGAACCTTTGCTTGGAAGACTGGGATGCTCTGGGGGCTCACCCACATGAAGAACAAATCCCAATCGACCCATTTACTAGGAAGGAAAATCCACTCTAAACCTCATTACAACGAAATCTGCTGTCACGGCCACAGCTTTCAAAGTCAGACAGACTGGTATTTGAATCTTCACTCTGCGTGACTGCTGGCAGTGTGATCCCAGCAAGCCTCAGTCTCCCCATCTGTGAAATGGGTACGTCAACACTTACTTTGCAGGTCACTGTGAGAAGTAAAGCTACCGCACAGGAGGAAATGTTTGTAACATATACACAAACTATGAAATAACATCCATCATATAAGAAGAACTCCTAGAAACCAACAGTAAGAAAAACAAACCACCTACTGGAAAAACCGAGCATAGGAATGAACAGAAAACAGGAACAAATGGCCAAGAGGCAGAGGAAAAGATCCTCAAGTCCACAAATAGAAAATTCAAGTTAAACAACACTGACATGTCTTCCTCCCAAATGACAGAAAATATTTACAATATTAATAATCCAGTGGGTCAGTAAAACCGGGCACCCTCTCGTCCTATGTGTGGGAGGGAGCAGAAGATGGGCTTTCTGAGGGGCATTTTGCAAGATTTACTCAAGGGAACACTCACATCTCTGAGCAGCAATTTCATGCCTAGAAATCTACATGAGAAAATGGTTTCCTACATGGACAAGGATTTCCCAGAAGCTTCTTTCTATTGGTGAAAAGTTGAGAACAGCCTAGACACTGATTGATAGGGAGACAGTTCAGCACAGGCTTGGACCAAGATAGGGCAAGCAAAGGAGGAGATTTTAGTAGTCACTCTCTGAACTCACCAGAAGCCAAGGACAGGACCTGCTGTTGGCGCCAGTCTAAGCGCCAACCTGTGCCTCCACCCAGCGTGCATAGCCCTGAGGACGGGTGCTCCCTGAGATCCTGTACCCGGCACTTCACTGCCTCACCTAGTCCTGCCCTGCTCAGGTGCGTGGTGAAAACCCCATCCTGTGGAATACTATGCAGCAATAAAAAGGCAAATCACCAGAAAAATGCCTCCCATTTGTTGAAAAATTTGTTAACTATTCAATACAACTTTTTAAAAACACAAAAGGTTTCTAACACCTGCAAGAGCTTCCTGAAATATACAGGAAAAAGGTCTGGAAGGACACAAAGAGCCAAGAAGTGGCTATCTCAGGGGGAGGCGGCAGCGGATGAGGGGAGCGTTCTCTTTAGCTGCAGTGCCTGCGCTTGTGAGTGGCAAGTGCATGTGTGTGTTGCTTACATAATGAAGGCATATTTTAAAATGCAGCTCGTGGAAGCCTGGCACGTGGGTGTGGACTAGTGGGAGCCATGGTTATTGCTGGAGAGGGAGGTGCATACACACACAAATGGCCTCTCAGCAGCAGGGTTCCCTTGCATACAGAAAAGAGGGAGGACCGCAGGGGGATTCAGGGTCAGGGGAAACCAAAGCTGTGCCTGCCACCCTTCGTGGGCCACGACCTGCCAGGCCTCCACTGAGGGACGCGGGAGGAGGGAGGGTGCAGTGCCGGGCCCAGCCCCACTCACCAGCTGGGTGCACTTGTCCGTGCAGTAGCCAGTGAGGATGAAGGCGGTCTCCCGTGGTGGAATGGCCATCACTGGCGTGTACACCAGTCCCAGCTCCATGATCCCCGCGTTGAAGCGCCGCAGCTTGGCTGTGTAGTACAAGCGGATGCCTGAGGAGTCGTTTCGTCCTGGGAGAAGGTGGGATGGATGGAGGTGAGCGGTAAGTGGAGGCCCTCTCACTTCCCCCTGCGGACAGATTATCCCTATGACCCCAGCCACCCTCAGCCAGGAGGCAGGGCCGGTCACCCCCCATCTGCTCCCACCTGCTAGGCAGACCAAGAGCTGGCTGTCTTTGTTTCCACACCTGTGGATGCCAGGCAGCTCGCAAGATCAATTAACGCAAACAGGCTACACTCACTGGGAAGAAAGAGCTGCTGTTTCTATGAAAACTAGTTGAATGCTATGGAAAGATGTGATCAACGTGAGCCACTTAAAGCCTCCATGGAATCAGGTGCGGGTGAGATGCTGCTGATAGACGGAAACTCGTAAACAACTTGAGTTCTGTGCTCAGATTGTTTCATAAGTGCTTTGATGTTCTTCTTCCACGTTCAAAGGAACCTAAGCTGGAAATCAGCCTGCAAGACGGTGACAACCTGCAGGGTGTGGTCTGGGCAAAGAAGAGGGCATGGAACTCCCATCTGCCGATGGCACAGAAGAGCCCTGGCCCTGCGTCAAAGCTGGGCAAGTGTGAGTGTATCTCTGTGTTGAGGTTAACAAGAAGCATTCAAGGAGCACATCCTCCCAGCAGCCCCCACTTTTACTACTTTGATTTATGTCCTGCAGACCCAAGGAACCCACCTACCAAGCTGACATCTCAGGAACAATTTGAGTGAGAATGTGGCCCCCCAGGAGGAGGGCCAGCGTTGCAGGTCTAGCCCCCGTTCATGCACAGGCCAGGTCCTGCTTGGTCAACAGCGTGCTGTGTGCTCTCAGATGACTTGCTGTCCCTTTATGAGCCTCAGCCCACACTCAAGGGCCTCTTCCAAAGGAATAACATGGTGCTTCTTCGAGTCACGGAGACTGTGTCTCCTGATTATGGTGTGGCCACACCTGTTAGTTCTCCTTGCCGTTTGCTAATTGGAGAGTCCCTGAAGCTCCCTGGGCCAGCCTCCCAGTGGTCACATGAAACTGATGGTCAGAGGTCCAGGGGGCCGGGCACGGTGGCTCACGCCTTGTAATCCCAGCACTTTGGGAGGCCGAGGTGTGTGGATCACCTGAGGTTGGGAGTTCGAGACCAGCCTGACCAACATGGCGAAACCCTGTCTCTACTAAAAATACAAAAATTAGCCAGGTGTGGTGGCACGCACCTATAATCCCAGCTACTCAGGAGGCTGAGGCAGGAGAATCGCTTGAACCTGGGAGGCGGAGGTTGCATTAAGCTGAGATCGTGCATTGCACTCCAGCCTGGGTGACAGAGTGAGATTTCGTCTCAAAACAAAAAAACAGAGGTTCAGGGATGCTGGCACCCACTCGAACATCCTCACAACCAGGTGTCATCCAGGTAGCCCCACCGTTCCTGAAACTCCATGCCTAGTGAATCAGCAGCCAGGCTCTGAGTACCGGCTGGGCTCATGGTTGGCGGAGGATCTAAAGGCCTGGCCCCATGCCCCCGGATGCATGGTGGACATGGTGGACATGGCGGACATGGCGGGGTGGTCTGGAGGGGCTGTGCAGCAGGAGGCTCTGCCCCCTGGGTTATGTACAGGAAAGGGATGTCAGGCGGCAAGGAGTGTGAAATTGACAAGGGGTTTTAATTCACAGGGAAGAGGCTTCTGATGAAGTTTAAGTAAAAAAACAAACAACAATGAAAAAAAAAGATATAAAATTCTAGTCACAAGAAAAAAATTAATGGGCCAGAAAAGCAGTCAGGACAGACACATAGCTGGGTGACCAGTGCTCACTTCAAAACTTGGAGCCGGGAGCTGGGGGGTGGTTTCATCTTCTTCATGCTTTTCTGCTGTCCATCTTCTCACCAGTGTACATGCATTGCCCTTTCTGATCAAACCAAGAGGGTGGTACAGATACTAACATCTTCCCTGGGTGCCAAAAATGCTCTAAGCATAACCTACCCCTTTCATGGAAGTTTTGCACAGTGAGAATCATCAGCCCTATTTCACAGATTAAGAAACTGAGGATGGAGCCTGAACTGAAGACTCCACACAAGACCACAGGGCTGGGAAGTGGCCAAGCTGAGGTTCAAACCCAGGGCTGTGGACTGGGGTGCAGGGCACTTCCAGGGGGCCCAACCATCTCCCTACTTGTTTCCTTTAAGATGAGGCCAAAACAACTCCTCTTGCCTCTGCCTTCTTCCCTCGACACCCCTACACCATCCAAACTCAAACGGCTCCTGTATCTCCAGGCTGATTACATCAGAGGATAATAATAAAAAGGGTGTTGCAATTGGTTAAAATTCAGATGGGGATTAAATCATGAAATAATTGTGGGATTTTGATATTTATAGAAAAGCAGCCCATCTCAAGATGGGTGAAGTGACAGGAGCGTCCTTATATTTGGCAAAGGATCCATAAATACAACCAGATAATCATGAAGAGACAGACTTCCCTGATGCTTCAGGAGTTTTCAAAAATCCATTTGCTTTCAGGGTTTAAATGAGCAATAAATCCCGTGTCATGCTAAGGCCCAAGCTGACTTATACCCTTCTCTGTGCATGTGGAGATAACTCCAACAGTGGCGGAAGGTATTACTTATGCAGCCAGGAAAAAAAAAAAAAACCACAGGCGACTGTTAGCTGAGCACAGCCCCGTGCCCACAGCAAGTTCTGTGCGTGAGCCTTTCCCAGCTTCACAATAGCTGTGGGAGGTGGGAGAACAGGCAGCGGGTGAGGTCATCCACCCAGCGTCCCCAAGGTGGTGAGGCACAGCCTAGCACCTATCTCTTAGGCCACTTCTGCACCTTGCACAAATGAAAAGAAGAAGCACCATTCAGAGAGAGAGAAAAAGTGTGTGCATGTGTGTGCTTCTGCGTGCATATGTGTACATGTGTGCATGTGTGTGTGCGTGTGTGTGTGCATTGTGTGCGTGTGTGTCTATATATGGTGAAAGATGCTGGTGCAACAGAGAGAGGGAAGTATTTTTTTCAGTTTCTGAGACAGCATCACCTGGCCTTGCCATGCTAAAAGCTGACCCTGCTCACTCCACCCTCAGGTATGGGTGATCCAACAGCAGCTGCCCCAGCTCCCCTTCCCGTCCCTGCACTCTGGCCAGGCCGGAGCGCCTGTGTCCTGGAATATGCCCTGCTTTACTACCACCTCCCTGTTTATGCACACACCTCTCCCTGTATTTGGAACTTGGCATCTGGCAGCTTCCCTTATGAAAATTCTCCTTGTCCTTTCCCCTGGGATGCACAGTGCTGCGCCGATGGCAGCCCGTATTATAGGGACGAGGAGGGAGGTGTGGGGCCACTGCTGGGCCCTGGCGAAGCTGTGAGGAGTGAGCCCCTCGAGGTCCTGTCCCTGGGAGCCCACCACAGCCATGGAAGATGGACAGCGGATGAGGCAGACGCAAGGGCCTCGTGCCAAGAGGAGCTGTACAGCGGGGGCACCATGCTGGGCAGACGAAGGGCGGGATTTGCTCACTGGCTCAACACAGCTGAGTCCTAGGGCTTCTGAGGAGGATGGCAGCAGAGCCGCCTACCTTCTATCACCAGTGGGTTGTGGTAGTGAACTTCCAGGCGGAGATATCTGGAGGACCCTGGACCCCCGAAGGCAAGGCCGGCTTCCTCTGGGTAGTAAAATGCCTGTGTGGGGCAAGGTGTCAGACAGACGGGTGTGTCCTGAGAGGGCCCCAGGTCTGGGCAGGGGCAAACCCAGTCAACTGTTGGGGCCTGAGCCTCAGGGGTGGTGGAGGGGGCGCAGCAGGATTAGAGCGATGCTTCCTCCTGACAGGCAGCTCATTACACGCCCCAGGAACATCCTGTGAGACTCGGGTCAGGGAGTTGGGGAGAGGAGCTGGTGCCTAGGGCTGAGCCTTCCCCCAAAACCCCTTCTCTAGACGGGTGTAAGAGCTGGGGAGACCCCCATCGTCTCAGCCTGTGGAGGCCTCAACACTGGCCCCACCGCCAGCCAGCCCTGGGACCACCTGTACACAAAACCCTGACTCCAGTTGGGAAACAGAATCAGGACCCACTGAGGGCATAAGGTCCTGCGGCACTTGCGTTTCTGTGGAAAATAAAAAAAAGGCTTGAAGCATTTCAGACATCACAGAGGCGAGGGGGCCACCTCAGGCCTGGCCCTTCTGGTGGCCTCGTGAGCCCCCTTGGGAGCCCCTTCTTGAAGCCTCTGAGACGGTGAAGCTGGGGAAACAGAGGTGTGGGGATGCCAGGGGCCCAGGCAGGAGACACCATGCTGGGGTCGCAGGGCACGCACCTTGGCACCCAGGGCCCAGGCGGCCAGCACGTGGCGGCAGTAGTTGAGGCGGTCGGGTTTCATCTTGGAGTCGCAGGGCCCGCTGAAGTGGGGGACGCTGTCCATCTCGGGGGCGCACTGGAAGACTTCCATGTGGTGGACAAGGGCCTCATTGCCCTTGGTGACGATGGGCTCGTACTGTGAGGAGGCAGCCCTCTGAGCCCGGGAACCGGCCGCCCACCCTCCCCTCCCCAGCAGCCCTCCTCCATGGGCTTCCGAATGCCCATCTGTAAAATGGGAGGGATGATCCAGACAATTTCAGGGGCACTTCTGGGGTTCACAGCCTTGAGGGTGGAGCCATCAGCCCAGAAAGAAATCCCGTAGGCAGCTCCAGAGTGAAGGAAATGAGGTTCGTACAGGCCAAGGCAGGGACAGGACGCAGCCGTCCTCATGCATATGGGGCTGTGGCCGGGCCAGCTCCTGCAGCCCCAGTGGGAGGCAGGGCAGCCCTGAGGTTAGAGCCCGGGCCCAAAGCGCACCTTCAAGGCCATGCCTCTTCCTGCTGTGTGACTCTGGACACTCACATAACCTCTCTGAGTGCACCTTCAAGGACATGCCCCTTCTTGCTATGTGACCCTGGACACTCAACCTCCCTGGGCCACACTTCCTCTGCTGGAAACTAGGGGCTCTTATGATGAAGGAGGGATCACCTCGCCCCTCCCCCGGGACTAGTGGCATAGTGGACACTCGACAGCTATCGCCTTTGCTATTCTGTCTTCCCCGGACGGGTGTTCGAGAGCAAGTGAGTTCTGACTCGAGCTGCTTTTTCATGAAGGGGGAGGTGGCCTGGCAGACAGACAGCAGTTCCAGTCCCAAGGAAAGATGCAGAAGTCAAGATGTTGGTCACTTTGGTCCAGGCAGGGAAGTGGGAGCTCCAAGGCCCTTTGAGGGTAGGGGAGTGAGCAGAGTGATGGGGAAGCCAAGACCACTTGCTGCTCCCCTGCTCAGGCAGGTGCCTGAGGTTCCAGTGATAAGAGGACACCTGGTCCAACCAGGACTGTGGACAGCTCTCCAGGGTCAGGGACAACCCAGGCCCGGGAGGAAGGCAGGGCTGGGCGAGGACCTCGGCCCTGGACCCGCACGTACCTTGATAATGTGGTGCCGAGAGAAGCCCTTTGGAAGCTCCTTAATGTAGCACCAGTACGTGGTCTCCTGGCTGGGGATCTGGATATTGGGAGCTTGGACCTCCATGGTGCACGCGTCTGAGGGCAACTCCGGTTCGGGGATATTGGGCTTCAGGAGCTGCACCCTCTGCAGCCCCATCTGCAGGCCCGAGCCGTTGATGGCCTCCAGTGACCGGAACGGCTCCTCCAGGATCCCGTAGACCAAGTGGACAGTGCCGTCCTGCAGCCGAGACAGGGTTCAGCTGGTCGCCCTCTCAGAGCCCCCAGAGTTGGGCTCCTGAGAGGATGCCACATCCCTGCCCACCCACACCTACCAGGTGACACACCTCACTCTCATCTCTGTGAATAAGGGACCCTTGAGGCTTGCATGGCCCTGGCTGGGGCCAAATCCCGGGCTGACGACCCCCAGGATCCCCTATTTGCACCGGCCATCAAATACTTTTCTCTTCTAAACACATTCCACCTACATTCACTTAACATCCATTCAACCAGTGACTACTGGGCCCGCCGTGAGCCAGTGTGGCCGGAACATTTGTTCCCTCCACCAACCCCAAGGTCACTGGGGACTGGGTGTGGGGGATCATTGGTCAGTTCAGCAGCCCAGCCTGAGGATTCAGTGCCCTCTATGAAGGGAAGGAAACACCCTGGGGCTTGCTGATGGTCACGCTGAGCTGCGGAGCCACGCTATATTATGTAGTCACCACCAGCTTGGCAGGAGGGGACCAAGCAGCCACAGAAAGCTCCATGGATCTACGCGGTGCTGGAGGCCACAGGCAGACTCAGGAGGCAAGCTGTGGGGCTGGCTTCCTCACATGCTGTCATGAATGGAAACGGGGATCGGGTGTGGAAAGTGCCTTTCATAGCTTTCTGGGCACTCCACAGTGCAGACCCGTGTGGGTGGCTAATTTGCTCTTTGAGTTTGCGGAAAGCCGATGGGCCGCCCTGTGCAGGGGACGCCCAGAACTCCAGGCAAAGGCCCCTATACCTGGCCTGGGGCCACTGGGCTGAGCACACACAGGCATTGGCCTCCCCCTGTGAGGTGCTTCCAGAGGGTTCTCTGCTCACCCTTGCCTCGTCCACTGGGAAGCAGGGTAAGGGCTCAACAACCTCCTGGAAGAACACCTCTTCTGGCACCAGGTCTGCCCCAGCACACCCCGAACCCCTGGGTACATCCACTCCCCGTCTCCGGGCCTTAGTTTCCTCATCTGGCAAACAGCCAGCTGTTCTGTTTTCTTAGATTCCGTATTTGTCTATTTGGCATCTATTAATGGATTGCAGGCTCAAACAGATGGCCAGAGTTGTTTACACCTGCCCTTCCCTCCAACATTCACGCTTGTGTGAGAATCATATTCCCAACCCTCCAACCCGTCCCAAGCCCATATCCTTAGCCACCTCCTCCACCTGACTGTCACACACCAGGCCAATATTGCCTCAGCCCTAAATCACCCTAGGGCCAGGAACCAGGCAACTAGAGACCACCCCGGCCACCCAGAGCCCACCAGAATTGTCCAAATGAAGCAACTTCCCTGCCCTGCCTGGCCTTTCCCATGGAAACCCCAAGAAAGCCTCAGGCCTGGGCTCTCCCCTAGCTCCTGCATCTGCCTCCTGACCAAACCCAGGGCTCTGCAGGTGGCCCTGCACGGCACAGGTGCCCCTTCTCTCCGGAAATGCAATCAATCTTTCGATGGCACTGGCCTCCCGTGTGGTCACTCAGCTACACCCATGATTAAGACCTGGCACTAACGGCCAGCCCAGGCCACTGCCACACCAAAGGATTACTTACACAAGACAAAAGCTGTCAGGTGTGCTAGAGTTAAAAGAGTTTTGTCTTCAAGGGCAAGGTGGGTTGCTTTCCCTAAGAGGTTGGGGGGCTCTTAGAGCAGCATAAGAAGCCTATGGCTTTTACAATGTTTTATGGCTCCCATGAACTCCCAGAGTTGGTCAGGCCATACAGATCATCTAGTTCCCATCTCCATTTTACAGATGGGCAAAGTGAGGTCCAGAGGAGGGGGGCAGTTGTCCCGAGCCTCACAGCGAGCTGGCAACAGGGCCGGGATGGAAAGCCAGGTCGCCTGGGCTCCAGAATCCCACCTGATGGTTAACAGGACCAGGAGGAGAGAGACATCCAGAAGCAAGGTCTAGTCCAATGGGAGAGGCTTCAGCACAAGCCCCGCATCTAGAAACCATGTCAGCTACGTGTTGGCAAAGAGCTGCGTCTTTGAGGGCTCAGGGGCAATAGCAGAGCTGGACCATCCTAAGTGCTTTGGCCCCACCACTGCCTCTGGCCATCCTCCTTGGCTTTCTCTCTGTCATAGCTGGCCAGGCCCAGGCCCCAGACTTATCAGGGACAGGAAAGGTACTATGACATTGGCACAGGATGGCAGCATGATACACGCAGCCCACGCCCTCCTGGGTACTCGCGGCCACCCCTTACTTCAATGAGGTAATCCTTGGGGTCGCAGGTGCCAAAGGGCCTCTTGAAAAGCAGGGTCAGGCCTTCTGGGGTCCTCTGCACCTGCAGCAGCTGGTAGTCCTGCTGGGGATCCAGGTGGATCTGCCCCTTCTGGTCACTCCAGGCGTCCTGCAGAGACAAGCACTGGGCTCCAGGCATGAAGGAGCCAAGCCGGGCCAATCCACAGGGGAAGAGGGCATTCCCCGGCAGAGCTCCGCATTCATTGCCAGCTGATCTGGGGATGCTGGGCCTCAGTCCCTGTGGATCTGAGGGTTCTGCCTGGGGCTGTGGCTTCACTCACACCTTCTATCTCCATTTCTGCCTGGAGACAGTGGAGATGAGCCCCGACAGTGGAGTTGGTTCCTCCTCTGCAGCCAGGAACCAGGGCTGTCACTTGCCAGCAGGTCACAGGTTCTGTTAGCCATGGGCATTCCCGGGCCTGGCGGGCGGGACACTGAGCTTCTTAAGAAGATGCCTGAGGCTCCCAAGGCCTCCTCAAGACTGGGAACAATGCCTCAGACCAATGCTGCCCACATTCATGCAGGCAGGAGAGTTGCGGAGCCTCAGAAAGGGGAGAGTTGGGAACAGGGTGGGACATGAACAGGAAAGGAGAGAGAAACCAGGGTGCCACATCTAAGATGGTGATTGATAGCAGGTGCCCACCCTGCACTGGCACAACCCTGAGAACAAGCACTGCTTTATTACTTTATAAATACATGTAATTTTGGATTTTTTTTTTTTTTTTTTTGAGATAGGGTCTCGCTATGTTGCCTAGGCTGGTCCTGAACTCCTGGCCTCAAGCGGTCCTCCTGCCTTGCCCTCCCAAAGTGCTGGAATTACAGGCATGAGCCACCACACCCAGCCTGAAGCACCACTTTAAACCCTGCAGCCTAGGCATTGTTCCCCTCACCTTAGTCCCAGCCCTGCTTGGAGAAGGTAAACTGAGGCCCAGGGAGGCATTGGACCTGCTGCATTCTCCGAGGATGCTTCCTGGGATCTGGATCAGTGACCTCTGCCCTCCCCGTCTCCGGCCGCTCCCCTTGCACTGGGCCCTAAGGGGCAGGGACACGGTGGCCCGAGGCCAGGTCACATGGAAGACCACCAGGGAGACCCACTGAGAGACAGCGAGGAGCCTTCCCCAACAAGCAGGCTGCCCTTCGTACTCAAGAAGGGCCCTTCTTAGATTCCATATTTGTCTATTTGGCATCTATTAATTGATTGAAGGCTCAAACAGATGGTCAGAGTTGTTTACACCTGTCCTGCCCTCCAACATTCACACGTGTGTGAGAATCATATTCCTAACATTCCGACCCACACCAAGCCCATATCCCTAGCTACCTCCTCCACCTGACTCTCACACCCCAGGCCAATATTGCCCCAACCCTAAAACACCCTAGGGCCAGGAACCAGGCAACTAGAGACCACCCCAGCCACCCAGAGCCCACCAGAATTGTCCAAACGAAGCTGCTTCCCTGCCCTGCCTGGCCTTTCCCATGGAAACCCCAAGAAAGCCTCGGGCCCTTGGCCTTAAGGACTTTGGGTTGTGTTTCTTTTTAATCTTACATTCAGGGTAAAACATCTTTTCTTCATTTCCTTGAGAAAAAAGAAATCTGCAAAAGATACTGCAAAACTTTCCCTAGAGAAAAAAGCCACACAATGCAACCCCGCTGGGGACACCGCTGGTTTGCCGAGAGACTCATTTTAAACAGAGGCAGAAAGTTCGCCTGTGATATTTCAGCTGGAAATCAAGAAGATATTAGTTGAACATATTGCTTAGGGAGGAATAATAAGGCTGACATTTGCTTTCGTAGGAATTTGTTGTGCAAATTAACCTTGCCAGTGCACGGAAAGGCAAAGTCACCTGGCTTCCTCTGGCTTCCCTAGCAGCCGGGAAATGCAGGCAGGGGGGACGCTGCCCCAGAGAGGAGCAAATGCTCCTGCACTCAGGGTGCCTCATGGCAGAGGCTTGCGAAGAACCCCAAACTGTCAGCGATGGGGTTCAGCTGCTCCTCCAGACGGCTGACGGCTCAGAATCAGGGCTGTCCCAGGTCTTTCTTGGCTGGAACCTGAGCCACAGAGTGTCTTTGTGCACAGGAATCTGTGCAGCCCTATGGGTCAGAGCAGGGCCCTTCCCAGGCAGCTCCACTCACCCTACCTGGGTGGCCCTAAGCCTCACTAGCGACACAGGCAAGTGCCTCCTGGCCGAGTCTTGGGAATTGGAGGGGGCAAGCTCAGCTCCAGAAACAGCAGCCACCATCTGCCCTCATGAATTCACAACACCCAAAAAGGCAGAGAGGGACTCTCCGCCCCACCAGCCCATGGTGAGACCAAGATGCAGAGCTGGAGCCGGCCGCTCCGCACAGACACAGCTCCCCCGCTCCAGCTCGGCACTCCCAGATAAAGCAGGCACCTCCTGACTTCAGAAATAAAACTTTTTTGTCACTCCTTTGTGTGTTTCTGTGGAGAGAGTTGGGTTTCATCCACAAAGAAGCCCTGGTGGCCAGTCCCATGTGGAAAGGAAGGCTGGAGCAGGACCCATTGTAGGCGGTGGGCTCGCCCACTTCGGGGACCCCCTGCAGCTTGTGGAAGGGCCTAAAGTCCCCTCCAGTTTGAAGGGAAACTTTTCCCCTTTCTCCACCCTGTGAAACAAGAGTGGAGGTAAATTTGGACGGAAAGGAGTCAAGAGCCCATCCTAACAGTTTTGGCTGAGCCCTGTGGGGCTTGTTCAACACCTATGGGTAGGGGCAGGGTGTCTGCACCTGCTCAGTTGGTCCACGGGTACAAGCACAGTAGGTCAGGCTGGATCCCATGGGTGTGCAGGCCTCATGCTGTGCCCAGCCACGCGCCACCACCTGGCCCACATCAGTGGGCATGTGTGCTCTGGGGACGTGGTACTAGGCATTGTTTACAGGGCCGAGGGTCGTGGGGTCTGTGCTCATGCGCGTGTGGGGTGTGGAGCGGCACGAGTGTGTGTGGTGTGTGCGTCCTCTGTGTATAGTTCCATTCCTTGGGATTACTGGGTCCCATGATTTGGGGCGGGCAGTCAAGGACCATGGAAAGCATGTCTTTCCTATTTTGTCCTCAAACTGAGATCCCCATGATGCCCAAGCTCGGGGTGCAGACTTGGCTCAGAGCAGAGTCAACTCAAACACTGACAGGTGACAGAAGAACTTTCTGGGTTAAGGAGGGTGAGTGCAGAAAGACGGCCAGATGGGGTGCCGGGTCAGGAAGGGTTTGGAGAGCTGGCAGGGAGGAGAGACTCACCGCAAAATAGGCAGTGTCCCCATCGGTCCAGAGCACCACGAGATCTGCGTTCTCAAGCTCGCCACGGTCGGACATCCCAAACAGGACGCCAGCCTTGAGCCTCCGCACCAGGAGCTGGAAATGGATGGCCTCCTGGGTGTAGCTGACATTCCATGAGAGCTCCAGGGACCCCTCCGGGTCCAGGGGGATGTGATAGGGGAGGGGGCTCTCACGGGGAGCCGAGCCCTGCAGTGCGGCCACCAGGATGACCAGGAAGATGGCCACTGCTGTGCTGTACATGAAGGCTGCCTCCCGCATGCTGGGGCCGGGCAGGCTGGCCCAGCGACTGAGGGCGGGCATGGCTGGGGTGAGCTCTCTGGTCCCACCTGGCCATTTATGCCCTGGTCCTGAATGGGGTGGGTCCAGGCAGCACGGGTAATCACATTTGTCTAGCGGGGAATCCAATTTTCCCTCCCACAAGCTTGCGCCCCAGGCCAAGCACTCAGCCTGCTGCCCTCCTCTAATTGGCACTAATGACACATGGACGTCATCAGTGGGAGTTGAAGTAGACAGGCGGATGCTGTCCCTTCTGAGATGGCTCTGAAGAGCTGTCCCAAAAGCAGATGCACCCTGCAGCCAAGAGGCCTTTCAGACACCCTCTGGCCAGGCACCAGCTGACTGCCTCACAGGCTGTCTGGCCCAGTCCCCAGTGGGATGGGGTCTGCGTCGCCTCTACCCACGGATGAGCAGACTGAGGTCCGAGGAGCTGCTCCAGGCTGACCAGTGAAGGATAGGCCCGTAGCCACTGCAGGCCTGGCCTAGCGAGCAGAGCCGTTTGTACAATACTAGCAGGTGGGCCCATTTCAAACCAAAAATAAGACAATCTCCAAATAGTCCCTGTGTTTAGACACTCTCTCCACGGCCTGCTCTTCCCACTTTTGTCTCCTCTCAATTTTTCCACAGCCTCCAGCTGGTACCACTGCTGCTCCAGAAGGCGCGAGAGCATCATAGGGAGTGGGGGACATGGGCGTGGGGTGCATTGCTGGGGACAGACGGAGCTGGAGCTGCACAGGGGATAGGCAGGCTGCAGGGTGCACTGCTGGGGGTGACAGCCTTTAAGGAAAAGAGGGTGAGTGACAGGCCTGCTCCCCTGTCTCTGAAGCTCCCAAACCCACAGCTTCCTCTTGCCCAGAGCAGATCTGGCCTGAATTTGAAGCCTCTCAGGGCAGCTGGCCGCAGCCCTGCTTCTCCCACACCTGCCACAGGACCTTTGCCATCATCCACCCGTGGGCCCGAGGGTCAGTCTCACCACGGCACCTCTCCCTCCTGTCCTCTCCCACAAGTAGACTGAGGGCAGCTGCCTTCAGGACATTCTGCTTGATCCCTCCAGCTCCACCCCCCAGGCTGGGTTGACAGATCTCTCCAGCTGGACTAGAAGCTGTCCCTCCTCCCCAGCCTCCTCCCTCCCTTCCTTCCTTTTCCCTCCTGTTTCTCGTCTCTCTGGAGAAACCCAGAATCTAGCCTTAGGGGCACATTCATGTCATAGGCTGACAGCAACATTTAGGTCCTTAAATACCCATGACAGCAGGTCTGGAGGCTGCTTCAGCTCTGAGCTCTACGCTGTAGAAAGGAATGACTGTGTCTTTGCACGAACGTGAAATTTGGAGAAAGTGCCAGCCTTCCCCTGGCCCTCGCAGGCAGTGCTCTCTGCCCCACAGTGGCCAGGCCATCCTGCAAAGCCAAGCTCAGGCCATGAGCCCCTCCCCACTGATTGCACCCAGAGGGGCACCGTTCGCCCCCACCCACAGCCCAGGCAGGTGAGGTCCAAGTGCATAATCACCTGTGCAATAGAGTGTGGCATTGGTGTGAAATTGTCTCCCAGGCCAGGGGAAAGACACTCTTGGGAGTTCTCTGGTGAGCCTTGGGAAGGGTCTCAGCCTCCGAAGGCCTGGCTTTCCCATCAGGACATGCCACCTCCGTCGCCTGAGAGCACCTCACCTTCATGCCTCAGATTAGTTCCAAAACCTCCTCACCTGTGCCTTGTAAGCAGGTGTCTGCTGCATCCCGGACATTCACTCTCGGGACTGGGGAGCGGCCACAGCGAGCCGGTGATACGAAGAGCCTCCGGGGTGGGCAGGCACTGGTGTTCCCAGCACGGGATAACAAAAGCCAGCAGAGGCAGAGGTGAGGGTCACGGGCTCCACAGCACACCCAGCTCAGGGGTGAGCCCTCCCAGCAGCCTGGTGGCCACCCAGGTGGCTCCAGCTAGACAACAGGCTAAACGAGCACCAGCTGGGGCCCGCGTTGTGGGAAGGGGGGCACCTCTCTCCCCTCTGGGGTATTGAGGCCCCAGGCACCCCTCCTGCTCCTCCGGGGTCAGAGCTCTGGGGTCATATCCTGCTCCGCCCTCCTGAATGCGCAGCTGGCGTCCTCAGAGAAGCGCTTTCCAACCCAGCGCCTCCTCCCCATCTACAGACACAGGAAGTTGGATGACAAGGACAATTGATCCCTCCAGCTTCCTTCAACCCAGCGGTTCTGTGGAGCGAGAGGCAGTGAAGAGCCCCTGATGCTACCAGCCCTTGGACGGCTCAACACACCTCCAGGCCTCGCTCCTCTCCCGGATACGCCAAAGACCAACAGCTGCTGGGAGCTCTAAGGAGGGACGGCAGGTGCGGTCTCGTGCTCAGCAGTGTTATGCACACATGTTTATTTTTAACAGGAATCAAAGACATTTTCTTTATCCAACTCAAAACTGGCTTTCCTCTAGCATTTGACAGAAATGATTCAGCTGATTCCAAAATACTGATAACTAAGTCCTAGGGAGGGACAGGAGACACAAGTCAGGCCGCACCAGGGCTTCCCCTGCCCTGCCTCCATCCTGGCCAGCCTTGGGTGGCTGGGTGTGCGATCATCCCTGTCTCAGACACAGGAGAGTCAGCCTCGGAGAGGCGAGACAATGCGCCTGAGCTCACAGGGTGGGCCAGTGCCTGGGGCAAGCACCCCAAAGAGGGTGCCCTGAGCTGGAGGGGGCTGCACACCTTGTCAGCCAAGGTCAGAAAAATTCCACTGGAGTCAAGAGGAAGGGACGCTCAAATGAAAAATGCAACCGCAGAGAAAATCTGCGGAGACTGGGGCCGGGCGGGAGGGAGCGAATCCAATCGGATGGCCCCGTGGCTGCGCCCTTCCTTGCATTAATGGATTTTAAAAGGGAGCAATCCGACCCCAGGGTAAGGAAGCAACAGTCAGCTCTCCTCCTGCCCTCACCCTCCTCAGAGGTGACACCTGCTTGCCAGGTGCTCTCTTGGCCACATGCCTCCCTGTGGTGCCCCGCGGGGGGCTTTCCTCCCTGCTCCCACCCCTGCTGCCTCTGCTCCAGTGTCTGGGTGCACGTTGCCCTCCAGAGGTGGCGGTGGGGGTGGGGATGGGAATGGGGGTGGGAGTGGGGTTGGGGGTGGGGTAGGCCGGGGAGGTGCAGGGTGTCACGGCCACGGTGTCAGGAAATAAGCCCCATTCCTGCTGCTCAGCGCCTGGCTTCCCTCCAAGGCGCATCGACGGCTGACCTTGTTTAGAACCAATTTCAGCTTTTTAATAAGCCCTTTGCTTTCCTGAATCTCTCTGATGCCATCAGCCTTTGCAGGCTGTAATTCCCCATCGCCTCTGCCACATGAGGCTGGCTTCTGCTGACGTCCTAACCTCAGGCAGTGACAACCCCAAGTGGAGCGACGGTGGTGCAGACTGGAGCTGGGTGAGTGAACAGGCCAGGCCACTCCCCAGTGACAACGGGGCCTGGCCACAGGACAGCACTGTCCCTCGCCTGTGGCTCAGGCTCTTAGGGACCTCCTCTTGGCAGGAAAAATTCAACTATCAGTCTGATGGCAGTGCCTAGACCTGACTTGTGATGGGATGGATTGGGAGCTGCTGGGAGACGGTGACTCTGTCCATCACAGAGCCCACTCCAGGGTGGCACAGTCCCCTTGGGGAACTTGGGGCAGCTGGCCTATGTCCCTCCTCGTCCTGAGCATAGGGGCTGCGGTATGAAAGTTAAGAGGCACATTCTGGGCTGGGCACAGTGACTCATACCTCTATAATCCCAGGACTTTAGGAGGCAAAGACGGGAGGATTGCTTGAACCCAGGAGTTCGAGACCAGCCTGGGGAACATAGCATGACCCAGTCTCTACCAAAATAAAAATAAAAACAAATTAGCCAGGCATAGTGGCACAAGACTGTAGTCCCAGCTACTCGGGAGGCTGAGGCGGGAGGATCGCTTGAGCCCAGGAGTTTGAGGCTGCAATGAGCCCTGACTACACCACTGCACTCCAGCCTGAATGACAGCGAACAACCCTGTCTCAAAACAAACAAACAAAAAGCATATCCTGCCTGAGGAGGCAGCGGTGGCACCATGCCTCTGCCTCTGCTCATAAGCGTAGGTGGCCGTGAGAGTTTGAATGCTTGGGATATCCCATGGCCTGAGGTGTCCAGGGCCTGGGGCACTGAGTAGGGTGGCTACAGTGGGATCAGCATGAGGACTGGGCCCAGGGCAGGTCACAGAGGTGCCCAGAGCACCACTGAAAGCTTTCCTCAGCTACTGGATTAGAGGCACCCTCTGGCCCTGAAGCTCTGTGCCAAAAGCAAGGGGCCACTGATCCCAGAAGGGGTCGGTATCGTGAGCCCCAGTGACACTCCCCTGGAAGCTCCCAGGGAAGCAGAACCCAGGAGTCTGTGGCTGGCTCCAGGGCTGGGGCTGCCAGGCCTGCCAGGCCACTCCTGTGTGACCCCAAGCAGCCCCACTGTGAGCAAGTCCTCCACTGTCACTGGCAGGCGGCTGGCCTGGGCAGGACACAGCCTCCCCCGCCTCCATCTCTCCTCCATACACAGGGGTCAGCGAGATGGGGAGGTGGACTCTCACACCTGCGTGGCCTGCACCCCCAGCTCTGGGCTCATGCTCACATACTCAGTTTTACACACACACACACACACACACACCCCTCCAATAATTTGGCCTCAATCTTGGGGCTGAGGCCTGCTGGGCCCTGAGGAATCTTACAGGGAAACCCTTTCTGGGTCCTGCTTCTCCTTTTCTCCATAAGGATGCGTGACTGCTCCTCTCTCTTGAGCAGCTCATGGGGGGAGGTGCATGTGCCTGATTTTTGCATTTTCAGCTTTTCTGAAGGGACCACACTGCCAGGATGGTGGTGGGTCCTGAGGCAGTAGCTCCAGACCACACCCAAGCCACAGCGTAACTGTGGGCACCAGATGGAAAGAGAGGCCCTGAAACCTGCCGGCCATGTGACCCACCCGGACAGTCCCCACAGCCCTGAGCCTTCTTTCCTCATCTGTGAAATGGCCATCTTGCTCAGGACCGGCACTGGCGCTGACTTCTGGCTACAGAGGCTGGGCCCTGCGTGGCCTGCACCAGCACTCAGGGCTGCTGGTCTTGCCCCCCGCTGGCTCCTGCCAGCCATGACCCTCTTCCTGAGGCTGTAGTTCATCTGTCAGTAAGCTTGGTCACCTCAGAGATCCACCAGGTTGACCTACCATTGACCCAGAATGGGGCCGATGCAGTGAGGGCTAGCGAGACAGCCCCGGGCTGCCCTCACCCGCATCCATCTCGGGGGCTGCTGCACCCACTGACATCACAGGGTCCAACAGGCAGGGCTCTGGCCCAGGAGGGTCTCGGAGAACATGAGAATCCGCCTCCCTCCCTGGAATCTCTCTGAGCTTCTGGCGTGTGGTGTGACAGACAGAGGGATGTCCCCCAATGGCCACGTCCAGATCCCTGCAAGTCGGGTAGGCTACCTGGGGAAGGGACATTCAGTGTGATTAGATTAAGGACCCGGAGGTGGGAGGTGGTCTTGGATTGGCTGGGTGGACCCCATGTCATCACAAAGGTCCTACGAGAGAGAGAAGGAGATGCATTGATGGGGTCCAAGGAGAGGAGGCTGCTTCCAAGACGGAGCAGGGGCCATGAGCCAAGGGATGTGGAGGCCTCTGGTAGCTGGAAAAGGTGGGAACAGATTCCCCTCCCAGAGCCCCCAAAAGGAGCCAGCTCTGCAGACACCTTGATTTTAGAGCTTCTGACCTCCAGAACTGTAAAAAAAAAAAATCGTGTTGTTTTAAGCCTCAGAGTTTTTGGTCATTTGTTACAGTGGCCACAGGAAATACAAGCGCCCTCCTCTCCTAGTGTCTGCTGGCACCGTCACACTCTGGTGGGACCCCCAAGTGCAGTCGGAGACTGTGTTCCCTTCTTTTTGTCCTGTTATGGTTTTGGTTCTCCCAAAAGCAGACGCTGAGGCAAGGGTCTGGATGTGAGCAGGCTGTGTGGAAGGAGAGCTCAGAGTGTGCGGAGACGGGTGGGCAGGGGAGTGGGAACACTCACGAACCGTACTTTCATAATCAGTTTCCTCCATGGGCAGTAGGGACTCAGTTCCAAGGGGACCCTGGAGAGACTGTGGAATGCACCCCAAAACTGTCACATCAAGGGTGAAGAAGCCGGGGCCCTCACCTTCCCACACCCATCCCTCACTGGCAGAAGGACGCTCCTGGGGTATCAGAGCCCAGCATGGGGGCTGCCGGCTGGTGGGCCAAGTCCACTCACACAGCCAAGCCCACCCCAGGGTGGGAGGGGGGGGCAGAGATGCAGGAAGTTGTGGGGTACCAGTTGCCTTGGGCAGGCCCAGGAGATGGGGGTTGTGGTGAGAATTGAGGGTCAATGCCCTTTGCACCATGCCATGTGCAGTGGGAGCCCTGTGTGGGACAGCTGTCACCAGGTTGTGGTCTGGGCTCCCGAGTCCTGAGATGCCCTCTGAGTCCACAGGCTCGTAGGAGCCGTGTCTGCAGCCCACCTGCCTCTTCCCTAGGCGAGCATGCAGGCACTGGGCGTTCTCGTGAGTGAGGGCACCCAACCCTTCCAAGTCACATGGAGGCCCTGACTGTCACCATTTCACAACTTAGGATGCCGAGGCCTAGAGACAAGTGGCACTGGCCAGGGCTCCGTGGTCATGGGTGGTGGCTGCAGAGTGGTAGGCCTGGAAGAGCGTGGCGTCTGGCGTCCATGGAGTCTGGAGAGGAAGGCTGGCCTGGGCCTCCCGGGCGGTTCCATGCAGGCTCTGCTGACTCTCAAGATGGGGGCTATGGCAGCCTCAGAGTGGGCGGGCAGGGTTCGAGTGAGCTGCCTGGCAAAGGCTACAATGCCAGCGACCAGCCCTCAGACCCCCGCTCAGGGCTTATGGGCCACTTCACCACCAACCCCTGGAGCTCGCGGCTGCCACACCCCACTGGACACAGACCTATGTGGCTGAGACCGGCGCCACCCAGCCCAGGACCCCCGGACCTGCCCTGACTCCCTGGGCCTTGGCTGAGAACAGGGGACTTGGGCCCCAAGGTCTGAGTGGTCAGTCAGCCCTCATCCCACCCCCCATGCCCATTTCAGGGCCAGGTGTTCTTGGAAACCTGATCCCAGAGATGCTGAAGGGCAGAGCCTCGCAGGCTCAGCAGGGCTTCCACTGGCCTCAGCGCCCAGGGCCGAGGGGGCATCTGTGGTCCTACCCGGGGGCAAGCAATGTGGAGGCTGAGGCTCAGGAGTGCTGTCCCTTGACATTTAGGTGAGTTTCACTGGGAGGGACATGGTCCTTATCCCAGAGAAGTAATCAAGACAAAGGCAGAAAGAGGCAGGTGCATGTTCCTCAACCTCTGTACCTTGTTTCCTCAGCTTATGGGGACAGTGACAGAATTACACTCGCATTTCCTCAGGCTGGGGGCTCCCCGAGTCAGTGCAGGCAGAGGCTGGACCATCTGTGCTTAGTGAGGGCTCCCTCCACGGTGGCGAGCTCTATCATTATAAACATCCAGACAAGCCTGAAAAACACGGCGCAGAATCACTCCCTCAAATACGACTACCATTAACAGCTCAATATGTCGTCTGTCAGAACAGCTTTTCATTCTCTGAAATTTTTAAAATTGTTTATTATTGATTTGTCACATCATGTAAAATGTCCCGCCTTAACCACTGTAAGCGTGCAGTTCAATGGCTTTCAGTGCATATTCCTATTACCGTGCAACCATCACCACCATCTGTCTTCAGAACGCTTCATCTTGCAAAACTGAAGTTCTGTGCCCATGAAACAACAGCTCCCTATTCCCCCTCCCCCAGCCCTGGGCACCTACCATTCTACTTTCTGTCTCCATGATTTTGATGACTCTAAGACCACATAGACATAGAGCCATACAGGATTTATCCTTTGTGTCTGGTCTATTTCACTGAGCATACTATCCTCAAGGTGAATCCAGGTTGTAACATGTGTCAGAGCTTCCTTGCCTTTTAAGGCTGGAGAAGAGTCTATTGTATGAATGATCACACTAGATGTATCCATCATCAGTAGATGGACAGTTGGGTTGCTTCATCTTTTAGCTGTTGTGAATCATGCTGCTGGGTGTGCAAATACCTCTTTGAATCCTTGTTGTGAATTCCTTTGAGTGTGTACCCAGAAATGGCATTGATGCATCCTGTGATAATTCTACTTTTAATTTTTGAGGAGCCATCACTGTTTGTTAAATGGCCTGCTGTACACACTGTCCTGCCACTGGTGTTTTCCACGTGCATGTTGGATATATGTTGAGTATACACGCTCAGTGCTGCCTCCGCCTTTGACAGCTCTCAAGTATCCCACTGCAGGCATGGTCTCTGATTGATTTAGCCAACTCCCTGTTGATAAATATGTGGGTCGTTTGTTTCTTAAACTATGAGTGACAGCGGTGCAACTCTTGCCTTTGTCTGCCGGCCCTCATACACTTGTACCCACGGCTCTATAGCATCAGTCCTCAGAGCCCGGGCTGTGGAGCCAAGGACTTTGGGCTCCCTAATTGAAATCAACCCACAGGTTCAAAAGGCTTTGGTCAAGGGGGATGCTCAGACGCTGGCTGTTATGCCACCAGCCAAAGGCACAACTGCCTCCATGGAACAAATAGTTTCTAACAGGTAAGTAGGTTTAAACCCTGTTGATGGGCCAAATTAGCTATTGGACCAGGCAGCCTCCCTCCAGCTACAATCAAATGCATCACATACATAAACACAAATTCAATCAAGCCTAAGCCTTGCCATCTGCTTTTCAAAGATGAGACTTTGGAAACAAGCAGGTCTCTGTGCCTGGGGGCTTCTGACATTCACAAAGTAAGAAGCAGGCAACGATCTGCACACCCTGATCCAATTTCCCCTCTGCTGATCAAGTTATGGAGAGACTTGGCCCCATAAGGCCCTGGGGAAAGGGCGAATTAAAATGACCAGGACAGAGATGGTCTGTGTCACGTAGGAGGTGAGGAGGTAGCATGAGCTACAGTGCTGATGAGGATATCTTTCTGGGTGGCACTGGTCAATACCTGGAGCAACAGGATGTCTTGGAAGTGCTGGGATTGCCAAAGGCCTGTTTGGTCCCAGGAGAACAGGTCTGGGTTTGAAGTGTCTCAGCATGGTGGGTTGGCCAAGGCCACTGAAATGGTTTGGATCTGTGTTCCTGCCCAAATCTCATGTTGAATTGTAATTCTCACTGTTGGAGGAGGGACTGGTGGAAGGTAATTGAATCACGGGGGCAGGTCTTTCCTACGCTGTTCTCATGATGATGAATAGGTCTCACGAGATCTGACGGTTTTATAAAAGGGAGTTCCCCTGCACATGCTCTCTTGCCTGCCGCCATGTAAGATGTGACTTTGCTTCTCCTTTGCCTTCCGCCATGATTGTGAGGCCTCCCAGCCACGTGGAACTGTGAATCCATCAAACCTCTTTTTTTTTAAATAAACTACCCAGTCTCAGGTATGTCTTTATTAGCAGCGTGAGAACAGACTAACACACTGTCCTCGTGATAGTGAGTGAGTTCTCATAACATCTGGTTGTTTAAAAGCATGTAGCACTTCCCTCCTCTCTCTCTCCTGCCACCCTGTGAAGATATGCTTGCCTCCCCTTTACCTTCCACCAAGATTGTAATCTTCCTGAGGCCTTCTCAACCATGCTTTCTTTACAGCCTATGGAACTGTGAGTCAATTAAACCTCTTTTCTTTATACATTACCCAGTATCAGGTAGTTCTTTATAGCGGTGTTAGAATGAACTAATACAAAAAATTGGTACCAAAGAAGTGGGGCATTGCCATAAAGATATCTAAAAATGTGGAAGTTACTTTGGAACTGGGTAATGGGCAAGAGGTTGGAACAGCTTGGAGGGCTCAGAAGAAGGCAGGAAAATGAGGGAAGGTTTGGAACTTCCTAGAGAATTGTTGAATGGTTTTGACCAAAATACTGATAGTGATGTGGACAGAGATGGCCGGGCTGATGAGGTCTCAGATGGAGATGAGGAACTTATTGGGAACTAGAGTAAAGGTCACTCTCACTATGCTTTAGCAAAGAGACTGGTGGCATTGTGCCCCTGCTCTAGAGATCTGTTGAACTTTAAACTTGAGAGAGATGATTTAGTGTATCTAGTGGAAGAAATCTCTAAGCAGCAAAGCATCCAAGACATAACCTGGCTGCTTCTAACAGCATATACTCATATGTGTTCACAAAGAGATGGTCTGAAATTGGAACTTATATTTAAAAGGGAAGCACAGCATAAAAGTTTGGGAAATTTGCAGCCTAACCATGTGGTAGAAAAGAAAAACCCATTTTCTGGGGAAGAATTCAAAGTTGCAGAAATTTGCATAGGTAAAGAGGAGGCAAATGTTAATAGCCAAGACTATGGGGAAGATGCCTCCAGGGCATTACAGAAACCTTTGAGGCAGCCCCTCCCATCACAGGCCTGGAAGCCTAGGAGGGAAACATAATTTAGTGGGCCAGGCCCAGGGCCCTGCTGCTCTGTGCAGCCTCTGGACGTGGTGCCCTGCATCCTCGCTGCTCCAGTTCCAGCTGTGGCTAAAAGGGACTGAGGTACAACTTGGCCATTGCTTCAGAGGGTGCAAGCCCCAAGCCTTGGTGGCTTCCATGTGGTGTTGAGACTATGGGTGCAAAGAAGGCAGGAGTTGAGGCTTAGGAACCTTTGCCTAGATTTCAGAGGATGTATGGAAATATCTGGATGTCCAGGAAGAAGTCTGCTGCAAAAGCAGAGCCCTCATGGAGACCCTCTCCTAGGGCAGTGCAGAGGGGAATTGTGGGTTTGGAGCCCCCACACAGACTCCCCACAGGGGCACTGCCTACTGGAGCTGTGAGAAGGGGGCCATCATCCTCCAGACCCCAGAATGGTAGATCCACTGACAGCCTGCACCATGCACCTGGAAAAGCTGCAGGCACTCAATGCCATCCTGTGAAAGCAGCTGTGGGGGCTTTGCCCTGCAGAATCACAGGGATGGAGGTCCATTCCAGGTTCTTATAAATGGTCACCTCTTGTGGAATTCCTAGTGCCAATCTCTTTGTCTAGTCTGGTTGATGTTGTCACCCCTGTGGCAGAAATCATCTGTTGCCATTAACAGTACATCAATATGGTATAGGAGGGAGTCTATTGACTGATTGATTGATTGAAATATTCCAAAGCCTTGGGAGTGCACCCCTTGCATCAGTGTTGTTTGGATGTGAGACATGGAGTCAAAGGAGATTATTTTGGAGCTTTAAGATTTAATGACTGCCACGCTGGGTTTTGGACTTGTATGGGGCCTATAGCCCCTTTGTTTTGGTCAATTTCTCCCTTTTGGAATGGGAGCATTTGCCCAATGCCTGTACCCCCATTGTATCATGGAAGTAGCTAGCTTGTTTTTTATTTTACAGGCTCATAGGCAGAGGGACTTGACGTGTCTCAGATGAGACTTTGGACTTGAAATTTAAGTTAATGCTGGAATGAGTTAAGACTTTGGGGGACTGTTAGGAAGGCATGATTGGTTTTGAAATGTGAGAAAGACATGAGACTTTGGAGGGGCCAGGGGTGGAATTATATGGTTTGGCTCTGTGCCCCCACCCAAATCTCATGTTGAATTATAATCCTCAGTGTTAGGGGAGGGACCTGGTGGGAGGTGATTGGATCATGGGGGTGGATTTCCCCCTTGCTGTTCTCATGATAGTGAGTGAGTTCTCATGAGATCTGGTTGTTTAAAAGTGTGTAGCACTAACCTCCTTCACTCTCTCTCTCCTGTTGCCACATGAAGATGTTCCTGCTTCCCCTTCTTCACCTTCCACCATGATTGTAAGTTTCCTGAGGCCTCCTCAGCCATTGCTCCTGTACAACCTGTGGAACTGTGAGTCAATTAAACCTCTATTCTTTATAAACTACCCAGTTCCAGGTAATTCTTTATATCAGTGGGAGAACAGACTAATACAGTCACTGTGTGGTCATTGCTAAGAGTTCTTGGTCCATTCCAGGTTCTTGTAAATGGTCACCTCTTGTGGAATTCCTAGGGCCAATCTCTTTGTCTAGTCTGGTTGATGTTGTCACCCCTTTGGCAGAAATCATCTGTTGCCATTAACAGTACGTCAATATGGAATAGGAGGGAGTCTATTGACTGATTGATGGATTAAAACAAAGTCTTTCTCCATTGTCTGGGCTGGAGTACAATGGTGTGATCAAAGCTCACTGCAGCCTCGACCTCCTGGGCTCAAGCAATCCTCCTGCCTGAGCCTCCCAAGTAGCTGGGATGACAGGTGTGAGCCACTGTGGCTGGCTAATTTTCCAAAAATTTTTTTTTTATAGAGATAGGGTCTCACTATGTTGCTCAGGCTGACTCAAACTCCAGGCTTCAAGTAATCCTCCCACCTCAGCCTCCCAAAGCACTGGGATGACAGGTGTGAGCCACCACGCCCAGCCTAACCAAAATATCAACCAGCCTTTCCCACATTTGTACAGACCGGAGCTACAAGGCCAGCATCTTGAGGGGCAAAGGGGAGCTCCAGGTGAACTGGAGGCTCCAGTCAGAGAGAGGATGTCATATCCCCAGCTCAGAGAAAGGCCTGGGAGTTTTCCACTATGTTTGTGGCTTAAGCATTGTATTAGTCTGTTCTCATACTGCTATAAAGACACACCTGAGACTGGGTAATTTATAAAGGAAAGAGATTTAATTGATTCACAGTTCCACGTGGCTGGAGAGGGCTCAGGAAACTTACAATCATGGTGGATGGCGAGACTAAAGCAAAGGCATGTCTTACATGTCGGCAGGTGAGAGAGAGTGAACAAGTGAAGGGGGAAGAGCCCTTTATAAAACCATAAGATCTTGGGAGAACTCGCTCACTATTACAAGAACAGTATGGGGTAACTGCCCCCATGATCCAGTCACCTCCCACCAAGTCCCACCCTGGACACACGGGGATTATGGGGATTACAATTTGAGATGAGATTTGGGTGGGGCCACAGAGCCAAACCATATCAAGCATCCTGATTATCTTCTGTTGTGTGGTCTCAGAATGTCAAGCAGATCCAAGTTTTAGTCTCAACCCAAAAGCATCATTCAAATGAAAGAATGCTACCTCTTGGTGGTGGGTGCTCCACCCAGAGGACCTGCCAGTGCCTCACCTGTCCTGAAGAAGGTTCCCTTGGGCATCCAGGTGAACACGCCCTTCGGAGTGTGTTCAATGATATTCTTGGCCTTCAGTCAAACGGCAAACTAAGTATATCCCCAACCCCCATCAAAATCCCACAGTTGCAGAAAAATATTTTAAAAGAAAAAAATTACAAAAAGATTGATTGTAAAAAAAGAAGATCAACTAAAAGTCTTTTTAGTGGATCAGACTTACGTACAAATCACAGAAAGACGCAAAGAAACAACATTGGAGGAAACCACACCCCAGAAGGTGTTCTAAGATGGCAGCAGAGATAGCCTGCAGCTCCACCGTCATGGCCAGGGTGGGTGGACGACAGTCAGGGTGATGAGTTGAGTTGTTGCATTGGGACCAGCAACTTGAATATCTGCTCCTCCCCGCAATGGTGGGCAACAGGGAGCCTCTGAGCCCTTAGGCTGAGCAGAGTAGTCACTGTAGCAGGGCAGTGGCCAGAGAGCTACTGACCTCAATGAAAGATAGGAACTCCCAACCCAAGGGAGTGACTCCCTGCCGCTCAGTTGGTTGCATATTCCTCCCCATCTTCCATCAGAGGCACAGGAGCAGACACAGCAGTGGCAGATGAGCAGGGACTCTTAAGTGCAGACAGACATAGGCACACTGCCTGCAGGACCAAGCGTGTAGGAAAAACAATCCCACAAAAGAGAGACATCATCTCAGAAACAGAAACTCTGATGCCCAGAGAAGCAGCATAGATTGAGTCAACAGAAGAAGCCTTTTAAAAATAAGTATAATTACTATCCTTAGAGAGATAAGAGAGGTTATCTATTCATGAAGCAAGAATGGGCTTTTATATAAAAGAACTAATTAGAGATCATGGAAATTTAAAATAGACAGGCTGAAAAGCAGAAAGAGACAGCTGAGGAGCAAATTAGTAAGCAGGAAGATCAGGCGGGCGCTGCTCGAGGAACTCAGCTTAAAGGGCAAAGTGGAGGAAATGAGAGGGGAAAGGTAGGAGATCTGGGGGAGCTTCGGGTCCCCAGCCCGGGGAGTGGACATCTCCAAGGTATGGAGCCACCAAGAGGGAAGAAAGAAAGTGGTTAGACATCCCAGAGCCACAGAAGGATGTCAGTCTTCAGAGTCAATGAACCTGCCAGGTGCTGCACAGACCAAATGCAAACAGGCCCACAATAGACACAGTGCGGCTGTTTCCCATTAACCAAAAACAGAGCGAGGGCTCTGATGCTTCCAGAGAGAGCAGGAGAGCAAGAGCCTGAGGGCCAAACCGGGAATGAGAATGAGGGCGAGCAGAGAGGGTCTCCATGGAGGAAGAGGAACGAGACCCTGTCACCCTTCATAGCAGCAGCATCGGGTGACAGGAGACCACGGATCTCTCCTGCAAACTTGTGAGAGGAAACGTTGTGGAATCTGCCATTCCAAACCCAGCATTCTAGTTTGAGAGCGAAAGAAAACATTCAAACATGCAATAGTTCTGAAATTTTATTGCTATCTTCCTTTCTGAAAGAATTACTCAAGGGTATATTCTAAAAAAACAGAAATCTTGGCCGGGCGCGGTGGCTCATGCCTGTAATCCCAGCACTTTGGGGGGCCGAGGTGGGCGGATCACAAAGTCAGGAGATCGAGACCATCCTGGCCAACATGGTGAAACCCCGTCTCAACTAAAAAAAAAAAAAATACAAAAAATTAGCTGGGTGTGGTGGTGGGCACCTGTAGTCCCAGCTACTTGGGAGGCTGAGGCAGGAGAATAGTGTGAACCCAGGAGGCAGAGCTTGCAGTGAGCCGAGATCACGCCACTGCACTCCAGCCTGGGCGACAGAGAGAGACTCTGTCTCAAAAAAAGAACAAAAACAAAAACCAAAATCTTAACCCAAGGAAGAGGAAGCCTAGGGACAGAGGACATAAGGGAGAGGTTAACACAAACCTTTAAAACATAGAGTTAAGTCTAAAGAATTGTGTCACTATCATAGTAGACTCCCTTACCCACAGTTTCACTTTCTGAGGTTTCAGTTACCCGAGGTCAACAGGGATCTAAAGATATTACATGGAAAATTCTAGAAATGAACAATTCATAAGTTTTAGACTGTGTGCCATTCTGAGTGGCGTGATGAAACCTTGCAATGTCCCTCTCTATCACATCCTGGACATGCCCAGCATCTCCACACTGTCTGCGCTGCTGGCTTGTTAGTTGCTTAGTAGCTGTCTTGGTGACAAGAACAACTGCCCATAGTGCAGTGCTCATGTTCATATACCCCTTATTTTACTCAGTAATGGTCCCAATCGACAAGAGCAGTGAGGCTGGCAATGTGGATGCCAAAAAGAAGCCATAAAGTGCTGTCTTTACATGAAAAGGTGAAAGTTCTTAATAAGGAAAGAAAAGAATCATATGGTGAGGCTACTAAGATGTACAGTAAGAACATATCTGTTAGCTATGAAATAGTGAAGGAGGGCCGGGTGCAGTGGCTCATGCCTATAATCCCAGCACTTTGGGAGGCTGAGGCGGGTGGATCGCTTGAGGCCAGGAGTTTGAGACCAGCCTGGCCAACATGGTGAAACCCCATCTCTACTAAAAATACAAAAAATTAGCTGGGCGTGGTGGCGTGTGCCTGTAGCCCCAGCTACTTAGAAGGCTGAGGCAGGAGAATCACTTGAACCAGGGAGGCAGAGGTTGCAGCGAGCTGAGATCACACCACTGCACTCCAGCCTGGGTGACAGAGCGAGACTCCATCAAAAAAAAAAAAAAAAAAAAAAAAAAAAGTGAAGGAGGAAGAAGAAATTCTTCTCCAAGCTTAGTATCTATAGGGCTTAGCCCTATCCTAGGTTCCAGGCATCCAATGGGGTGGGAGGAATTACCCTACTGCCTTCTTTGTTTTATGAAATATTTCAAACATAAGAAAAATATAGAGAATGATGATGAGCAATATTCATCTGCTCACCTCCCCGATCTTCCATGTGTTTATTTGCTGTATTTGCCTAATATTTTTAAATCACAGATTCCATTAAGCCCCTTCTGTGCTTCTCTAACGGAACCATATTTTCATCAACTGTCTAATTGGGTTATGGTAATGGGAGCAAAAACTTTGACTTAAAAAAAATGTTTATTGTGTATCTGGCCAACTTGCTAAACTCGTAATTGTGCTAATAAATCTTCACTGGGTTTGCTTGAGTTTACCGAGTGGAATTTTCCAAGTGTTAGTGAGCAGTCACAGAACTGCCTCCTCTGGTTCAATATTCTTGTCTTTCATTTCCGCTTCTGTCTCGTGGGTTCACCAGCCCTCCCTTGCTGTGGCTGATGTGGTGGCTGGGAGGCAGGGCTCAACTGCTTCCTGTAAATGCTCCTTGAGTTTCCCACCTGCGGGATGCCTGCGGTAGGTGCTGTTCAATCCCCGTCAGTGGGCTACTGAGTTTCTCCCCGTGTCTTTAAATCATCAGTGGTGCTGACTTTGATTAGCTGCTTTCCCAGCATCTGTCAAGATGATCAGGAGTTTCCCAACCCTCTGTTAATACAGACCTGTGGTTCTCAAATTTTGTGGCTTTAGGACTCTTTTGCCTTCCTAAAAATTATTAAAGACACTAAAAACTTTATATGAAGAACTCTACAAAGTTTTGCTGAGGGTTAAAAAAATAGAAATTCTAAATAAATAAAGATAAAAATCCCAATCCTTAATGGGAAGACCCTGTAACGTGGTAAAAGTAAGATCCCGCTGTGTGGATTCTAAGGTATACACCTTCTGCACTGAAACATCCCTGAAACAGATACATTTTACAATCAAGGGCATATCTCAGCTTAACTGGCAGCATTGTTTTCCTTCCAAGTAGTAAATACAATAATGATTTATCTTAAAAGAAATGATGTCTGATTTAATATGCACTCTATATATCTTAGCTTATTCACTCTGTCAACCCTGCAAGTAGCATCGGTGTTATTATTACTCTATATTACAGGTAATGAAGCTGAGAGACAGTGAAGTCAAGCAACTTGTCCAACATCACACAGCTAGGGAGTGGCAGAGCTGGGATTCAAACCCAGGTAGTCTGGTCCCAGAGCCTCTGCCACTCTGCTCCACTTCCGAAAGGGTTGAATTTTTTAAAAGTCATCTAGCGTTCAATCCAGTCTTAATTAAAGCCCCCAAAGGTAAAAGAACATGGACTGGGATCTCGACCTTCTAGATAACAAGTGCTCCATAGAACTGTGGTAGCCGCATCGGTCATGCATCAGTGAATGGACAGATGAATCGAAGGGTAGGGTGGCCAGGGCCAGACACGGAGTCCGCGGGGAGGAATGCGATGTGTGGTTGAATGCAGGTTGCACCTCAATAGGGAGGGGAGTGACAATGGGTTATTCATGTGTCAAAAAAAAAAAAGACAAAAACAGTTAAACCTCTAGCTCACATCATACCCACAAAAATTCTAGATGGGTTGAAAACCAAACATACAAATCAGAGCATTGGCCAGGCACAGTGGCTCACGCCTGTAAATCCTAGCACTTTGGGAGGCTGAGGTGGGTGGATCACCTGAGGTCAGGAGTTCGAGACCAGCCTGGCCAACATGGTGAAACCCCATCTCTACCAAAAAAAGATACAAAAAATTAGCTGGGCATGGTAGCAGATGCCTGTAATACCAGCTACTCAGGAGGCCGAGGCAGAAGAATCTCTTGAACCTGGGAGGCAGAGGTTGTAGTGACCAGAGACTGCACCATTGCACTCCATCCTGGGCAACAAGAGCAAAACTCCATCTCAAAAAAAGAATTAGAGCATCTATGAAGACTGTGAAGACACAGAGACACAGGAATGGGGGAAAATGGGCAAACTGAGGTATGTGAAAGCACTCTTACCTGCCGGCAGCAAACGCCAAGTCAACCCTTAAGAGGTCATTTTCTACCCAGTGGGTTGGAAGGAATTGTACAGATTGGTAACATCTGGGATGGTGAGGATTTGGGGAGAAGGTCCCTGCCCCACGTGGGTGGGAGGAGGGTCCCAGGAGGAAACTGATGGGTCATTCAAACAAAGACACCCAAGAGGGTTTAATAAGTGAGGTTGTTTACAAGGAGGGGCCAGGGAAGGAAAGGCATCGGTGAAGGTGGATAACCGGTGTTGTTAGCACACTCCTGTGTCTGAAGGGATGAGGAAGGAGAAGTTTCTGACCCCAGAAGGAGAGACCTGGGTCAAGAGATCCAACCCTACTACACACGGCCCCACAGAGAGGGAGCCAGGGGTGCAGACAGCCCCACACCTTCCTCCCTCCCTCCCATTGGCCATGCCCAGGAGGAGGCTGGAAGTCCCAGGAGATGGTTGGTGACATCCGTACCAGACAGATTCCTGGGCAAAAACCAACCACCATTCATTTATTGCCTACGTGGCTCACGGACACATTCCCACAGCTTTCCACCCACTCTTGTGAGCTGCAAGCCATCACACAGAAAGGAGGCAGGGCGTGTTTCTGGGGTGGGGAGGCTATTCAACCCCAGAAAAGTCCACTCTGGCCCGAGCCCCTGAAACCCAGCCCTGCCCACCACACACAGACATGAGGCTTTCCAGACAGAGGGCCTCCAATGGAGGGGCATGGGGCAGCAGGGAGCCCTCCCCAGCTACTCCAAGGGGAAAACTACAGTTCCCAAATGTGACAGGGTTCCAGAGGACACAGGACATGTGCTATTTGTTTGGTGGTGGTATTCCTACCCCAACTTTTCATCAAAACAAAACAAAGCAAACGCAAGCTGAGAGAGGCCAAGCCGGCATCAGGAAGGGCAGGGTTCCTCGTGTGTGACTGTGACTTTCCTAACGAGGACGGTGTCCGAGCACCATTTCCCCCTGCAGAGGCGGGCGGCACCCCAGGGCTTTCAGAACGGGGCCCTTGAGGGGTACCAGAAGCTCTAATAGAGAGAGCGCTCACTCCCCTCCTGTAATGTGCTGAGCTCTGACCCCATTTCAGGGTGACAGTGGTCAGCCATGAGACCAAGGAAGGCATGGAGGGAAGGGGCTGGAAGGCTCCGTGGTGAGGGCTGGATGTGTCCTGGCTGGCTGTCCCCGTGCCTGCCATGCTGCCTGCTGTGATGCTGGGAGCAGCTCAGTGGCAGGGACGGGCATCAGCTGGCTTGCTTTGGAGGCACTCGACCACCCCGCAAAGCAGCCTCCCTGCGGCCTGCGCATGCTGATTTCCCTCCAGATGTTCTCCCCAAAGCCTCAGGCACCCACTGCTCTCACCCCCAGCCCCCAAAGCCAGAGCGTTGCCAAGGGAAAGACCAAGAAGGCAGAGCCCTTCCTAACCAGGGAAGGAGGGATGACCTGCAGGGTGGATCCTCAGAGGGGCTCCCCAGAGAGTCCACAGGGCCATCAGGAGGTGGGCGCCACAGCAGGGGCCCGAGGGTGGAGGCCAGCCTGCACCACTGTGGGCAGCTCAGCCTCCCAGCTCCATCAGGGCCATGGAGACTGTCTGGCCAAGGCCCCTCCCACGTCCCCCTCTCGCCCACCCACCACTGAGCTCTTTGGGATGAAGTTGGTGAGATGGGGACTCCCAAGACCAGCACCTGGTGGCTGGAGTTGGGAGCACCAGGAGGAAGAGGAGGGATTTGTGGTACAACAGCAGGGGTGTGAGATTTGAGGGACAAAAGCAGAGGGCAGCCGCTGCTGCTGGGACAGGCACAGGCTTTTTCTCCAGCTCTGGCCTGTGGAGCATCATGCCAGGTCAAGACGCCAGATGGTCATGCTCACCACCATACTGCACGGCTCCACACCACACATGGAGAAACTGAGGCTCAGAGAGGCTGAGAGAAGGGCTGTGTTCATCTATCTAGAAATCAGGGGGCCAGGATGGAGCCCCATTCTGCCGGACTCCAGACCCATATATTCCCACAGCACTGCCTTGGGACAGAGGAGCTGAGCTGTATGGGCACCCCCAGATCTACATCCCCAGGCCCCAAATCTGGACCTCCCCCCCAGTTGTGCACCTGACCTGGAGGAGATGGCGGCAGCTCCACTAGGCCATCCACCCTCAGAGGGCAAGACAGTTCCTGCCCTGTTCATTCCTGCATCCCAGCACCCAGTGCTGAGCCTGCACACAGTAGGTGCTCAATAAATGTGTGAGTCAGTCTGACTTGGCCCCTAGGGTTAAGAGGCTCATGTTCAAATAGATTTAAACAAACAGTTGCAGAGAAACCAGCATTAGAACTTTGATCAACGCATTATATGCTGCCTTTGACCCTCCCGGTCTCCCAGAAGCTGCAACATTTGAGCTGTGCCTTGCAGGGTGTGTAGGAGTTTGTGGGATGGAGACAGATAGGAAGGGCACCTCTGGCAGAGGGACCAGCCTGCTAAAGGCAGTGAGGAGTGAGCATTTGGAAACAGCCAGTCTGGGTATAGCTGGAGTAACAAGCCTGGGGGCGGTTGTGGGGACTCAAACGGTGGCCGCGGGGTGGACGCCATCCTGAGGGTGAAGAGGAGCAGCCAAGGGGCTTGTGCAGGGGAAGGCTGCCCTGGCTGAGGGTGCTCAAGACAAGGGTCGATGCACCGGGGCGGGGAATGGGGAGGGTGCAGAGAGGGAGGCTGGAGGCTAGAGGCCTCCCTCTTCAGCCTAGGGCCTCGTGCCAGGGTCCAAGTGTCCTCAGGGCAGATTGGCTGAGTCGAGCTCTGCCCCTTCTCTAGGGAGCCAGCGGTGCAGGGAAGGAGGCTCTGGGCCAGCGCTCACCACTGAGCTATTCATTATCTCTGCACCCCTGGCCGGTCGCTTGCCTCTGGCTGCCTCAGATTCCCCCTCCGTCCAATCACGATGGCCGGTGGTCTCAGTGTGGGGTTTCCAGAGCAGGGGGAGGCTCTGCTGCCTGCCACCTCTCGTCTGGGTGACTGCCAATCTCGGGCCAGCTGTGTTTGCAAGGGACGCTGCCTCTGGCTCCGCAGAGCGGCAGGCAGACGCTTTCTCACGTGAACATCTTTCATTCATTCAACAAACAGCTGCTGTGACTGGTGCTGGGAGACAGCAGAGAACAAGAGGCACGAAGCCCCTGCCCTTGTGGATGTGCCATTCCAGTGCAGAGAGGCAGGGAATGAGTGACCAAACAGACGAGACTGTGCCCCGCTCCCCTTCCCCAAGTCTGCGGCAGATTGTAACAGGGCCAGGCCCCTCTCCCGTTTCACAGCGGGAGACTAACCCGGCAGCAGGGTTCATCTGCTCCTGCAAAGACCCATAGCTGATGCTCTTTCTGCTTCCCCAAGCCAGCCAGATGAGGAGGGAGGTGGCATCCAGGCCAGGGCAGAAGGGGCCTGGCCTCCTGTGGCTCCCACCGCCCCTGGGTGACACAGCACTGGCCTCATGTCCTCGCTTTGCCACAACCACCTGCTTCTGCTTCCCCACGATTACCCCTGCCATTCTCCTTTCTCTGCTCCCACGCCCTCCTCCTCCTCACCCCCATCCAAATCTGCCATTGTTAGGCAGGCTTTGGGACTGGTGGCTTGGATAGAGTCTGACAGGAGAGCAATGGTTAAGTCCAAGTTTTTATTCTTTGTGCCCAAGAGGAGACTGTGTCTGTGAGGTGAGTCCTTGGGTGGCAGAGCTGCCCCACGGGTGCTCCAGAGACTGTCCTGAGGGGAGGAACTGCTCTGCACGGCTGAAATGAAAGGCTGGCATGTCAGTCTGGCATGACATTTTATTGTCATGTCCTGACGCTGGCCTGTGTCAGTCACCGTGGGTGTTCTCTTTTCATCCTTCTATTAAAATGAACAGCATTCAGCAACCTCTGCAACCCTTGCTAATAGAAGCAGAAAAGTTATGGGAAAATTGCTTCAATATTAGGTTCCCCTAGTCCAGATAGGCAATCTCCGATTTTCATTTCTTATTTTCTAGTGTAATAGACTAAGGGTCACACCCCAGGCATAGGACATGGTCTGGGTGGACTTCGGAGTCAGATGGGTCCTGGCCTCGGGCAGCCTTGGGCAGGTCATTCACTTTCTCTGTCTCGGGTTCTTTACTGTAAATCCGGTAAAATGAATGAATCGTGCCTGTCTCCCAGGGCTGTCAGCACAGTTCAACAGTAATAAGCACAAGACACATGCTAGCTATCAGCCGGGTGGTCCCTGTCCTGCCTCTGCCTGCCTCAGGAGGCCCTGTCCCATCAACCTTTGAAACTCTCACCTCCCTCTGAGCTCATGATGACGAGGACTCTTTCCTCTGTCTCTGCGCCCACAGTATGTGAGGGAATGAATGAACGAATGTAGGCATGGCCTGCATTTATTTGCTCAAGCTGTGAAGAAGTGCTTTGGCTGAGAAAGTAAAACCCAGATTAGGAGTACTCTCTGTTAATGTTTCTCTGGAGTAAAAAATCCCTGCAATGGAGGAAGGCTCTGAAACAATAAATCCTCCATAACTCCTGTCTCACTTCTTCTCACTCTGCAGCAGGATTTGTCAAGATGATCCGTGATTCACAGAGGGAGCCGGGAGAGACCCCTTGACGGGTCCCCGAGCGCCTCTCAGCCCCATCTCCTCCTCATCCATCATCTGCGATGATTCTTAAAGAACGAACACATCAAGCTTGCTGTCACAATGTTTTAAAATGTTGCAGTAATTAAAAACCACCGGTAATTTCTTTTCACACAGATGAGGCTGTCTTTTCAAACCAGGGCAATGGAAACACCCCACACGCTGCACACCTGAGCCCGCGCACGCCTCCCACTCTGTCCGCTGGCACACTCTGCTGCCCGACCCTCTCACCTTCTCTTGCACACTTTGGTACCTCGTCATTCTCCTGGTCCCATCTAAAAGACGTCCAATCTAACAGACCCAGGATGCGAGGCACACTCTGCCTATTCGGCATCACAGAGTAATCACAGTGACTTGCAGTTACCCATCTCTCAATAGTTTCTTTTTAAAAAGTTCATCTCTTCTCTAAATGGGCTTGATCTTGACCTGCACAGATCATCTGGAGTTGAGTGGACACAGGTTCAGTGAAAACGGATCAAAGGGGCTGTTGCTGGGCTCAGTCAATCAACTGCAGAACGTCTTATGGCTGCAGGCTAAGAAGAGGAAACAATTCAACGACCAAACAAAGGTTAATCTAGTAACTGCGGCAAGGCCCAGGTAATTTCCATAAATATGTGGAAACAGCAACCACTTCAATAGTTTGGCCTGGCACCAATATGAGGAGGAGCTTGGAAAACCGGACGTGGACCCCCTTTCAGTGCCCTGAGATCCATCGAGCAGCTGAATGGAGGTCGGTGCTGGGGGCCAGGGGGCACCCACACAGACCAGTGAGCAGCTGCCCCTTCTGGAATCTCACAGACTTCTAACACCGAGGGGTCCCCGGGTGCCAGCTGTGCTGCAAGTGGACAGCCAGCCTCTGCTCAGACATGTCTGGAGATGGCGAGCTCCTCCCTTCCAGAGGGTTCCCAGAAAGGGAATAGGAGAAGCTCTTGGCCATCATTCTCATTACTCTCCACATCCTGGCAGAAACTTTATTCCTCGAGCACTTTGTTCTTTCTGCCTCTGTAGAATGAGACTCAGCCATCAACAGCAGCTGCTCACATCCTTTGTTCCCAAGAACGTCGTTCCCTCCATTCGAGTGTGCAGGGGACTGTGCATGGGGGTGCAGGTGTGATTGGAATGTCAGGGTTTCCCCGCCACCGCTGGTTTTGTTTTTTCCTCTATATCCAGCCAATGAGCACCTCTTGTGCACATATAGATCCTCAGAGAGAAAGAAAGCCTGATGCCTCTTCTTCATGAGGCTGTAAGTCTTTGAGCAATGAGGCTATCCAACTCGACTCCAAGAAACGGATGCGCACAGAGGTCCTGCTTGTATAGTGTCAGGCTGATCTTACGCAAGCCCCATTTGCCCTAAGTGGAAAATGAACCTTTGTAAACTGCCACCCATGAACCAATGTGTTGGGAGGTGTTCAACCAACTTGGCCATCTGTTGAATTTGAGTTATATCCACGAAGCTCTGTTGTGGAATGATGCTGGTGGTGGGGACAGAGTAGCTGCCGTTGGCTGAGGTTGCCACGCGACTAAACAGCTTATTGTAGTGGATGGAGAACCAGTCCGGCGGCAGAATGTCACTCCTCCCACCCCCGGGCCTGTTTTTGGCCAACCTAAAAGAACTGCGTGTAACTAGGATCCTTTTTTTTGCACGCACCAGGAGAACTTGCTATTTAGGGAATCCTGATGATGAATTGTTTTTATAAAGTCAGACCAGAGACTCTTCCTTGTCTTTCTCTCCCCTCACCCATTTTTATTTTCTGAAATTGGTTTTTGCTTAAAATCAGGGCATGCTTTTGCACATAAATAATGAGTTTGGTGGTGACCATCTGGCATTGCGATCCAAATGAAATCTATTCAGTGTAGTCACCTCTTTGCTGGCTGTGTGACCTTGGCCAAGTCACTTCACCCCTTTGTTACCATCTGTAAAGCGAGGGCAATGCAGGCATCTACTGTACATATTGTGGGTAATATTCAGACCTCTTTCAAATAAAATGGGCTCCATTTTAAATAAGGTTTCGTCATCACGGGCATCAGGAACACATCTCTCTCCACAGCATGGGAAAGAAACCAGCATGTCAAGAGGCCAAGAGCTACAGAGTCTGAGCTGGTTCCACAGAGGTTTCCAGCTGCTCAGATCTATAGCTGCAGGATTCTGCAGAGTTTGAGTAAAAAGTCAGCATGGGGAGAAGTGGAAGGGCATTGAGCTGGTTGGTAAAGACAGGGCTTGGCAGTGATGTTGCTTTTAAAATTCTTGGCACACACTTGCAACTCTCAAATAAAAAACAAGTTGCTCAGTTGTCATAATGGAGTTTTTGACTAAAAGTGATGATTTAAAGGATTCCTGTGTCAACTCCTAGGACATCGATTGGCTGGCTGGTTTGTCTCTTCCTCCTGGCTCTCTCTCTTTCTGCCTTTCTCTCTCTCTCCTTATAAGGAATTTCTATCCGTGTTTACCATCCTTCTTTCTAGGTGGGGCTGGTTGGGAAGGATGTAGAAGTTCTAGAAGAAGGGGATTAGGAGCAATGGCTTGGGAATCAGGCCGATCCGCCTCAGGTCTGCTGCTGTTGAGCCTAAAGTTTTCACCTGCAAAGTCAGGGTAATGACAGTATCCATATCTCATCGGATCGCTGAGAAGACTAAATGAGGCAATGCTCGCACTGTGTTTAGCCTTGTGTCTAGCACGCATTAAGCACATAATGAGTGATGTTTATCATGAGACAAGTGCCTGGTGGGAGCAGGTACTACTCGCAGTTAATTAATGAATCAAACACAGCCCCTGGTCCCTTGGGAAATGAAGCAGGTGATGTTTAATTATCCTGCTTGGAAGAGAACAAGATACTCACAGGGGGCAGGGACCAGCTTTTCCCATTAGTTAAGAGGAAGGAGGACTAGCCTGGTTTGCTATAAGAAAACTCTCTATGGTCAAAGTGACCTGATCAGCCTGGAGAAACTCAGCAGGGGCCCTTGCCAGGGGCCCCAGCAGGGGAGGCAGCAGGCTGGACATTTGGAGCATGTCTGTATGGTGTGAACACTCACTCTCTTGTCCATGGGCAAGTTGCTCACCCATCTGTGCTCAGCCCATCTGTAAAAGGGAAATGGACTCCAAGCACTTTACTCTTCTGTTTGTCCTCAGTATTCTCATGTCTAGAATGAAGCAAGGTTATGGTTACTACCAGGATGGAGTTTTTTTATAGAGAACTTAAAGGTTGATCATAATGAAAGCACACATTTAAGGCCAGGCGTGGCAGCTCACACCTGTAATCCCAACACTTTGGGAGGCCGAGGCGGGCAGATCACTTGAGGTCAGGAGTTCGAGACCAGCCTGGCCAACATGACAAAACTCCGTCTCTACTAAAAATACAAAAAGAACAACCTGGGTGTCGTGACGCATGCCTGTAGTCCCAGCTACTCGGGAGGCTGAGGCAGGAGAATCACTTGAACCCAGGAAGTGGAGGTTGCAGTGAGCTGAGATCACGCCACTGCACTCCAGCCCGGGTGACAGAGTGATATGGCTCAAAAAAAAAAAAAAAAAAAAAAAAAAAGCACACATTTATATGGTGCTTTCCCACCAGGCACAGCTCTGAGTGCTGTACATGTTCTAACACAAAAGCCTTCCTAACATTCTTAACACCAGATTTCTCTCCGTTCAGGGTCCCTGCGACCGCAGGCTCAGCTCGAGGACCTGCAGAAACAGGGAAATGCCTCCTGGGGCACTCCTCTCAGGAGTAGGAGCCTTGGGTCAGAAAGGTCTCCCTCGTATCCAGCCCAAATCTGCCTTGCTTTAACGTCTAGCCATTGGTCTTAGCTCTGTGCTTTGGGGTCAGGGAGAAGGGATCTGCTCCCCTTCCCCGTGGATGTGGGAGAGATCCAAAGGCAGCCGCCATGCCCCAAACAGCCACTCACCAGGAGCAGCGTAAGCCTTGCTCCTCCTCTCAGTTGCTCCGGGGTTGCTAACTCAGAGAAGGGAAATAAATAGTAACAAAGGCGAGCATTTATTAAGTACTTATGGTGTGCCGGGCCTCGAAACATCATCGGATTTCATTCTCAGACCAACCCTAAAGGTGCTGGTGTTAACTCCCCATTTTAAAGATAAGAACCAGCCGCTCAACCAGGATAAGGGACTTGCCCTACTGCGGATAAGCAGCAGCTTCGGCCTGACTCCAGATCCCAACGTTGTGGAAGCCGGAACGCCCCGAGAACAGGCGGAGAGCGGAGGGAGCACCGCAGGGCGCCGGCCAGGGTGGGGGCACCCCCAGGCCTCCAGGAGGTCGCGCGTCCCGGGCGAGAGCGGACGAGCCGTCAGCACCAGGGACAGCTCCCCAGGCCGCTCCCGGCATCCCCCGACGACTGCGCGCGCGGGCCGGTGACGCGCGCTCCCCGCCAGGCTCGGGCGCGCGCCCTCCCCGCCAGCGCGCGCCCTGCGCTCGGGACCAGGCTGGAGCCGCGCGTGCAGCTCGCAGGGAGCCAGCCGGGGCGTCCGGAGTCGCGGCCGCAGCGCGGAGCTGGCAGGGGTGCCCGCCTGGGCACGCAGTCGCCTCCCCGGGGGCCTCCCGGGCTTCTCAGCGCCCGCCTCGCCCGCCCAGCCACACCAGGCGCCACCGCCGTGGCCTGGGCATGAGCGGCCGCCGCTAGCTGCGCCCTGCCCGGGTCGGACGCCCGCCCGCCCCGTCACGTGCGCCCAAGTCCTCGCGGCCGGGGCAGCGCGGTTCCCATGCTTCAAGGTAAGGGCCGAGCGGGCCGCGGGTCACGGGGTGTGGGGCAGAAGACGCAGGCTGGAAAGCTCCAGCTAGGTGCCCACTCGTCCAGAGTGCCCACTGCAGCCTGCCCCGGCTGCCTCGCACCAGGTCCCCTGACCCAGCTGGCGTCACCCATCCCCTGGCTTCCACCCTCAAAGCGCATCCCCGAGGAGGAGACTGAGACCCAGGTGGGCACGAGGGCCTAAGGGAGAGGTGGGGGACCCACTTTAGGAAGGGGGGCTTCATTTCCCTCGGAACAGTGGCCTGGGGGCAGGGGGCAGTGGGGAGGGAAAGTTTCCCAGAAGAGCCCTCTGGAAACCTGGCCGCCTTCTCTCCCTGCCAGGAGCTAAGACTTTTTCATTTGCTGAGCTTTGCCTTCTTCCAGAGTCGGTGCTGCATTTTCATCCCATCCCATTCACCCAACACCCACGAGAAAGGGGCATTGGCCCCATTTCACAGATGCAGAAACTGAGTCTCCGAGAGGTTTGGTCTCTTGCCCACGATCACAGAGTGGGGAAGTGGTGGAGATGGCCTCAAACACGCCGGCCTCTGTCACCACCACCTCACACCTTTGTCTGTTAGGAATCTCTGCTTCATTGACAGGTGGGGGGTTGCCTAACTGACACTAGGTTTCCTCAGCCAGAAAAGAAAAGACTCTACACACCAAAAACCCAAGAGATATTCAACATGGGTCCTCAGGGCTCCACTGTCTCACCCCACTCGTGTCCTGTCCTCCCGCAGCCACGGACTGCCTGGGCACAAGTGGTCCTGCCAGTGTGTGTCCCGTAGCAACCCCGATGGCTCTGAGACAAGAAACTCAAGGGTCAAGTTCATGGAACCTTCTGCAGGGTAAGGGGAGTATCCTTGAGGCCTGAGCCCCAGCATTCGTCCTAGCACCTTCCCCAGTAAGCAGGAGCTCAGGAGAGCCAGCGGGCCACCCTGCCAGCCTTCTCCCTTGCATTTCCCTCAGCCCCTGCCAACTCACGCTCTTCAGGGCTTCTGGGGAGAGCAGTAATTACCAACCCCCAAAAAGTTCAGGGTTGCTGGGAAAGCACCTTTGCCCATCTTCCCACCTTCTCCCTCTTATAGAATTGAGAGTGAAGTGGAGGTGACCAGGGCTCTACCCACCTGAGCAGGTGAGAACCAGCACTTCCTGGGCTGGGCAAGGGCTGGTTTTAACTCTTGGTGCACTGACTGCAAGCTTCCTAAACAGCTTAGGTGCTGGCAGCTTGTGAAAAAATCTCACCCTAAGGCTCGGGGGCCCAGGAAATGTGGGGTTTTGTTCATTCGGTCTTGCACTTGCTGGCAGTTTGTTGAGCATCTGCACGATGCTATGAAAAGACCCACAGGGCAGTCTTTGTATCCTGGATCCAGCTGGGTTTTGGTTTCCCTATCAGCTGAGTTTCCAATGGGGCCGGCTTGTCTAGACTCAGCCGGAAAGCTTGGAAATGGCTCCCGAAGGATCTGGGGGTCTGGGAAGGATGCACAGGCTCTCCCAGCCTCAGTGCCCCACTTGCATGGGGAGGGAGTGGGAGCTCCAGGGTGCATTGCTGGACTCTCAGGACGTGCTGACACCACTCAGAATCCTGGCACACAGAGGTGTTGCAGCTTCTCCACCCTCGCCTCTCCAGCAGGTAGGGCAAGGAGCCCCACAGAGCTCCTCCTACCCTTGAGGCTGGAGTCCCCAACACACGTCTGTCATGCCAGTACCATCAGCAAACATGAGCAAGGGCACCTGGGGAAAGGTGGGCACAGATGGAGAAGTCGGGACTCGAGTTCTGTCCACCTTTTTGGGTGACCTTGGGCAAGTCACTTTCCTCTCTAGACCTCAGTCTCCCATGTACAAAATTGTGGGGTGGATCATTTCATGTCCCCCCTCTGAGCCATTACAGCTCTGTTCATCTAAGCCCCGGATGGAGTAGGAAAGCTGGGAGGAGTGCAGTTCCTCCCTTTTTGCCATGGTATTGAGGGAGTGCAGAGCAGTTTTGAAATCTTCGGACTGACCTGAGTCCAAGCCCCCAGTCCGTGCCAACCCTACTCCCTACTCACATGATCACCCCCGTTTTGTATATTTAGGGGCTGGCTCTATATTCCTGACTTTTCTGGTGCTGGTTCTGGGTGAGGCTTCACAGCATGGAGACCCACTCCTGCAGTGAGACCTCTGGCTCCTGCCACGTGGGCCTGCCTCTGCAGCCTCATGGCAGCGGGCTCCAGCGAGGAATAATTACAGCACTCGGGAGGGGAGAGATGTATTACATCTCAGTCAATTACCTCTGACTCTAAACTCTCGGGGCAGGAGGGGAGGCAGAGCAGCAGCCGAGCCCTTGTTCTGTCCTCCACTCCGCTCCTGGCCCTACCGCCACTTCCCTCTTCAGAGTAGCAAGTCCTGATCTGTGTGTTGGTAAAATGGCAATTTGTGTGGCAGAGAGAGTGGTTTCCAGGCCAGACCACGGGTGCATCATTCCGCATCCCCATCTGCAAAAATGAGGGTGCTCCTGCCTTCCCTGCTGGCACATGGGACACCGGGGCAACCGTGAGCCTGGCCAAAAGGCTTTTGGATGCCAAGAGCATGTGGTCCTGGGGACCACCCTACAGAGGCCAGGGTGGGGCTGGGGGGCTTCTCTGCCAGCTGCTGCCACACTTGGCACTGGTACTTCTTGCAGTGTCTCAGTCTTTCTGGATCTGCTCCAGAGGGGATTTGATGAGTTCCGAGGCCTCAGTGTTTGCCAGCTCCCTCCCTCCGTTGCTGAATCCTCCCGCAGGCCTTGGCCCAATCCCCGCTTGCTGGGGGTTGCTGGAGAGGGGAAGGAATCCTGTTGCCCCTGGGGTGAAGTGGGCTGGTGGAGGTAGAGTTGAAAGCCCAGCTTTGCTGCTTTCTGGCTGTGGAACCCTGGGCCTGAAGGTCTTGGGCTGGAAAATGGAGACTGTGCCTCCTCCTTCCCTCGGGCCTCATCAGTGAAGGAGGAGGCTGGAGAGTCAGGTGGGGTCCGGTTCCGCCAGGCTTGTAAGCCCTGCTCAGTGGTTGGGCTTTCCGCCGCAGTCCACAGGAACCAGGCTCTGGGAGCCCGGAGGGACATGGTTCGCTCTGCCCTTTAGGGACCCTCTCTGGCTGCACCATGGGGAATGACTTGGAGAGGGGGCCCTGCAGGCAGGAAGCTGGGGAGGAAGGGAAATGATGGAGGCCTGGACCAGGGTGGTAAGAAGAGGGCAAGTGACAAGCATGTTGAGGGCTGGATGTTTGTGTTGGGGTGATGGGAGACGGCCTGAGACTGCCCAAATGTCACTCCTATACCACTCCCTTAAGTCAGGCTCAGGCAGCGCCGGACGCTCGGGATGGGCCGCACGTAGGCAGTGAGGTTGCGGCCCCGGGGCCCTGGGGGAGGACTGTTGTTTCAGCAGCAGCTCAGTGTCAGAGCCATCATCCCACTGGGCTGGATGTTACCGCCTGTGCTCTGGGCGCTCTCAGCCCTCGGGGAGCCGTCCGTGCCTGTGGGAGTGGGTCCCTGCCGGACCGAGCTAGTCACCTCTGCCCTTGAGCTCAGTTTTCCCAGGTGGCAGAGGTGGAAGAAGGCTGCACCAGCTAGGGAGCTCCGGTGGAGGCTGGGCAGGGACTGGGACAGAGACCCCAAAACAAACCAGGCTCCCAGGGCTGCCACCTCGTCCACCACATTCCCTGGCTACTGAGGGTGGCAGTGTGGCTGAGTGGACAAGAGCACAGCTTCTGTAGCTCAGCAGAGCCGTGTTTCCATCCAAGCTATGCGTCCCTCGTGAGGTTACTCAGCCTCTCTGGGCCCCAGGTTCTTCATTCATAAAATGGCAATCATTACATCCGCCTCTGATGTGCCAGCTTACCTCCCAGCCAGCAGACTGGGAGAAGAGCCCTAGCGAAAACCTCTTCCAGGCCAGCTCCACCCCACGCAGCCCCGACCCGTGCTCACTTCCTGGCTCTGCCGTAAGGTGGCCTCGGGGCCCACAGGCCTCGGTCTGCACCTGGCAAGCAGGCAAACCCCACATCGTGGGGCAGCCTTGGCTCCTGACCTCAGTGTTCACACACAGGCAGGATCATCGCCACCTCCATCTCCGTTCCTCACGAGGAGGTCCACAGTTTCTGTGTGCAACAGGCTGGCCCTGTCTGGGAGCTGGGCCTGCTGGCAGGTCCCGGGTCTCTGGAGAACCGTCCTCTCTCTTTTGAAATCATCCTAATTTGCATTTGCTGTATCTGGCTGCACTACCTTATAGACATCAATCTGAAATCGTGCTACTCCAGATGGGGTTCGGGGACCAGCAGCAGCAGCAGCAGCATCCCTAGGAACCCGTGAGAAATGCAGGTTCCCAGGCCCCCAGACCTGTTGTAACCGGCCCCCAGGTGATTCCTGTGTTCCGTGGAGTTTGAGACTCACCGCCCACCACGGCAGAAAAGAGGTTCTATTTGCATAAAGCAAGGGTGACTGTCTCCTTCATGCTCCTTATATATTTAACTTCATATATTAAAGGGTGTTTGAATAAAAGAAATACATGCTTGCAGTAAGAGAAAAACCAAGCTATTCAGCTTTTGTTGGTTGGTTGGTTGGCTGGTTTTTTACAAAGTAAAAGCCCCCGGTTTCCTGGGTGTGGCCTGCCCCCCAGTGCTCGGCTGTGTCAGTGACGTGTGTGTCAGCCACACTGGGCACCACCGAGAGACCAGTCTGTGTGTGTTGTTCCCTGTCCTTTTGACTTAACAGGTCTTGGTTGTGTCTGCATGTCGACACCCTAGTCTGTCATTGATTTACCTGGACCCATATCAGTAAACAGTCATGTAGGCCATCCACAGGTTTTATTTTTTGTGTGTGTTCATTTTATATACTTGTTCACTCAAGTAATCACTCCAGGGAAGGATTTCATAGTTGGATGAGGGATGTGCAGTGTGAATAGAAATAAATAGGCCAGGCGCAGTGGCCCATGCCTATAATCCCAGCACTTTGGGAGGCTAAGGCAGGCGGATTACTTGAGGTCAGGAGTTTGAGACCAGCCTGGCCAACATGGTGAAACCCCATCTCTAATAAAAATACAAAAAAGAGAGCCGGGCGTGGTGGCATGCGCCTGTAATCCCAGCTACTCGGGAGGCTGAGGCATGAGAATTGCTTGAACCTGGAAGGCGGAGGTTACAGTGAGCCAAGATCACACCACTGCACTACAGCCTGGGTGACAGAGTGAGACTCTGCCCCCTCCCCCAAAAAAAGAAAAGAAAAGAAATAGCAATGCAAAAGCAGCTGTCCATGGATTAGAAGATGGGTGCAAGGTAGCAGGTGCCCCAGATTCAAAGGAATGTACACCCTGGGCTGGAGCAGGCAGGGAAGGCTTCCTGGAGGTGGTGCTTGAGCTAAGCCCTGAAGGATTAGCATGGAGCAGGAAGGAGCTGGTGTGGCACAGACATGCGGGCTCCTATCATCACCAGGAGGCAGGAGGACTAGTCTGTCAACTTTGGCTAATGAGCAGTGGCCCCGCTAAAGATGCCCCTGAATTTCCTCTTCTCCCTTTGCGGGTGGGAGAGAACAGGCTGGGCCACTTCCCTGTCATCTCATTGGCTTTTAGCTTTCCAAGCTGGATTGTGGCTGGGGTTGCTTTTCCCACGTGCTGTAGGCCACCTCTCACCCCCTGGTCTCCACTTGGTTCACCAGCCGTGCAGACCCTCTGCGGTTCCTACCAACACATCCCCCTAGCGTTAGCTCTGATTATTTTGCCAAGAGCGATCTGAGGCCCTGGAGGAAAAGGCCGGCTGCGGTGGGATGCGCTGGGTATGCATTGGACCCACAGCAGTAGGGGAGGAGGCGCCTGGGTGCATCAGTGGTTTCTCTGTAGCATTTGTCAAGGGCCTCACCTTTGTGTTTGAAATGTCATGTTTACATCCTGTTTTCAAGTCCTCCAGTTGGCGTTGGCAATTGCAGTCTCACTTGATTCATTAGGGAACTTTCCTAAGGCAACATAAAGATGTTCATTTTCCCAATCCGAAGGCGAGCACCTGCCCACCCCAGGTGCCCTTTCTCCCTGGGCCAACCTCTTGGGCTGGCCCCCCCTCCGCCCTGGAGTCCAGCAGACTCAGCTGAAAGGAGGGCCCACATTTAGGGCCAGAATCCTATCTCAGGTCTCCCTTCTCAACGGTTCAAAACTAGCCACTGCTTTAAGAGGGCTGATTCTGGGATATAATGATTCGATTCTGGTTCAAAGGAAGGCAGAAAAAAGCGTCCAATATTTTACTAGAAAAATATCAGCTTCTCTGCAACATTGTCGACTGTGAGCTTCTGGTATTTACTTGTGTTTAGAGTTTGTTTGGTTAAAGACTCATTATGCAGAAGCCTCCTGCCTTGGTGTGAACCCATTTACAAAATTAAAAATGTAGTCAACTTTAATTTTACCTTCATGGAACTTCCCACATGAGAGTTCCCTCTAATTACTGAACAGATCTCTATTTAAAAAAAAAAACTGTTTTCCAACACAGAGTCTTGAACAATCACTCGTGTGGTCTTTTCTGTCACCCCTGGGCTGAGCCGTCCTGTTCGCTGCTGGCCCTTCTCTTCCTGGGAGCGCTCATCATTGCCCAGCTGCCAGAAGAGGAGGGGTTAGCATTGGTGGAGGGAAGCAGGGGGAGGGAGGAGCAGGGAGGGACGTCCACAGAACCAGCCAGATGCTCTGAACAGTCGCAAGCGTGGGACCCCACAGCTCAATCCCACCCGGATTCGAACTCTTCCAGCTGGTAAGCGTAGGCACATTACTAAACCTCTCTGTGCCCTAGTTTCCTGGTCTATGAACATGGGCCTGGCTCTTTCCCACTTGCAGGGTGATGAGAACTCATCCGTCGTCATCCACCGGAGATCCCAGACCCAGGTAGAAGTGTGGCAGATGGAACTTGTTGTTATATGGCGGGTCTTGGGCATGGCTGGAGGCAGGGCCTGCCAAGTGGCCCCTGCGGCAATGCTAAAGCTCTGTGTGTGTGTGTTTGGGGGGGCGGGGGGCAGGGTTCAAACCCTGCTTAAAACCATTCCCAGCTGAGGATAGAACCCAGCCCCGGTGCGGCCCGTGGAGCCCCACCCAGGACAGACCCTGCCAGCCCCCAGCTTCCCTGCTGGTCCTCCCTGCAGCACTCCTGTGTGCTGGCTACTGCCTGTTTCTCGAACCCTCAGAGTCCCTTCCTCCCTGAGGCTCCTCCCACCTACCCCCCTCGCTGCCTGAAGGACCTCCTGGCCAGTGCCAGGTCCCAGCTTTAGTCAAGCCTTCTGAGACGCGCCCTGACGCCATGGTGGTCAGATGGCTGGTGGTTTTGTGTGGCTGTGGCTCCCCCAGACCAAGACACCCCATGATTAGGGACAGAGATGGCGTCTGGTTTCCCATCAGGGTCTTCACTCAAAACATTCAAAACCAGCAAAACATCCTCAGGGAAGAAGGGACTTGCAGTGTTCCAGAAATGGGAAGCAAGCCAGCGTGTAGGAGCAGTCCGGGGGGTAGCTGCGTCTGACCCATGTGGCACCCGAAATTCTCCAGTTATGGGGGTTTCAGTAATCGGAAGGGAACTCCAGAGAGAGTGGGTCTCGCCTGGCCAGGCCCCTGTGGTTAATGCTGCTATTTGTATTGACAGCATGACCAGTTTCTAAAAAATCCTCTCACCTGCAAGACAGACCCTTTCAACAGCACACCTCCACTCGTTTAAAAATGGCTGAGCCCAATCTATTTAAAAAGGAGAATTAATGTTAAAAAATTGCTCCAGGCAGGGTCTTTGCTGAAGCCTTGGTCAAAGACTGCTCAGGGCAGCAGAGTTACCTGCACAAGTTATAATAGAATCACTGAGTCGGCTCCAAAGGCGCGCCCTGCCCAGAGAGCTCAGAGGCTCAGGAAGGGGGCCCAGTGGATCTTTGTAACCCCTGTGCCTAGTATGGGGCAGTGGGTGTTCAGGGCTCCAGGAGGAGTGAGTAGAGTGAGGGATGGAAGAAGGGTTGTCAGCTCACAGGCTCTGCTGCCCTCTGAGGCCCTGCTCCCAGAGAGCTTGCAGGCGGGTAGGGCCCTCCCAGGGGTCCTCATGGCTGGTACTTGGGAGAGAACTTGGGCTGATGTCAGGGAAGAGCAAAATGTCTGGAGTTCAGCCAGGAACTCGAGGCAATGAAGCTCCCCCCCTACCCCCTACCAAGGGAGAGTTGAGTTAATGGCCTTGGATGAATTGTTATTTGCGAGGGGAAAGGGGGTTAGGGAGCGTCTGTGATTGTTCACTGAGCTTGCGATTACACTAGTTATCTTCCAAAGTCCCTTCCGAATCGAAGAGGAAAGGAGTCTCAGATTCTGAGCAGCCACTGGTTGCATGTTCTGATTTTTAAGACTCTAAAATGTGGCTTTAAGATTCTGGGAGCCTGCGACTCCAGGAGCTTAGACCAACCTCTCCTCAAGCCCCACGAGTCTTGGGCTTCCACCCATCCTTTTACCCTCTGGTTTTACCCCTGCTCCCACCCCATCCCACTGCAGACCCCATCGAAAGCTCCAGGGAACAAGCTGGGCCCAGCTTTAAATGAACTGCAGGAATCTAGAGGCCCAGCTGCAGGGGCCATCTGGGGCTTCCCTCGTAAGTGCCAGGTGACCTGGGCTCCACTAAACTGAGAGTGGGTGGCACCACAGGGAAACAGGGGTACTGTGGCACACGCCCCTGCCCCGGCTGCCGTGTGGGCCAGCCAGTCTCTTTGGGATGGGCCAGGCTGCTGGACTCTACCTTTGCACCTGCATGCTGCTCTTCATCCACTCTCAGCACTACACACACACACACACACACACACACACACACACACAGACCACACTCACACACATGCACACAGACCACATTCCCCCCCACACACACACACTCACACAGACCACATTCCCACATACACATGCACACAGACTCACACTCATGCACACATACATTCACACACGCACACAGACACACATACACATAGACCACACACATTCAGAGGCACACATGCACACAGACACACACACATGCACACACAAACTCACACACATCCACACAGACCACACATACATGCACACAAATGCACACAGGCCACACACACACATTCGCATATGCACACAGACACACACACATGCACACACGCACACACATATGCACATAGACCACACTCACACACATGCACACAGACCACACCCACACTTGCACATGCATATGCATGCACACAGACACACTAGCACACACATGCACACACACTCGTACACAGACACACATTCATGCACATATACACACATGCACACAGATCACATGCACACACACGCACAGACAAAAACACACTTGTACATGCATACAGACCACACACATGCACACAGACACACATGCACATGCTCACACATGCACAGATACACATGCACACTGACACATATGCACACATATACACAGACACAACTAACACATGCACACTTACACATACATGCATGCAGATACATGCACACACACATTCACACATGCACACGGACACATACATGCATACACAGAAACACATGCACACACTCAACACATGCACACAGACACATACATATGCATGCACACATACACACACCCCTTACACATTGACACACATAGACACAGATACCCACAGACACAGATACACAGACACACACAGATGCAAACACACAGACACAGGCTTCAGCTGCTGTCGGGCTTGCAGTGGGGTCCCGGGACCCAGGTTCCCTTTGTGGCACAATGCAGCACCATGTGCTGGGAAGGGGAGCCCAGAGGAGGCCTGGGCGAGCAGCAAAGCTTCCCTGAAGTCACGTCTGAGCTGAGAGCTGAGCAGCAGCCTGACCTGACCATGCAAGGAGTGGATGGCAGTTCCGAGTCGATGGAGCAGTGTGTGCAAAGGCCAGGAGGCAGAGGCGAACTCTGTGCAGGTGAGGCATTTAAAGGCGAGAATGGCTGGAGCCCAGAGGCAGGACAGGAGGAGGGTGGGAGACAAAGCTGAAAGTGTGGCGCTCAGGCCAGGTGGAAGGTGCCCCCAGGGCAGGGGTGCAAGGGCCACTCACAGGGAAGGGGGGAGGGCCCCTGGGGGAGGGGGTGCTGCCTGCATCCAGCAGGGGCAGGCTGGCATCCTTCCCCTCCATCTGCCCTGGGCTCTCCCTGATGAGGGCAGGGATCTCAGGCCACCTTTGTTCTGAGCAGCCTGAGAGGGGCCACTGAAAGGAGCCCTGGGGGACAGGCACATGAACCAGCAGCTCAGGTGTTCATTTGCCACCTGTTTGCTGGTGCCTCAGGTCCCTGTCCCCAGTGCTCCACCTGTGAAATAAGATGAGGACTCCTGTCTCTAACTCTCAGGCTGCTCTCTCTGGGGAGATATAGACCCAAAAACTCAGCCAAAACTACAGTGTGCCAAGGAGCATGAGTGCGTTATTCTAATTCACCACTGACATCACAGTCCTGGGAAAGCGGTCCCTCTCTCCCTCCCTCCCTCCCTCCCTCTCTCCCACCAGCAGCGGGTGCCTGGCTCCTGGGCCGAAATTATCTAAGTGCCCCAACTGTTGGGTTAAGAAGAGCCCCACCTCCTCACCCCAGCACACGCAGCACACAGCTGTAGCCATGGAAACTGCCTGTAACCTTGTGAACAGCTAAAATAGACATTATATATTTTTTGGTTTGTTGTTTTTTTTTTTTCAAATGCACTTCTCTTTTGTTTCACACTCCTGTGTTGATGGGTAAGGATGCATACGGTTCAGGGTTGGTGTGCAGAACATGCCTCACACCCCACCCTGTGCCTTGTTCCACCCCATGCTCGCTCAGAAGGGCCTGGGCCCAAGGGACTGGGGTCCCCAGGGGGAGAGCCCCTGAGGAGCTGCTGTCTCCTCAACCCTGCCTCTAACAAGACAAGCCCGACTCCACCCAGTCCCCCAGGAGCAAAATACCTCCCGCCGCCTGGCTCCCAGGGAGGCCTCGAAGCTGGGTTTTGTGAGATTGAAGGCTGAGCAGGGAGCCCCAGACTGGCCACTTAGATGTTGTCACCATGGCTCAGGTTGGGACCCAAACCCAGTGAGAAAATCAGAATCCACAGTGGTAGGTCCAGACCTGTGTGTCTGAGAAGGAGCTGAGCTTTGAGCCCTGTCCCCTGGACAAGTCTAGAAGAGGAGACAGTGTAAATGCTGCTCTTCATCTCCCCTTCATTTTGGAAGGGTTTTTTTTCTTTTTCTGGATTGCACGTTCCAGGTTGACGGCCTTCTTTTTTTTTAGCACTCGAAAGGCACCACTCCATTGTCTCCTGGCTCTCATTGTCTCCAGCAAGGAGTCTGCTGTCATTCTTACCTTCGAGCCCTTGTAGGTCATGCAGCCCTTGGCTCTGTGTTTAGATTTTTCCCTTCGTTGCTGGTTTTAAGCAATTTGATTATAATGTTCCCTGGTGTTGTTTTCTTCTTGTTTCTTGTGTTTGTGGTTTGTTGAGCTTTTTGGATCTGTGGGTTTATAATATCATCCAATTTGGAAATTTTTCAGCCAATATTTATTTATTCTAATTGTTTTTTGCACCAGCTCCAACTTCTTTGGAGATTCCAGTTATACGTATATTAGACCCCTTGAACTTCTCCACACCTCACTGAGTTCTGTTTGTTTTTTTCGTTTATTGATGTTTTTCTCTCTATTTCACTTTGGATCCCTTCTATTGCTCTCTGCAAGTTCACTAATGTTTTCTTCTGTAATATCTAGTCTGAGGTTAATTCCATCCACTGCATTTTTCATCTTAGGCATTGTCATGTTTTCATCTCTAGAAGTTCGGTTGGTTCTTTTTCCTATCTTCTATGTCTCTACTTCATATGCTCAAGTTTTCCTCTGGTGTTTTGAACATATAAGCTACAGTTAATAACTATTTTAATACCCTTGTCTCCTAATTCTATCATCTGTGCCACTTCGGGGTTAGTTCCAATGAATTGATTTTCTGTTCACTGTGGTTTGTATTTTTCTGCTTCTTTCCATGCCAGGTAATTTGTTACTGGATGCCAGATATTTTGAATTCCACTTCATTGTTATATTGCAATACATATTTGTGATGTCTGTTCTGGGATGCAGCTCAGTTATTGGGAAATAGTTTGATCCTTTCAGGCCTTGCTTTTAAGCTTTGTTAGGCAAGTCTAGAGCAGCTCTACCCAGTGCTTCATGAATTAGAACCTTCCCTGATTGGTGGGAAGAGGAACTATTTCTGGACCTGTGAGAGCTTCAAATATTGTTCCCTGGAATCCTATCAGCTAGTTCTTTCTCTGGCCTCAGGTAGTTTTGCTCACATTTGAGTCACTGTTCAGCCAGCTACTCATGGGGGACCCTCTGCAGAGCCCTGTGGCTCCACGGTCCCCCACGGAGCAGCAGGCTCCTCCCCAGTTCTGTGTCCTGTGACCTCCGGCTACTTTGGCCTCCTTGGGCTATCATCTCTCTCTGCAACTCAGGGAGAGCAGCGGGCTGCACCTGAGCTCCCTGCACCATAGCCTGGGATTCCAGCTGGAGGGAGCTGGGGCCACCACAGGGCCCTCCTTGTCTCTCCCCCATGGCTTGAGGAGTGCTTTCCTTCATCACTGGTGTCACCTTCAAGCAGGAGGGCAAGCCTGGGCCCCATTACCCCATCTTGGCTGAAACTCTGGCTAATGCTGCTTTGCACGACAAGGGTGAGCCACCCCCGCCCCCGCCCACCAGTTATGGGGAGACTTCTACTGTCATCTCCATTTTATCAAACTGAAACATGGAGGAACGAAGAAACTTAGCCAAGGTGATGCACAGCCCAGATTCAAGTGGCAGCCACCGTGCTGCTCCCAGACAGGAGCATGGCAAACTCGGGGGCTCCCCGCACAGCCGCCCGGGCCAGAAGCCTCTGGTTTCCCAGGACTCCTCCCTGCTCCCCATCAAACCACCAACAAGCCCTATTGGTGCTCCCTCCCACTCATCCCCCCATCCCCTTCTCTCCAGCCCACCACCTCCTCCCTCTTGATGACCATGACAGCCTCTGAACGGCTTCCTCCCACTCTGCCTCCACACCCACCCCACCATGCCTGCCTTGCACCCGCAGCCACAGAGCCACTACCAAAAGCAGAACCAGTCCAGTTACTCTCCTGGCCAGCCCCCTTCTGACCCTTGCCCTGAACACATTCACTTCTCATTCGGCTGAGAGTCACCAGGTGCCCACCATGGGCCCAGGACACCATTCCAGGCACCAGAATAAAGAGACCGAGCCCCTGTCCTCAGCAACTCAAATTCCAGAGGGAAGAAACAGACAGTAAATGAACATATAATATGCCAAGTATGGGGTAAAGGTACAAACCAGGCAGGTTAAGGGGGTGGAGAGCAACCATGGAGCAGGGGATATTTTTGATATGTGGCCTGGAAGCTGTAAAGTGGGGGAAGCCACTGTGGGAAGGGTGGAATGGGAACGGGTGGACATGGGGAAGGAAGGGGAACCTGAGGCCTGACCCTGGGCCCCTTCACACTTAGAGGTCAGGAGAGTAGGAGAAGCCAGCCAAGGAGGGAGGGGGAGATCGGGGAGAGCACAATGCCCCAGAAGCCAAGGGCTACAGCCCCTTGTCCTCAAAGTGTGGTCCGAGGATGCCGCACCAGCAGCACCAGATGCTTGTTAAAAATGCACAGTCCTGGCCGGGTGCAGTGGCTCACGCCTGTAATCCCAGCACTTTGGGAGGCCGAGGCAGGAGGATCATCACTTGAGGTCAAGAGTTGGAGGACAGCCTGGCCAACATGGCAAAACCTCGTCTCTACTAAAACCACAAAAATTAGCCGGGTGTGCTGGCATGCACCTGTAGTCCCAGCTACTTGGCAGGTTGAGGCAGGAGAATCACTTGAACCTGGGAGGCAGAGGTTGCAATGAGCTGAGATCGTGCCATTGCACTCCAGCCTGGGTGACAGAGGGAGACTCCGTCTCAAAAACATAACAAACAAAAACAAATGCACAGTCCTGCAGCCCCGCTCCCCAGGCTACTCGATGCACGTTAAAATGTGAGGAAGACTGACCTGGAAAGTGTTTTGGAGAGGAAGGAGCAGCACCAAGCTGTGACAGGGAAGGCAGGGACAGGGCTCCAGGAAGGCTGGCTCAGGCACCAACGCCCTGCTGCCTGCGGGGTCTCTGCTGACCTCGCCCCTCTTGTCTTGTCCCCCTCCTGCTCTTATACTCCAAGCAAGATGGGCTTCTCCAGGTCCTGCCTTGCCCTGCCTGCCTCTGGGCCTTTGCAAGTGCCATTTCCTGCCCAGGGTGCTCTTTCCCATCTTCTCGCTACTCATCCTCAGGTTTCAGCATCTGGGCCCCTCACTCAGGGTCACTTCTCCTGGCTGCCACCCCTGTTAACACTCCCCATTCTTCCTCTCTGCACTCCCGAAATCACCAGTGCACATTCATGTCCCCCCACAGGACTGAAAACTCCACAAAAGCAGGGACCCAAAGCTGGGCCCAGGATGCAGTAAGAGCTGAAAGAATATTTGCTGCTGAATTATTAATAAACTATAAATGCCAAACATGTGGTGCAGACAGAGGGTGCTACTAGAGCCCAGAAGAGGGAGCCATCTTCAGGGGTGGGAATCAGGAAAGGCTTGCTCCAGGAGCATGGAGACAGATGGCCAGGAATCTCAGTACGCAGAGCTGGAGGGGAGTTCGAGGTCCTGGGAATGACACTAGCAAAGGCCCAGAAGCAAGAAAATGCAAAGTTGGTGGCTGGGAGGCCAGAGGAACAACCTCTTACCCAGACAAGTCTAAAGGGCATTGGGGCAGTGCAGGTGAGGCCAGAAATGTAAATCAGGAGCAACCTTGGAGGACCCAGGACATCAGATGTTCGGGACCTAGATCAGGAGCTGTGTTCCAGAGAGATTCCTTGGATGGACTGATGGGGATGCCTTACGGGAAACAAATGCGCTGTAAAGGAAACCTTGGCACTATTCCGAGAGCACAGCTCTGGACGTGGCCACTGGGATAGGAAACCAAACCTCAGTGTGGTCTACACAAGCTGATCTTGTCTCGTTAAAACATAATTGAAGTCCTACCAGTTGGCACAGTCACAGAAATGTCCCCGCAGCCCCAGAACCTGCTCCACACGGTCCACCCCTGTCATCTCCTCTCACTGAGAGCCAGCCCCATGGATCTGGGGGTGGCAGAGGGGGAGTGGATGTGGCTGAGACGGGCCTGCCCTGGAGCTCCCAGCCCAGACTTAGGAAGGGAAATTCCAAGGAGAGGCCAGTGAGGCGCCATCAAAGCCACTGGCCCTGCCAGCCCCTGGGCAGTGTCTGAGGTTCGGGGCCGGGGTGCGAATCTAGCCTGCCGACAGCCTGTCTCCCTGGGCCAGGATGAGGCAGGGACCCTGGCCCCAGCACCGGGCTGTGCTTGGCACACAGCTGACTCTCAGCAGATGCCATGGAAAGGAGGGAGGAAAGCTGGAGATTGTCATAATTCTCCTGTTTCAGAGACAAGACTGAGGCCATGGTCGCCCTGATGCTAATGGGGAGAGTCTGGATTCCTGCCTAAGCCTTTCTGACTCCCAGGCAGATATGGACACAGCATCAGAGGTGTCCGGGGCTGGGAGGGAGAGGTGATAGCAACAGGTATAAGCACACTGGAGCAGGGGCATGGAGGTGAGGGCCTGGGAGCAGGTGTATGACCTCGGCTGGCAGAGGGGCCAGTGGAGGTGGCCTGGGCTGGGGGTGGCAGAGGGTATGGATGGCAGTGGTGGACAGATGCTGGACTCTGGAGCTACTCAGGGAACTAAATGGGCAGGATTTTCTGGAGATGAGATACAGGAGGAAACAGCCAACTCCAGGCATCACTTTGCTTGGTTGGCTGAGCAAGAAGAGATGCTGACATGGGAGAGTCTGCCTCCTGCTGGCTGCATTGCCTTGGCAAATCAGTTCCCTGATGTTTGCTCATCTGCAGAATGGGCACAGCGATACAGGGGGGGAAACCTTCATCAGGTCCCAGCATGACCCAGGTCCCTGTAAAGACTGATGAGAGGGCGGCTCTGCTTCCTGCTGACCCGCACCGCACAGGCGCACACGGCACTCACACGCGTTCCGTGTTCCTAACTCAGAGGGCCTCGGCCTGGGCTGCACATTGGCACCACCAGCAAAGCTGTGCAAGTATTGGTTCGTGAGCCCACCCCTAGAGCTTGTCCTGTCAGTGGCCTGGGATGCTGCCAGGTCTGGGGCAGGTGTAACTGCCCCAGGTGATTCGAGTGTGCAGCCCGGGGTCAGCCTGTTGCTCTCCAGCAGCATCGGTCAGAATCCTCTCGGGGGCTTGCTGGACCTCACCCCCAGAGTTTCTGACCCCCCCGCCGGCCTGGGTGGGACTTGGAACTCTGCATTTTAACAAGCTCCCAGTTGATGCTGATGGTGCTTTAAGTAAAGAAGTCACTGGCCTGGGGGAGACACAGACTGGTAGTTATCTGCAAGGCTGCAGGACCAGGGTGGTGGCTGAAAGGCAAGGAGAGTGGCTGCGAGTTGGCAGAGGGCAGGCCCTTGGCCGGAGAGGGCAATGTTCACTGGCGCAGCCTCCCCACCCCTTCGCCCTTCTTGTGTGAGCCCCTCAGCACAGCCAGCGTGGGCACCTTCCTGGAAGAGGGAAGGCACTCTTCTATGGCTCCAGGCTGCCAGTCCACCTGACCAGTGGGGTGGACATTAGTGGCTGCTGGACACACCCTCGGCCTCCCTCTCAGGCCGCCCAGGGGCAAGCTCAATTCTGAGCTCAGGTTGACTTTCCCAAAACTTCCCCGATGGCAGAGGGGGATGCATCTCTGCTCCCTGGAGTTGCAGTCGTGATTCCTGTAGACAAGAAATCCCACAGGGGCACGGCACCACCTCAGCCCTCCCAGGGTGCTTGGTTCCCAGGGGCTCCGCCTCAGCCAGTGACTCGGCCCACAGGCATTTATGGAGCACCCACTGTTTACCAGGCCTGTGCATCAAGGTGAGGCTGAGGGCCCACCCTCGTGGAGCTGGACACGAGGTCACAGTGTCCTGGGGAGGCTGGCCAAGGGAGCAGCTCCAGAAAAACAAGGAAAATGAAAACAAGCAGGGTGGGCCAGGCCGCGAGCACTAGGGAGGTCACGCAGGCTTCCTGGAGAAGGCGAGGCCCGGCACCATCTTAAAGGGCCAGAAGGAGCCAGTCACCTGGAAAGGAGAGGACAGCGGGGGTGCCAGGGGTCTCCCAGGCCAAGGGACAACCCCTGAGGCCAGCAGGTGCATCCCCAGAGCGGTCCCCGTCCTGAGGCAGAGGCCACACGGACAGGCCTAGGGTGAGGGTCAGGTTGGTCCCAAGGAGTGAGGACTCACTCAGAGGAGCCCCTGCTGGGCCAGACCTGCTTTGGGGGCCATCCTTCGGGACAGTGGTTCTCCCAGTGTGCTCCCCCAGTGTGCTCCCCGCGCCCGCTGCATCAGCATCCCCTGGGCACTTGGGAGAAAGGCATGTTCTCCGCCCCCCTGAGTCCGAAGCTGCAGGGTAGCGCCCGCAGCCAGGTTTCAGTGCATTCGGGGGATGCTGGTGTAAGCCCAATGTGAGGGACGGGTGCTATGGGGGCACCAGGGAGGACTGGACCAGGGAGGGCTCACATTGGCTGTGGAGAAGGCCAGGCAGGGTCCCCTGCAGGGACACAAGCCAGGAGGAGGGGCAGGATGAGCTTGTGTGTGCACGGCCCCAACAGGAAAATGTGGGTGTCATCTCCGCCACAGTTACCACCCCCACAGGACACCCAGGTGGCCAGTGCCCTGAGGCTGGGCCTGGGTGTCTCCCCCATCCGGAACAGCACCTGGTTCCTGGCCTAAGTAAATACAAAGCCTGCTGTGATGGACCCAGGATGGAGAGGGCTGGGAGACAGGGGCCCAGTGCCAGGGCATAGCAGGTGCCTGCCACTGCGGAAGAGGCTGCCCTGGCCCCAGGAGGCCAGCTGCTTGGCAGAGGGTGGTCATGGCAGTGCAAGGTAGACCCAGAAGGGAGGCAGCTGCTCATGAGTGGGGTGGTCCGGGCTTGGGCCTTGGAAGACAGACCAGGATGCCCCAGTAGCTGGGCCCTGCCCTATCCAGAGCCTGCCTGCCTGCTGAGGGACCCAAGGAGAGAGGCTTTCTGCCAACGCAGGGGGCAGGGCCAGGAGCTTCAGAGCTGGTACCTCTCTCAGGATCCCCAGAAGCTTCCTTCACAAAGGGCAATGGTAGTATCCAGGGTTCTTTCTCAACCTGGCCCCATGTGTCCCATGTCCTGACCGAGAATGCTGTTCTGTCGGCCCCTTGACACCCAGCGGCCCCTCAGGCAGAGGAGACCTTGGTAAGGGCTGGAATTCCTGGCTGGGGGCAGAGTTTCCGGGCCACGCTGCTGGCTGGGGTCTGGGGTGCCTTCCATGTGTCTACTGGCTCTCGGGGCTCTCCTGGGACTCCAGGCGTGTCCCCACTGAGCAGAGAGTCCACCTGCTCCTGTCCGTAAGGCTGAGTCAGCGAGGGCTTTACTGAGCATCCAGGAGTTTTCTCGAACATTATCTCAAGGTGCTGGGCCATTTTGGTGGGTAAAGGCCTGGAAGTGCATCAAGCCTGTGCTTCCTCCCTCTTTGTGCCTCCGTTTCCTCATCTTTGCATGAGGATGCTCAAAGTGCCTGCGCCGGCTGTGCCTATAGGGTTCACTGAAGCACCGGGGAGCCCCCAGCCCAGCACGGGACTAAGTTATTTGTTTACTAAACGAGAGCTCTGGTCGTTCCAGCAAGTCCTGGCCTGGCCCTCCCTCCCGTCCGCCTTCCAGGCCCTGAACTGGGACCAGGAGCTGGGCTCAGTTCGAGGAAGAGAACGAAAAGAAAAGAAAAAAGGAAGGAAGGAGAGAGAGAAGGAAGGAAGGAGAGAGAAGGAAGGAAGGAGAGAGGGAAGGAAAGGAAAGGAAAGAAGGAAAGGAAAGGAAAGAAGGGGAGGGGAAGGGGAGGGGAAGGGGAGGGGAAGGGGAGGGGAAGGGGAGGGGAAGGGGAGGGGAAGGGAAGGGGAAGGGGAAGGGAAGGGGAAGGGGAAGGGAAGGGGAAGGGAAGGGAAGGGAAGGGAAGGGAACTTAAGTCCAGCAGCAGAGAGGGTTTTACGAACCCAACTTCTGCACATTGGTATTTTTAAGGGAGACAAAAAGCCAGCCCCGTCGGCAGCTGAGCTGGGACTTGCCCGGGGTTTTCAGGCCCTACCCTCCCACCCCCCATTTCCTGACCCACGGCTGGGAGATCGGGAAACTGCAGCCCAGAATGTTCTTGGTGCATCTCATCTGCCTTTTCCTGGCGGCCTGAAGCCCTGGCCTGGCCTACAGCTCTGTGCTGCTGTTCCCGCCCCCTGGGAAACACTGGGGATCAGCTAGGTGAGGGTGGGGGTCACGAGGGCAAGACCCCAGCTCACTCAGGGCCTGCGGTGCAAGTGTGGGCCGCGGCCCCCACTGCATTGAAATCAGCACCAATGCCGCCCTACTGTGTGTGTGCGCGCTGTGTCGCCCCCTGGTGGCCGGAGGACTGCAGTGGGAAACCAGGTTCTTGCCTTCATGGGGCTTAGGTCTGATGCAGGGAAGGCGGTGAGTTTACCCCGTCCCTACAGGCAAGCTGAGGGTGGGGGATGGAAGGAAAAGGAGATACATCAGATTTGATGTGGCACACCATGTTCACCCCTGGAGCCCTCACCCCTCACCATGTGACCTTGTGCTTTTCTCTCCCCATGCTAGACTCCTTGGCTCTCTTGTTTCCTTGTCTGTAAAATGGGCATAATAATAATCTTTGCCTTGGCTGTCCCGGCAATTGAAGGAGACATTGGTGAAGGGTGCCATGCCCTCCTGGCACAGAGATAGTGGTGCTTGGCACAGGATCCTGTGCTTATTATTATTAAGAGGTATAGGGAGCCATGCAGGGTGTTTGAGTGAGGCAGGAACCTGTTCAGACTTACGGTTCAGGAACCCCAGTGGGGCAACACAGGATGGCACGGGCAGGAGCCCCAGCTCACGGGATTTCCCAGGGGGTATTTTCCGGGGGTATTGCTGAGCATTCTACTTGTTGAAAAGCAGGTTTCTCTGCTGTATTGAAATCATCAATGTCAACAGTTGTAGGGCCTGACAGAGAGACGGGGCCTGAACCACGAGCTTCTTCAGGGATGTGCATAAATATTTCAGACCACGAGGTGGTCAGAACAGGAGAGCAGGGGTTTCTGGGAGAGGCTGCTGAGCTCAGCATCCAGAAACCCAGTCCTTTTCCCTTCTCCCATCTCCTCTACCAACAACTTGGCGCCCACGACCATTCAGGGTGACTGGCCTGTGTCTCACTCTGCAGCAGATGTGCCCGGTGACCCTGGGCAAGGTCCCCTCTCTGGGGAGCACAGCCACCCAACTGCACAATGAGTGGGTCAGCAGCATGCTAGATCCCTCAGCATGCTAGATCTCTCAGTATGCTAGATCCCTCAGCATGCTAGATCCTTCAACCTGCTAGATCCCTCAACATGCTAGATCCTTCAGCATCCTAGATCCCTCAACATGCTAGATCCCTCAGCATGCTAATCCCTCAACATGCTAGATCCTTCTGTACCATTGAGCCCACCCCCACCCCAGAGTTGGGATCCAACCTCCTTGGGCCATGCAGCCCAGGTGTGCCCTCTTCTGGGCAAGCAGGACCTGGAGCCAAAGGTGGCAACTTCAGGCCTGACAGCAGCGGCCACAACTCAAGCTTTATTTTTGCAAGTTCTTCCCCAAATCTTTCTGTTCAAGGTCCTTAAGTAGCGTGGTAGCCTTCCTGACAGAAGGGCCCCACAGGCCAGGCCTCCCACCAGCATGATCTATCTGAGACCCCCATGGCACTGCCTGCTGCTCTGCCCCAGACAGGGCCAGTGGTTCCCCCATCTCCCACGATCCCCGACTCGGTCTCAGCAGAAAGGGGCTGGGACTGGTCAGTGATTTTTGAACAGGGTCTGCAATTCCCTAGTGCCAAAGCAGGGAGTGCTACTGGCTTCCCCACTGCCCAGCCTCACAGCTCAGGGTGCGGGGACTTCTCACCTTTGCCTCTGTGGCTGCTCCTGGCTTCCTGGGCAGATAGCAGCAGTGAGGTCCTGGTGAGCACTGGGCTCCCACCCTCCCCTCCCCTCCCCTCCCAGGCTCGCCCCCCGTTCGCGCCCCCGTTCGCCCATCACCTTTTTCTCTTTTCTCTGTCCCTTCCCTATCTGCTCCAGGGGCTCCCAGGGAGATCCCAGGAAAGAGCTTCAGGGACCCCAGCCTGAGAAAGTGGGGTCAGTTAGACTGGGCAGAAGGTGAGGTTTGAGGCAGGCCTGACTCTTGGGGTGATGGTCTGAGTGCCCCGCCTCCCTCAGACCACCCAAAGCTCCAGCCTGAGAGTCCCAGCCACACCCGTCGGGGACGCAAGCCACTCATCTCCAGGAGGCCCAGGGAGCAACCAGGCAGCCCTCAGCCGGGGTCCCCTCTCCTCCCACACCCTGCCTGGTGGGGGCTATCTCAGCTCCGCCTGACCCAGCCTCTGACTGCACTGAAGGCTAGACCCTGCCCACTGGGTCAGAGGAAGCAGTGACCCCTGAGGACCAGGGAGCCCCCAGGAGGCTTTGGCACAGCCCCATGATGGAGGCCAGGAGGCCTGATCCTGACACTCCCTGTCCTGCCCTACGGTTCCTGAGGTTGGCAGACAGTGACTTCCTGGTGGGGACCAGGCCAGGGGGGGACAATCACCTAGTCCTTTCAGCTTCGTGCTTCCTGCTTATGGCTCCAGGGCTTCCCAGCCATCCACAGCCTTGGCGTTGGCTCCAGCTCCTCTCCTCCTGGTCCACAACACCCCTCGACTCCCCTTCCCAGCTCTGCACCATGCCAGTAGTGGGCCAGGCAGGGCTCCAGCCCTGGGTCGCCCTGGTCGCCGGTCAGCTGAAACTGGTCTTGAGAGTGGCCTCTGTGGCTTGGACTCCAGACAGGGATGGGCTTTGAGTTTCAGCAAGACTCCTTGAGGAGCAAGGATAGGCATCTGTCCGGTCGGCTTTTCCATTGCTCAGTGGATCATCTCACTCTTCTGGCCTCAGTTTACTCCCTAGAAAATATGGGTCAGTCATCTCCTTGCAGAGATGTGTCAGACCCCCTGCTTCCCCGATGGCCTAGGGAGTGGGCTCTGGACAGTGGCCGAACCACTCTTACCTCAGTTCACGCCACCACCTGGGAAAGCCGCCTACGCTGGGGGGTCCCAGGGTGAGACGAGATGAATGCACAGAGTCCCGCAAAGCCTGGCTGAGGCCATGCTGGTTCTTACAACCCCTGACATGGTTGGGTGGCAGTCCTGAGAAAGGCAGGGACCCACTGCTCCCCATCACACCCCACCCCTGCCTTACTCCTACCCAACTGCCCAGCAGCTCCGGCTGGCCCAACGTGGAAACAGCTTCCATTCTTTAAGAGCACAGAGACCCCTGGGCACCACAATCTGCACTTTTGTGCCAAACACACACTGTGTGCCCTGCTTCTGCTGGGCAGTGAACCACAGACCCTAAGAGCCCCTCCATGGTACTGACCCCAGGGGGCTCTCCAGCTGGGGTCTGGGGGGAGCTTCTAGAAATCTGTGAAACCCCAGAAGTGGCCAGCAAAATGCCATGGTCCCTGTGCTCTTTCTGGGGGCCCCTCAAGGAATCCAGGCAACCACGGGGGCAAACCCTGGGCACGAACGAGTTTTCCAGACACCAGCTCCCCACTCTGTGCCAAGCCCGGCAGCACCAGTCCCCCTGCTGTGGGCATTTTCTGCCTCCTAGACAGACCGCAAGCCCCTCAGAACCCGTGGTGGGCAGGGGCCTGATTCACTGCCCCCTCTTCCCCCCGCAGCTGAGCTGGGGATAGAGCTGGGAAGGCAGACATTCCAGGTGCTGTTGGGAACTGCCCTCCAGGCCCCGCAGACTCCCTTCTGCCAGCCCACCCCCAGCCGGGCTCTGGATAACATCTCGGAGACCAACCGCGGCAGCACAGGGCAGCCGAGCACTTCCTCGTCTGTTTATTACTGAACGCAGGCATCTGGGAGCCCGCGGAGCATGAAATTAGGAACAAATGTGCAGGAGGTCTAGACAGGAACTCTGCGGGCTGCTCTCCTCCGATCGAGGACGCCGGGGCCCTTGGGCTTCCAGGTAATGGGAGCGCCTTTGTAACCAGACAGATGTGTTTGTGGAGAAAAGGCGCTCTGAGTCTCCATAAGCCCTCGACGAGACGCCGGCATGGGGAGGAGTCTGACCGTGAGGCAACAAGCCTGGGTTCCAGGTCCAGCTCTGCCCTGGGCCCCCAGGGTTGGCCCTCTCTGCCCTGGCCTTGGTTTCCCCATCTGGAAGTGGAGGGCGCCCGCCTCACCTGGTTAGAGGGGCCGCTTGTGAAGCCATCAGATTGCAGGGCCCGTGCAGCTGCACTGCCGTCGGGACGTCTGTGTGTTTACCAGGCTCCCCGTCCTGGGGCCCGGTTGGTTTGGAAGGCGCGGGGCTGGATGAGCCAGAGGGCACGGCCAGTGCCGAGGATGTAGGCCTTGGCTTCTCCCTGGCTCCTACCACGAGCGCTGGGCATCTCAGGTGAACGAGGCAGACAGAAGCCTTCATTAAGCGTCGCCTGGGCCCTGTACCATGCAAGGCAGTGGCGGGGGCTGGGGCTGGGGCACAAAATAAATAAGCTCTGGAGGGGTCCGTTCCCGTGGGCTTTACGGCAAGTGAGGGGGATGTGGCAAGAGGGACAGAAAACTAGCAGAGTCTGAAATTCAGCACGGGACGTGTGGCCCAGATGGTGGTTAGCAGGGGGTCTCCTGCCAGGGAAAGGTGGGTGTGGGGAGGGGGCTCCCGGGGGAGGCAGGTGGAGGCCCGTGTCTGGCTCTGCTGCCAGGTGTTTCCTGCCCCACCCCCAGCTCCACGCCATTCATTCCTCGGTGCCGGTGCCGCAGGAGACAACTGAAGCTTGTAAACGCAGCTGGCTCTCCCTGCCGGCTACAGAGACGAGATGGGGCCCTCAGAAGGGGACTGTTGCCCGCCCAGGCCCCCTTGCCACAGACTCTGTGGACTGGGGTGGGGGACGCACAGGGGAGCCCCATCTCACAACCTGTCCCTGTAAAAACCCGGGGTGGGAACAGGGAAGCAAAGCCATTTATAAAGCTTTAAAACCATTTATGGTCCCAGGGGGCAGATAAACAATTCAGCGCTATTCTCGCCAAATTGCCTTGGCTGGCAGTGCGGAGGCTTCAGGGAGCTGGAAGAGGGGTGGGGCTCGAGTCACAAGCAGGCGGCAGAGTAGCCTCTGCCAGGCTGTTGCTGGGCCTGACCCGCATGGCTCTGCCTCCGAGGCTTGGCCTGTGCTGTTCCCAGCACCAACAGGCCCTCTCCTTCTTCTCCCAGCCCATCCTTCACAGCCCGGCTCAGAAGCTTCCTCCTCCAGGAAGTTTCCCTCGGTTCCTCCCCCATCCGTTACCACCCTGAGCAGCCAAGTCCTCCCCTGTTCTCTCAGGCACTCAGCTTTCTCAGAGCACAAGTATCCTTGGGAGCCAAAGTGTCTGTAGCCCTTCCCGTTCTCTGCCTACCCTTGGAGGGTGTCATCTGGCTTTTTCGCCTTATCACTTGATGTTTGTTTACATTTTCATAATCCTGACTTTGTTGGGTGTCTAAATCATCTGGATTCCTGGCAGGACCAATTAAAAATCCAAGTCCCCCAGAGTTGGGAGGAATCAGCGTCTAAACCCTGCCACACCCATTGTACAGATAAGAAAACTGAACCCAGGGAGAGGCCTCTGACCCAAGGTCACCCGCAAGAGTAGAGCAGGACAGAGGCCCCGCAGACTCGTATCACCTGGGCCACAGCTGAGTAGAGTCCTGGGGTCCCCAGGGAGGAGGCTGAAGGTAAGCACTCAGGGAGGGCAGCAGGTGGTCCATATTCTTCCCCCATTAAATGAAGGGGTGGGACCTGGTCCCTCTCAGCTCTGGCGTTTGAAGTTTTGAAGTTCTGTGGTGTGTATTAAAGTTCAGGAAGGCTTCCTGGGAGAGGAGGGCACGTGCTGGGCTTTGATGGCGTGGTAGGTCCGGGGGGGGGATGGGCATCCCAGAGGGTGGGGCACAGCTAGAGCAGAGGGGAGGCAGGAGGGTGGAGGCCCAGGGAGGCCGTGTTTTTGGGAGCTGCTCGGAGTGAACTGTGGTCTGATGTCAGGCTGGGCGCTGGTGGAGCTGCCAGCGGAGTGTGTGTCTGTCGGCCATGCCTGGCCCTGGGACCTGGCGCCGTCTCGGGCGTTGCTGCTCCTCGGCAGGCGTGTATCTGCAGAGCGAGGCTGAGAGGCTCCAGCTGGACCAGCCTGGGTGTTGGAGGGTGGCTGCTGACAGCCCTGGGCACCTGGCCTGAGCCGGCACCCTTCCCGTCACGCCGCCAGGCTGCTCTCCGCTGGAGGAGACCTGGGCCCAGAGGAGCTGCAGCCAGGCGGAGCCAGGGACCGGCTGCATCTCAGACCTGAGAGAGAGCTTTGCGGCGAGCGGGGCCAGCTCCCTCAGGGACCCGATGAAGGACTCAGACCCAGGGAGGGACACGGTCCTAACATCAGCACAGCACTGAGCATGGTGCAGCTGCTGTCCCACAGAACCCCTGGGGTTCTCCCATTTTATAGAGGAGGGAACTGAGGCAGAGGAATGGAGGCACTGAAGGCCCATTCTTGCAGCTAACCAGAGGCAAAGCCAGGCTGGCACTTGGGGGTTTAGCCTGGGTGTCCTGTATGGCTCCCCAGTACCTGTCCCTGAGGGAGCACCTCAGCCCAGCCATGGCCACCTACAGTCTCCATCCTCCCTGCAGTCTCAGCCTGACAGCAGTGGGAGCCCCTCCACCCAGGCCCATGCTTCCCTATGGGAAAGCAGTGGCCCCCATTGCTATCAGTAAGCCCTAGCAGTGGGCCCTCAGCCATGGCCCGTAGTGGAGGGTGGTGCTGAATTTTAATCCCTGCATGACCACAGACAACACTCGGGCACGAGCCTCCACCTCCCTCAACCCCTCCCAAGCTGTGTGAGTGCCCTCATTGATGAAGTGGGGCCATAATTACCTGGGTGCAAATAGCAAAAATGCCCTCCAGGTGACATACACACAGTAGGTGACATACACACAGCAGGAGTCACTCTGCAGGTGTCGGGGAGGGATCGGCACCTGAGTCAGGACCACAACAGCAATCTCTCCGGCAGCTGTGGCCTTCCTCGCTCCCTCCGGGGACCAGCGCCTTCTGACTCTCCAACATGTGGCTGAAAACCCCACCCGTGGCTACAGCCTGGCCACAGCCTGAGCACTCATGTCTCTACCCAAGGTCAAGCGACCAGCAGGGACCGGCCAGTGTCTCAGGCCTTAATTCCATTTCCCAGGAGAGAGGCCGGCTGGCCCAGCCTGGGGTGCACGTCCATCCCAAACCCAATAAACTGTGGCCGAAAGGACAGCAGCAGAGGGCTCAGAAGTGGCCACCAGCCTCTTGGCTCAGGGCACAAAGAAGAGGGCCATGGCTGGGCCAGCACCCCCAAACCTGCTATCAGCACAGTGTGTGCTTCCCCAAAGGAGCTGTGGCATTCAAGGCATTCACGTGGAGGAGACATGGGGTTCAGCAGTCGGGGTAGGGTGGCAGGGGCCCCAAGGTGGATGGTAGCAGCGGATCCAGCCCTGACCTGACCCAGATCCCTCATCTTACTGGTGCTGGGGCCTGGGCGGGTCATTTCTCTCCAGGCCTCGGTTTGCTCCCTAGTGGGATCATTTGAACATCAAAAAGAATCATGACTGCAGTGGACTGAAACGCATCAAATATATTTTCAAAAATCAGTGAGATTGCACTGGGCAAGTTTCCACGTAGAAAGGCAAGCTGGGGCAGACAACAGGCTGGGACCAGTAGGCACGCGGGGCCTGCAAAGGGGGCAGGGTCACTTTTGGTTCACTGAGAGGTGTGGATCTGGGCTGGCCTGTTCTCCGTCCTCTCGGCACACACACAGCCACAAACCTCAGGGCACCAGCTCATTCTGATCCCTGATAAAGGGAGGAATGGAACCTCTGAGCCTTCCCTCTGCAGGCCGCATGCTAGGGTAACCACACAGATGATAAAGGCATGTGCTTTAGAGCTTTTTCAAGAAGAACTGGAGCTCATAAACGTGGAAAGAAGGATAACATTTGGAAAGTCACTACTTTGTAACTCCTAGTGAAGTAACAGATCCAGGTCACGCACAGGATGCTGCAGCAATGGGCTGGGAGACCCCCCGGAATCTGGCAATGGAAGAACTGGCCGAGAGCAGCTGCAGTCATTAGCTGATTGTGACGTCAAGATGAGGGGGACAGCAGACACCAGGCCCCTGGGAGTGATGCAACAGGAAGCCAGTTTAGAGGAGAAACACTGATAAAGGAGCATGTTCAATGCCATGCGAGGAATCCCGGCCAGCTCCAGTGCCTGGAAAATTCTGTCAGATAAACAACCCAGTTTCTCCAATAAACAACATGGGGGTGCGGGGCGTGAATGGGTTTTGAGCTGTTCTAGAGCAAAAGGAGCCAAAAGCAAGTACATCCTGATTTGAACTAACCAACCGTAAAAAAGGCATTTCAGAGACGACAGGAGAAAGCTAAACGTAGGCTGGGTAATTTTTTTAAAATCCTCCTCCGTCAGATGCTGCACTGGAGTATTTATGGGTAAAGTGATATGCTCTGTGATTTCCTTTAAAATACTCCAATCTCTTCCTCCACCCCATACCCCAGCAAGAAAAAAAAATAAAAATGAGGCTTGGGAAATTGAGGAAGGGAAGTGGCGCCAGCTCCCACTGCTCTGTGAGAGGTGATTGTGAAGAATTTAGGAATTTTGTAAGCCGCTTGTCAAACCTTGCTTGAACTGAAACTGGCCATGGTAAGAAAATCTACACCACAAAAATCAGCAAATGCTCCCAGCCGGGTGCTTTGAGAGCTGGTTTATCAGCACAGCCCAGGACAGGGATGAGCTGAATGCAGCAGCCACTGACAGCATCACTCCAGCCTCCCTGCGTTGTGTTTGATGGACATTTTCCACAAGAAGGAGTTTGCAAAGGGCATGTCCCTAGGCCTGGAAATCCCACTTCTAAGAATGTATCCTGAAAGCCACTGAAGCAGGTTCAGGTGGTTCCCATTACTTAGCTACAAAGACGCTTATTAAAACATTGCTAAAAATATTTCTTTAATGTAAGAAGCCCAAACGTCAGGCAGGAATTGGTTTTCAGTTTTGCAAGATGAAAAATTCTGGAGATTAGTTGCCCAACAGTGTGAAATATAATTCATGCTACTAAGCCGCACACGTACAAATGGTGAAGATGGTACATTTTATGTGTGCTTTACCACAATTAAGCATTTTAAAGAAAAGGAGTCAGTTACATGAAACAATGGAATCGGGTTAGAGACTATGTTGCAGAAGAAAATTTAAGGATATGGCAGAATAATGGTGACTGTGTGAGATGAAAATGCAGGGAAGCAGGTTACAAAACCATATGTTCGGCCTGACTGCATTTGGGTAAATTTAAAAACGTGCAAGCTTGTAGAGCCAGGCTGGAAGGGCGCCATTCATTGACAGCATGCTACACTAAGCATGGAGAGACACGCTTGTAAAAGTGTCACAAAACCCTGTGCTATTAGCATCCACCTTCTACGGATGTGGAAGCTGAGGCTGGGAGAGGGGCAGGGACAGAGGCCAGCTGAGGCAGAGCAGGACCTGGGCTCCTGCTGCACCCCGTCCCCGGCAGAGCCCCTGCCTCTCACAGGCACATCCTGGGGTGCTTTTTTCCCCTCAGCTTGTCTTCTCAGTTCTCTAGAATAGCACGAGTGACTTTTGTGGTGAGGAAGCGTGATGCTCTAAAGCTGGCGGCGTGTGTTGCAGGCTGTTGATGGAGAAGGGGGCGGATGACAGCCGGGACCGTGGTCATCACCGGGGGCATCTTGGCGACTGTGATTTTGCTCTGCATCATCGCTGTTCTGTGCTACTGCCGGCTCCAGGTATTCCCGGGCGGCGGGGAAGGGGACAGGGCAGGGAGGCCCAGAGGGTGCCCCTACCTCGGGAGGGAGCCCCGCCTGAAGGTCACAAGGGTCACGGCCCGGGAAGTGGGGAAGAGCCCTGTGGCAGAGAAGACACACAGCAGAAGGCAGCAGGACCCTACCATGGGGCTCAGTAAGATGCGCCTGACTCCCCTCACCCAGAGCTTATAAAGAGGCTCAGAGACGGGAAGGGACTTAGCCAAGGGCACCAGCTGCCCAAAAGGAGTGTCACAGTGAGCAATCCTTCCCACCTGCACTCCAGGGCCATCCAGAGTCTCCATGTCTCCCTGAGAGATGAGGGGGAGCCATCGGGGCAGGGCGAGGCAACACAGCTGCCAGTGCCTGTGACCCCCGGCTCTGCTGATGTGGGGCTGCGAACCCCTCCACGCCTCAGTCTCCCCACCTGCAAAATGGAGATAACAGTCACACCTGCACGTTGCTGGGCGGAAGAGATGAGTGGATCGTTGTGAAGTGCTCAGCACTGCGCCTGGCCTGAGTGAGACCCATAGCACTGGTTAAACAGCTGAGGTGTCAGGCCTGGGCTTGGGCCACCCCACTCCCACCGTGCCTATCTCCCCTCCCCAGTCAGGGGTAGCCTTTCCCACATGTCGGTTCTGGGGTGGGAGCGGGCGGCCGCATGGTCACCGTCCCTCTGCCCGCAGTACTACTGCTGCAAGAAGGACGAGTCGGAGGAGGACGAGGAGGAACCAGACTTCGCCGTTCACTCGCACCTGCCCCCGCTGCACTCCAACCGCAACCTGGTGCTGACCAACGGGCCGGCGCTCTACCCCACCGCCTCCACCTCCTTCAGCCAGAAGTCCCCGCAGGCCCGCGCCCTCTGCCGCAGCTGCTCCCACTGCGAGCCCCCCACCTTCTTCCTGCAGGAGCCGCCGGAGGAGGAAGAGGACGTGCTGAACGGCGGGGAGCGCGTGCTCTACAAGAGCGTGAGCCAGGAGGACGTGGAGCTGCCCCCGGGGGGCTTCGGGGGCCTGCAGGCGCTCAACCCCAACCGCCTCTCAGCCATGCGGGAGGCCTTCGCCAGGAGCCGCAGCATCAGCACCGACGTGTGACCTGGGCCCGCCCCCGGGATCCTGGCCTTGAAGGTCCTGAGACAATGGGGGGATTCCTTTGGCACACCCACCTGGCCCCAGGCCCCAAGTGGGGCTTGGCTGAGCCCTCCTGGAATCCCTGTCCTCAGGGGAGGCCCAGGCTTGGGGAGCCCCCAGGCTCGTGGCAGGGATAAGGCTCATTGAACACAAATGTGTCCTGGGGGGAGGCACAGCTGGGGCCTGGGGCTAGAAGGACCAGGTGACCATACAGCCGGCTGGGCATGCACCAGGGCTCTCAGGCACAGAGGCCACCGTTACTCCTGATGATTCTGTCTCAGACCCAACAACCTGGCCTTCCCAGGAGGTCTCCATGTGTCACCCCCTCCCTGGGTCTCACCCTTCTCACCTGCTCAAGGAAGGGATGACCTCAGTGAGGCCCAGGGCCCTGCAGCAAGGCCCTCCCTGGCAATTGCAGACCAAGGATTCTGCTCCTCCACCTTGAACTCCAGCCTCTTTCTCTCCATTTTTCCCTCTCTCTCCCCTACCCGTCTCTCCCTCTCTCTCACACACACACTCTTCCGGGTTCAAGGGCCAAGTGTCTGCCTAGGCTGAGACACGTGCTGAGCTCCCTGAAGATGGACCAGCTGCCCCCTAGAAGGGAGACTTTCAGGGGCATCAGGGCCCTTGGGATGCTCCGCCCTGACCAGCTTTTTGGTGGCAGAGGGAGGCACGGGGAGAGGGAGAGGCCATGTCGCAGTCCCCCTGCCGTGGGAGAGGCAACGTGGAAATGTATAGACCCAGTGCTCAGCCAGAAACAGGGCCAGCAAGCGGCAGTGAACGGAGGCAGCCCGGGGCTCGTCAGGGGCAGAGCCATGGCCCAGGGGTTGAAAACCCCCGAGTTCCCCGTGAGACTTGGCTGGCCCTTCCCACCCCTGGGCCTCAGTCTCCCCATCTTGTGTGATGAGGAGAGACCCTGAGGACAGAGGTCTTCAGGCTGTGGGTCTCAACAGGAACTGAGATCCCCAAGGGAGACAGAGTTGCAGGTCACCTCCCCTACCTGCTTCTCAGCAGGACCTAGGAGGCCTGGCCCAGCTCCTGGTGGACCCCAAGCAGCCAGAGCCTACTGCTGCCATCTGAAGACCTCATCTGAGCCCACTTTCCACCAAGCGCCCACCCAGGCTGAGGTCTCCTGGGAATTCTCACCCGCTCTCCTGCTGCTAAGGAAATGACGTCAATGGCTACCCCAGAGAAATGCCCCACATCCCAGGACACCAGCCATCAGGAAGGCAGCTCTTCCTCACCCAGAAAGAGGCAATTATTTCCTCTCAGCAGCCTGGCCCCAGGAGCCCCCTTCCCTCTCTGGGGCTCTGCCTCTCCTTTTGTGCCCTGCCATGGAGCCCCAGGGCCGGGGCAGCCCCTCTCTGCCCAGGGAAGGCACCGCCCTCAAAGACAAGGCTTGGCCGGGCAGTGACCTTCCCTGAGCGGAGGGGTGGCTTGAGCAGGACACTTCTTGCCCTTACTCAAAAACGAAATGGCCAGTTTCCAGAGGCGTCGGGGGAACGGCTGACGAAGTCACAATCGTTATGTTCTCAATTGTTTTCCTCCTCTTACTTTCTCTCCTGCCTCGTTTGGACAGGCCAGTGGCATTCGCCCTTGAGGTCCCTCGCAGCCCCGGCCCCCCGGGCCCGCCCACACCTCTGGCTTCCTCTGTGCATCCTGTGAAGTCTGTTTCTGATGCGTTGGCGTGGGGGGTGGGCTGGGTGGGGTGGGGATGAGGGCCCAGCCCTCATGATTCCATTTCCCAATTCCTTTCTGGTCTCCATCCTCTCTGTAGATATGTAGATCTCTTTGAAACGAAGTAAGCACCCATCCCTCCCAGCTCACTCGGCTCCACCGTGGGGACCTGCTGGGGGAGCCGCTGGCTCCCTGAGGAAAGTGAAAGCCAATAAAACATCTCCCACACTCTCGTGCAGCGTCTTCCGTCCTCCCGGGTGTCCAGGCCGTCCACACCCACGCTCTTCAACCTTCTGGGAGGGGCTTCCTCCCACCCCGCAGGAGGCAGAGTCAGCTTCTCCTTCCGGATGCAGCCAGTCAGGCCAGGGCTCTGCCCGGCGGGGCCGAGAGCTCCTCTCTGGCTTGGGGGCACAGCAGTGGGCCACGTTTGATTTTGAGTTTCCCGGTGGCTATCCATCTTCCAGCATTGAGAACTACCAGAGTGGACTCTGAACCCCTGGACAGAGGGTTGTGGGGGGGACAGGCTGGGTCCCCTGGGACAAGTGACAGAGCATCTCTGGGCCTCAGTTTTAGCCTCCACACAATGGGGTAATCGCGATGCCTATATCGTGGGGACCTTTGGAAGATAAATCCAGGCAGCACCGAGGAGGTGCTGGGCACAGAACCTGGCATACAGTAAGTGTATAATAAATGTTGGCAGAAAGGAGAAGCCGGGAGGAAACAGTAAGACAGGAAGATGTGGGTTGGGGGACACAGGAGGAGAGAAGAACAGCGAGGTGAGGGCGGGCAAAGGGTGAGGTGGGCAGAGAGGCCTCAGACCCCGGGGTCTCAGGACTCGGTTCTGTCCGGCCCAAGCTGGTGACCTTGAGCAAGTCCATCCCAGGGGCCTCTTAATTCCTGGACTTTAGGGATTGAAAGGACCATCCTGATTGCAGCGCCTCAGTGCACACGCGTGCAGGCACACTCAGAGGCAAGAACACACTGGGGGGGGGGGTGCTGCCTTAGTTTCCCCAGAGCCCCAAGTCCTTCAGAAGCCCCCCTAAAGCTGTGATGGACGCTGCTGTGGCTCCCAGTCTGAGAACAAGCTGGCCTCACATCGAGGAAGCAGCCCGGCAGCCACTCACCTCCCGACTGCCTGCGTGCTCAGAGACACCTCCTGGGGCCTCTCCGGGCGGTACAGCCCCGTCCTTCCTCCCATGCAGCGTCCTCCAGCTGTGTCACTTTTCCTCTCCTGAGTGCTCTTTGCTGCCCTCTTGTCTGGGAAAAGCCACTCCTGCTGCTGGGTCAACCAAGCAGCCCCTCCCCAGAAGCCCCTGCGTTCCTGCACCCACAAGTCCGGGTCAGGAAGCCCTCCATGAGCTCCAGGAGCGGCAGTGACGGTGCTGTTTCCTGAGGCTCAAGGTGGGCCCAGCCCCGCGCCCCCAACACCTGCCTCATCTCCTCTGTTCTTGCCCACGCACTTGGAGGTGGGTGCCCTACACCTTAGCCAAGGTCCCTGCCCCCTGCCCCCACAGGTCCTGTACCAGTTGCTGATGGGCTCGAGATGTCCACTCCTACTCCAGCGCCTGAGTCCCAGTGTCCCCAGACGCCCTCCCTGCACACTCCCCACGCCTCTCGTTGCCTTTTATCTGCGTCTGTCTTTCTCCTCAGAGCAGGTGCTGTGGTCCCCCACGGCCCACCCCTGCCCCTGAGGCCTCAGTGAGCTGGAGGGACCCCACACAGCCAGGCCTGGGCCCTCCAATCCCCAGGCCACCCACTTCTCCAGCCAGAGGCAACTGAGACCCCATGATGCCGCCATAAATAGGACCACTTTATTAACGTAGATGAGCACTGACGCTGACTGCAGGGGCGGGGGCCGAGGTCCATCCCCAAACGTCCCGTGGGCAAGCGCCTCTGCCCGGGGTAGAAAGTGCGGCGGGAAGAGAGCTCCATGGGAGGGGCTCCATAAGAGGGAGCACGCCTGGGCCTCCTTGGCTGCCTGAGCCCCTCTCACCCCATGGCCTCTGAGGGAGGAAGGCCCCCCACCACGTTGGGCTCGCCTGCAAGTTTCCTTCAGAAGGCCCTGCCACCCAGAGAGGGCGTGGGCTACGGGCCCGGAGCAAGACACCTCCACCGCTGGCTGTGGGCCCTGGGCCCCTCGGCTGGGGGCTGCTGGGGGGCTGGGGAGTGGGAGCCACAAACACAGGATCCACGCAGGAACACGGACAGGTTCCCACGGCAGGGGTGGCTCTGTCTGGGGGAGGCCACTGGGTGCCGGAGGCTCTGCCCCAGGAGCACAAAGGTCCACGGGCCGTGGGAAGTCCCCTCTCGACAGCCGAGGCTCAGTGCCACGTCTCTTAGGCCAGCGTGCCCCGCAGGAGGGGGGTCTGTGGAGGCCCCAGAAGCTGCAGCAGCCCCAGGAGGGGCGCTTGGTCTTCATCTGGAAGGGGCTGCAGCTGCCGGGCCTAGGAGTGGGGGGGCCTGCAGGAGCGGCAGCACGCCTTGCTGTAGTACCAGTGCCCGCAGAGGTTCACTTTGATGGCCAGGGCACAGTTGGTGCCTGGCTGGTCCTGGCAGCTGTCATCTGGAGAAGGAACACAGAGCGAAGCAGGGCAGTTTCAGGAGGTGGCCAAGGGGCGAAAACCCCAGGGACCCCCACGTGCCGTTTTCCAGGGGCAGTGGGCCTCCCACCCCGTGGTGGGTCTCCATCTCTAGCTCTCTGCCCCCTCCTTCCTGGCCCATCTCTGTCCCCAAGATGTCGCTGTCCCAGATCATGCCAGGTGATTTGATCTGTGTCCCAAGAGGAGTGATGCCTAAAGGAGCTACAGATGTCACACCCAGAGGCCTAAGCATCCCCAAGGGTTCCACAGGGGCCCCCCGTCCACCACTCAATGTATCCAAAGCATAACTCATCACGTGCCCTGCACCTGGCACCCTGTCCCTCCTCCAGGTGCCCAGGCCCTGCTTCAGCTGCTCCCCTCCCTGCCCCCTGTGTGCCAGCCCCTGGCCGCTCCAGCTGAGTCATCCTGGATTCAGGTCTTGGCCCCACAGTGGCCCTGCCATCTGAAGCTGACCCTTTTCCCAAAGTACAGGTCTCAGCATGGCTCCCTGGGGCCATGGAGCCCCAGTCAGGCCTCCCCCATTCCCCTTCCCTCTCTCCCCTCCCAGTGGGGCTCGGCCATGCCGGGAGGGAGCCCCCACTCCCTGCACAGCTTGGTCTCTCAAGCTGGTTCCCAGGCTCGCCATCAAGGTGAGCAATGTCTGCTCACCCCTCAGGCCCTGACTCTGTCCTCGCCTCCCCTGGGAATTCCCAGAGCCACCCTCGGCCTCCCCGCGCCTCACCTGGGGGCTCCGTGGGGCAGGGCTGCAGATCACAGGCCTGTCTGCCAACGGGCTTCACCAACGGATCGCAACCACGGACGATGTCGGTCCCCTGGTAGCACTTGACGTCTCGCATCCTCACGCCCACCCCGCAGGTCTTGGTGCACTGGTGTGGGAGAGACAGAAGGCATGGGGAAAGCCTCCTGATGGGGCAGGGGCCTGGGCAGGGGGCGGGGAACCTGCACACTCCCCCTTCCCCACCCCACCCTTCCCAGGCGGCCATGAGTCCCAACTGACACAGGACCCGTGGAAGCCCATTTGAAACTAGACCTGCGGCTCCAAGGCTGAGTTGAGATGCCGACAAAAGGGCACTGGCTGGCATTCGGGAGGCTCTGATTGTCTCCCACCCAGGGCTGCCTCAGTCTCCCCAGATCCACAGTGAGGGGTGGTCCCTCCTCTCTCATTTCCCAGGGGGTCCAGGCACTAGCTGGCCGTCAGGAGGATCTGATTCTCTCCCCACGCAGGGCTGCCTCAGTCTCCCCAGATGCACAGTGAGGGGTGGTCCCTCCTCTCCCATCTCCCTGAGGGTCCTCTGGCCCCAGCTTTCCTGGGTCTGTGGTGCAGACTGTTTGTTGTGGGCCGATCAAATGCATCTCGCGAAGTCACCACCCCCTCCAGTGGCTCCCCGTCCAGATGTTCCCCTTGGAAAACCCCGCTGAGCTCCCCAGAACACCAGAGACATCTGCTGGCCCCAGTCACCCTGCTGTCCTCCTGCCAAGATCCCACAGGCGGTGGCTCCCTCACACTCCCCCCAATGTGGGTGACCCCACATCATCCAGGCACGTCTGGGACCTGAGCCCTCTGTCCTCTGAGATGGGTGGGGTGGGAGGCCCTGGCCCTGGGACCCACTCTCCACTTCTGTTTGCAAAGGAGCAAGGAAGACCGATTAAGACTTGGCAGAAAGACTGCTGCCTGCCTGCCTGCTCCGAGCCAGGGGGTGGGGGCTGGCACCGTCTGCAGGCGAGGAGAGGCTGGCTTGGCGCTGACGGCGTGAGGACAATCAGCCTTTGGCAGGGCCCTGAGGAGCCTCTGGACGTGCCTCTGGAGAGCAGCACATTCCCGGCCAGCCCTGGTGCCAGCTCCTCTGCCCCTGGGGAGTGGATGGGACTGGGCAGCTGGGGCAACAAACACTGACTGAGCCGCCGCTATGCACCGGCATCGGGGGGCAGCCACCAGGAAGAAGGAGTCCACGCGCCCACCAGCCGTCTGTGCCAGCTGCACCTCGTCTGGCCCTGCCACCTCCTCATCAGGGCTAGGGGGATGCTCCTCCCCAGCACCCCAGGCTGTCCTTCTGGGGTCCCCGCTTCATCGCTTCATGGCTCCCCCCGTGCCATGGCTCATCACCCAGCAAGGTACCTGCACCTAGTGGGTCCGTGTTTCCTGGCCCCACAGTGGCCCCCCCATCTGAAGCTAGTGCTCTTCCCAAACTACAGACCTGGGCTGGCTCCCTGGGGCCCTGGAACCCCAGTCAGCCTCCCTGCCCCTTCCCACTCTCCCTCCCACCGGGCTTAGCCTTTCCAGAAGGAGGCTTCAGGGCCCGGCACGCCGTGGTCTCTCCAGCTGACTCCCGGCAAAAGCCGGCTCACCCTTCAGGCCCTGGCTCTGCCCAGGCCTCCCCTGGGAAGCCCCAGGCCCACCCTCAGCCTTTCCCCTCCTCACTCGGGGGTCCTTTGGTGGGCAACAGGGAATGAGTGAGTGTGTGTTCTCCCTCCTGAACAAGCATGTGTGCTACAGGGCAGGCAGAGGCCCTGGGGCGGGGTGGGGGGTGGGGGGTGGCGGGGCAGGGTGGAGGCCAGACACCACCAAGCGTGCACGAGGAGCCTGGGACCTGGCAAGGGCCCGGGGCCTGGACCCCAATCTCTGAGCAGGGCCGCACTGGGGTCCCCAGCTCGCTCCTCACAGACTCTTGGACTCTCTGCCTTGAACTCATAAGGTTTAGGATCTTGCATCCACCCGCCACAGCAACCAAGACTTGGAGCCCTCGGGCGCCAGGGCCTGATACACACCTGGGCACTTCACCATGAACGTTCCAGGCTCTGAGTTCCGTCTGACACCCCCATTTTGTCGCCTGGGTATTCAGAGTTGGCCCATCAGGAAACTGAGGGCAGAGGTAGCTGGAGACCCCAGGTAAACAGCCTGGCTATGGAAGCACCTGCCCAGTGATTCCCAGATACCCTCTGGACACCCCCAGGTCCCCCTCTCAGAAGCTCATGGCATTGCCAGGTGTGAGGCGGCTGGGTCTGGGGCCAGGGCTGGCGCTGCTGTGAAAGGGGCACGGATGGCTGATGTGTCACAGCTGATGTGAGTTACTCAAGCTGGAGTCTAGACAGGGCTGCCTCCGTGGGGCCCAGAAGGCAGAGGGGCACCCACTGGCACATGGCGAGGCTCTGGAGTCACCCGGAGGCCCCACAGGAAGTGCAGCAGAAGGGGAAAACAGCAGGAGAGGTGAAAGCAACCTGTTTGCTCTGCAAGACAACTGGGGGCGAGGGGGCACCCAGTTTGCCACCCCCTCTGTGAAACCAGGGCTGCCCACCCACCTCGGGGCTCCCTGCCCAGGGCCCCTTGGGATGAGCTGGTTCAGGCCCCCCTTCCCTTGCAGATGCCACACCCCACCTGGGTTTCACTCTAGTGCCATGGACAGGCCTGGCCTCCAATGTCTGCTACAGCCCCCAGTAACTGTGGGACCCCGAGTGGGCCAGAGAGCTCCCTGAACCTCTGAGGAATGGGGAAAAGAACCTCTCCTCATGGCACTATTGGGAGAGAGGAGACCCTTCAGGCAAAGAACTGGGTGAGGGTTGCCACACGTGCCTCAGGGCCTCAGGGTGGGAGGGCTCTCCTCCCCTCTACAAAGAGAACCGCGATCTCAGCATAGTCCTGCCTCACATCCTGACGCTGGGGCATTCTGGGGGCCCAAGAGTCAAAGAATCTCGGAGGGGCCAGACCCGTGCAGGAGACGTACTGCCCTTCCCTCTGGCCCCGCCGGTGTCCTGACATGGGGGTGCATGTCTATTACTGTCTCCCTAAATTCCAAGCGGCTGCCTTGGCTGTGGCTCCCAGAGGGCCAAGCCTGTGTCTGCCTCAGCCCAATCTGCTCCCCCCGCCCACCTGGGGTCTGTCTGTCCCGCGGTGTCCGGCACATGGGCTGCCAAACATGCAACTTAGAGGCCACAATTCGAGGCCGGAGTTCCCGGGCCCAAAAAGGCCCAGGACGAGTGCCGTAGGGATCCCAGGGACAAGATCAGAGAAGGCTTCCTGGAGGTGCTGGCTCTCGCACCAGCTGACGTGGTGGAGTTGAGAAGCTTTCCCGGGAAGGAAAGCCCTCACAGAGGCTGTCAGGGAGGGAGGAGCAGGAAGCACTTAAGGAGGCTTGAGGCGGGAGGGGCGGGATCGACATTCAGGTCTGGCCTCAGGCAACCTCAGAGGGGCCGGCTGGGAGCTCACCTCTGACCAGGGGCTGGTGTACCACTTGAAGCAGGGCCTCTCGAAACACGTGCTCTCCTCGGGAGGCTTCTTGGCGAGCCCGCACTCGGGGCCACTGCGCGTCTGCGGCTTCCCGTTGGCCAGCTCCATGCAGAGCACCAGCCGCTTCTTGACCCCGCGCCCGCAGGTGGTGTTGCACTGAGGCCGGGGCAGAGGGAGCGGGTCAGCGCCAGGGCCCAGCAGGACCCTACACACAGGGCCCACGGCGACTCTGGTGACAACGGGCTGGTCAATAGCAATTGGGTGAGAATGCTCCAGTGCATAACAAACTGGCTGGAAACTCTTTGTTCGATAACCATTTGGCCCCAGATGGATTTGATCAAAAGCAATTTAGCACATAACCATCTGTTTTGAAACAAATTGGCTAATGACAATCTGGCCAGTGATGATTTGGCCAAAATCAATTTAGCAGAAAACAATTTGGCTCGAGATTATCCGGTTTAGTGACCTGCCGGGAGCTGCTGGTTGAAAGCAATTTGTGGAGAGCAACTCGTCTGAAATGGCAAGTTGGTGACGATGACAGGTGGGTGCGGAAGACACACTGGTCACGATCAGAGGTCGCAAAGGCCCCTGGGCCAGGAGCAGGCAGCCAAAACAACCCCTGTCCCTAGCTTTCTGCGTCCCAGGGACTTGGGGGCCCAGGCTGGGGGCAATGCCAATTCTGCACGTACCACTGAGCCATGCAAAATTGAGATTTGGGGACTTGTAAGGTGTTTTCCTACCTTTTAAGCCTTTTGTATTCTAAATTAATTTTTAGGGAATTGTCCCTTCATAATTTGCAATGAATTCCTCTTTTTCACCCATCTGTGGTCCCAGCCATCTGGCTCTCCTCTCTGGCCAAATGCTCTCCAGATACCAGGAGGCCCTTCCGCGGGCTCTGGGGCACTCACCCGCTCCCAGTCCTGGGCCAGCCAGTGGGCGGGACAGTTTTTGTCCCCACAGGGGTGGATGGCCAGAGGCTTGGTCTCCATCTGGCACTGGGACTCAGGTACTACCCGTCCGTCGCTGGTCTTGCAGTACACGTGCCTGATGGTGCGGCCTTGCCCGCAGCTTCCACTGCACTGCAGGGGAGAGGACAGGCAGGGGACATCCAGTGAGAGGCAGCCACACCAGGAGGGGCCCTGGATGTCAGTCCCAAGGGAGAGGAGTGGCTCCCAGGCAGTGTCGAAGCGGTTGCCATGGTAACCACTTTTTAAATAACATTTTCTATTCTAATTACAGAAATAATGCATGCTTGATGAAAAGCACACAGAGAAAAGCACACTTAAAAAGATCATCTGTGCACCCACCACCCAGAGGCGACCCCAGCTAGCATCTGAGCATCTCTCTCGATGAGAGAGACAGAGACAGGGAAAGAGACAAAGACAGACACAGAGAGACAGAGATGGGGAGACAGACAGAGAGACTCGGAGACAAACAGAGACGGGGAGACAGAGACAGACCAACAGAGGAACAGAGACACAGACACACACAGGGAGACAAAGGCAGAGAGAGATACAGAGAGATAAACAGGTGATAGAGGGAAGGTGATGCTGGCCACGTGTTTGGAGAGAAGTTTTGATTCCTATAATAACATGGGAGAAGGCTGGTTGGACATTCTTGACCTCACACCCTTGCCTCGGAAAAAAATGGAAACTGAGGCACATCAAGGCAAAGCTCTGGGTCCCCTCACCAGCCGCACGCCCAGCCACCCCTCAGTGCAGGCCTCACCGGTCCCCAGTCGGAGACGGTCCACTGCCGGTCACAGGGCGGGCCCGTGCAGTTCTTCTCCCCTACAGGCCTGGTGTTGGGGTCACACAGCTTCTCATCCTCCGAGCAGCGGATGTCCCTGGTCACCACACTGCGCTCCCCACACTTGGCAGTGCACTGGGGCGGCAGGGGGAGGGGGCAGGGGGGGTGTGACACAGGTGTAGCCACCTCCATCTCCCAAGCCCAGCTCCCCAGCTCTTCCCGACCCCCGGCTTGCTCCCGCAGGCACTCACCTCGGACCACTCCGACATCTCCCACTGGGGCCCGCAGGCGGGGTTCCGGCAGGTCTTGCGTTCCTCGGGCCGCACGGCCTCGGCTGCCTCGCACAGGTCGCTGTACACGGAGCTGTCGAAGCCGGGCGAGAGCATCTTCCAGCAGCGCACGACGCGGAACTGGTAGCCCTCTCCGCAGGTGCGCGAACACTCGCTCCAGCTGCTCGTCTCCCACCTGCCCCGGGAGCGGATGGCCTTCAATGATCCCCCCCATGGCAGCCGGGACCCCATGCAACCCACACCCCCAGAGACAACGCGGCTCCTCCCTTCCTCCCCTATGTGGTCCAAAACCGCACACAACAAGCTAAGCCAGACAGGAGGGTGTCGAGGCTCAAGGGTGCAGGCTGGGCCATGACGGCCCCGGAGGTCTTCAGGGAGCACCTTAGCAAGGTGGTTGGCGGGTGCCCTGAGCGTGGGCTCGGCCTTCCTGCCCCTTCGTGCCCTGCTGTGTCACACAGGTGGCTGTGCGCCCACAGGATTCTGGCAAGGGTGGAAGTGAGCAGAAGGCACATTTCTGGATCTGTGTCCAGAAAGGGGGCATGGCCAGCGTGCTGGGGAAAGACCTCTCCTTCCCCTTAGCTTGAGCTGGGAGGGGTTATGAGTGAGACCCGGAAGTCTTCCAGGCAGATAGACTTGGAATAAGAGGTCCAAAGCTGATGGGCTCTGAGGGGAAGGACAGGGCCTGCTGGACCCCACCCCCGGGCCAGCCTTAGCAGCATTCTGGGGACCTTGGGCATTCTGCCCTTCCCAGAAAGGAGCAAACGTGCAGGAAGTGGGAGGCCCCAGATGGAGGAGTCCAGAAAAGAAGAGGCAGTGTGGCCGTGTGCGGGGAGCAGGAGGGCTCAGCCTCCGAGGAGTGTGTGATCCTTGTCGGGGGAGGCCGGCACCCTCAGGCTCATCTGGGGACCCCACTTGTCACTAGGTGTAGGATGCACTCAGCTCAGACTGACTGCATCCACAAGGCAGGAGACGAGGCCCAAAGGTCAAGAAAATAGGCCTCCACCCACATCCAAGGGACAGCCAATAGGCATGGAATCTTGGGAATAATCCCTTGAGTTTATAAAAATCCTAGATGTGCCAAGTGGGCCTGGTGGGGCAAAGATACCGCTGTAATATAATGTTGAGAATGGTTTCTAAATCTGCGGTGGCAAGCATTAATTGAGCACCTACTGTCTACGAGGCACAGTGACAGATTAAATTGCAACTCCTGGGAAGACCCAGAAGGTCTCTGAGGGGTGAGGTCTGTATGCCCCTCCTCGAAGAGCCCCCACGGCCCTGCACACGAAGAACCTCTACGGGGCAGGGGGTAAGTCTGACTGCTCCTTTGGGCAGAGCCCCTCACGCCCCCTGCCGACCCCCTGCCCAGGGCCCCTGGTGGCAGGTACCTGGGCTGGCACTCCCTCCCAGCGCAGAACTCGTGGACAGGCTCGGGACGGGTCAGGGCGTCACAGTAGCTGTCATCCACCTCGACGCCATCATAGCGGACACACATGGCGTACGCAGACATGACCCCTGGGTTGGGGACAGGGGTGGGTCTGTGAGCCATGCCGGCACCTTGGAGCCCAGCAGACAGGCCTCAGGACTTGGGGCAAGTCACCTGACCTCTCAGCTCAGCTTTCTGGCTTGGGGATCAGTCACAGCTTGTGCAACTGTGGCATGAGGGCAGCACTGTGGGTCTGAGCTGTGCGGGTCTGAGCTCTTCTCTTTGCACCCCCACCCCGCCCCACCCAACCCAGCTGGGCTCCCAGTTCCCATGTCACGGAGTCCGGGCTTTGAGTCTGCTCCAGCTGGCCCCCGTGGAGGTGCAGAGGCAAACACAGTCAGGTGTCCCCCATCGCCAGGCGTTCAGCAACCACCCATCCCTGGGTGGACAGGCAGGCGGGAGTGACATCTGACGGCTCCAGCCCCGTCAGCCTCCTCAGAGGTCATGGTGGGGGTTCGGGCGCGCCCTGCCCTCTGTGGCATGCCCCAGTCCTTAGCAAGCATCCTCTTGAACTTTCTTTTTTTGAGATGGAGCCTCACTCCGTGGCCCAGGCTGTAGTGCAATGGTGCAATCTCAGCTCACTGCAACCTCCCCCTCCTGGGTTCAAGCAATTCTCCTGCCTCAGCCTCCCGAGTAGCTGGGATTACAGGCATGTGCCACCACACCCGGCTAATTTTTGTATTTTTATGGAAATTGGGTTTCACCATGTTGGCCAGGCTGGTCTTGAACTTCTGACCTCAGGTGATCCGCCCGCCTTGGCCTCCCAAAGTGCTGGGATTACATGCGTGAGCCACCGCGCCAGGCCTGAACTTTCTTTAATCATCACTGTGTGCCTGTCTTTGTTGGTGCCCCGTACTCTGTAATCCCACTGGGGGACAGTGGGTGACAGGCAGCCCTCACCTAGCAGTGCCACTTCCTTGACCACATCTCCACCTTCTGCTTCTTTCGTCCTCGCCCCTGCACCCTTGCCTGGTACCGAACTGCCACACAGGCCCAGCTCCCTGCCCAGGAGCAGGATGATTCTGGGAGAGCCGGCAGCAGTGGGAACGGCCTTGGGGTGGGGTTAGGGTTTGCTGCTTCTGCTGTGGCTGTGTGTGTGTGTGTGTGTGTGTGTGTGTGTGTGTGGCCACGGGAGACAGACCCAGCCTTCCGGGATGACGGGCATCATGGAACGGTCTTGGCTGCAGCTGCCAGTTCCCCCAGAAGGAAATCGGTTTCCCCATATCCAGAGAACCCAGCCGCCCGGCGGCGTGTGTCTGCAGGCCAGCGGCTCCTGCCTCTCCAAGCCCCAGCGCTGGATGGAACGAAACAGCCTGGGAAGCAGCCGACAAGGGGATTTTTTCTTTTTTCCGTAAAGGACGAGCCAGGCTGCAATCACGGTTCCTCTCCCGCCAGAGCTGGGCCGTGCAGCCTTTAGCCTTCTCTGAGGGGGAGGCTGGCTTCCCGGCCAGGTCTGCTTGGAATGTTCCAAGCCTCAGAGACACCCGCTCTGGGGCCCAGGGAGGTGCGGGGCTGGGGACTTGCAGACCATCGCCAAGTGCCTGGTTATTCATTCGCTCCTCGTCACGGAGTGGAAACGCGGCAGGCCTTGGTCAAGAGAGACTGGAATCCAAGTCCCAGCTCAGTGCCTCCCTGGGGTGACGTGACCGTGACCAGACTCCAGGCCTCAGCATGCTCCTTCCCGAAATGGGAACCTTCCAGAGAGCCTGTGAGAATCAAATGCCAGGACGTTTTTTCTGGGCACCCTCTTCATGACACCCATCTCGAAAACGGTGCTTTTCAAACCCCCTGAGCCACGGAGCCCCTCCTTGAAACAAAAGAAAGGGGAGGATGAAGCCTGGGGGCCGCAGGATCCACTGTCCTCACCACGGTGCCCTGGAGCGCCGAAGGGCAGCAGAAACTTCCACCTATGACCTGAGCCGAGGCCAAACTCACGCTCCTCTGTTGCTATGGCTCCAAAAGAGTGTCTTCGAAGAAAAATCTAAAAACAAGCTTCCCCACCGCGGCCAAAGCTCAGGGCAGGCTGATCTGCCCCACTGATAGAACTGCCCTGTGCCTGGGTTCTTGCGAGGCACAGGATGGAGGGTGGGCCAATGACCATCCATGGGACATCCGCACGGACACAACCTATGCAAAGGGTGGACCCTGACTCTGTTATTTCTGCCCAGTGCCATTCAGCACCTCCCACAGTGACAGGGAACTCTCCCTCCCTCCTGCCCTCCCTTTCTCTCTCTCTCTCTCACCCTCTCTCTCTCTCCTTCTCTCTCTCTCCCTCTCCCTCTCTCTCTCCCTCTCCCTCTCTCTCTCCCTCTCTCCCTCTCTCCCTCTCTCTCTCTCTCCCTCTCTCTCTCTCTCTCCCTCTCTCTCCCCCTCTCTCTCTCCTTCTCTCTCCCTCTCCCTCTCTCTCTCCCTCTCCCTCTCTCCCTCTCTGTCTCTCTCTCTCTCCCTCTCCCTCTCTCTCTCCCTCTCTGTCTCCCTCTCTCTCTCCCTCTCTCTCTCTCCCTCTCTCCCTCTCTCTCCCTCTCTCTCTCCCTCTCTCTCTCCCTCTCTCTCTCCCTCTCTCTCTCCCTCTCTCTCTCCCTCTCTCTCCCTCTCTCTCCCTCTCTCTCTCCCTCTCTCTTTCTCTCTCTTTCTCTCTCTCCCTCTCTCTTTCTCTCTCTCTCCCTCTCTCTCCCTCTCTCTCTCCCTCTTTCTCTCTCTCTCCCTCTCTCTCTCCCTCTTTCTCTCTCTCTCTCCCTCTCTCTCCCTCTCCCTCTCTCTCTCTCCCTCTCTCTCTCTCTCCCTCTCTCTCTCTCTCCCTTTCTCTCTGTCTCTCTCCCCCTTTCTCTCTCTCTCTCTCTCTCTCCCCCTTTTTCTCTCTCTCTCTCTCTCCCTCTCTCTCTCTCTCCCTTTCTCTCTGTCTCTCTCCCCCTTTCTCTCTCTCTGTCTCTCTCCCCCTTTCTCTCTCTCTCTCTCTCTCCCTTCTCTCTCTCTCTCCCTCTCTCTCTCTCTCTCCCTCTCTCTCTCCCTCTCTCTCTCTCTCTCTCCCTCTCTCTCTCTCTCTCTCCCTCTCTCTCTCTCCCCTTCTCTCTCTCTCTCCCTCTCTCTCTCTCTCTCTCTCCCTCTCTCTCTCTCTCTCTCCCTCTCTCTCTCTCTCTCTCTCTCTCCCCCTTTCTCTCTCTCTCTCTCTGTCTCTCAGGGTGGCTCATTTCCATTTCTGAACAACCTCCTGTAAAGCAGAGTTTCCTTCTTCCAAAGCCAAAACCTGTCTTTCTGATTTCCTGTTGTCCTTTGCCCCACTGCACCTTGGGCCACGCTGCACAGACCCAGTCCAGCCCCCTCCCTGCCATTCTCTGGGTGTTGGGAGACAGTGCTGTGTCCTCCCTGGGGACATCTTCCACGCAGGGCTGCCCATCAGGCCCCTTGCCAGCGAGGCTGCCTCACCCTGCAGACGTCTCGAGCGACGTCCCCTCTCCAGCCAGCGATGTGTCTGGGAGGAATCACAGATGTTTGCAGACACTTAGTGACAACGCCCACAGGCTTGACACTTACTGACAACGCCCACACGCTTGGAGTCCCCTGGCCAGGAAGAGTGGAGGAACTCAGGGCAGGTCCGCAAAGGACTTGGCAAAGCAGACACCCTGCTGACACCCCACCACCATGCTCAGCTCCGCTAGGGGTCTGCCCGGAAGGCAGGTCACATGGCTCACTTCCAAGGCCAGCTGCTCCTGGGTATGGTGGAAGCCGCACCCTGCATCAGGTGGTGGCAGCCACCCTCAGAACGGCAGCATCCATTGACCTCTGACCATGAGAGGCTATTCCTTGTTTCATGTGGATCCCCACAACCCACCTTTGAGATAAGCAGGCGTCCCAGTTCACCTGTGGAAAACAGTGGCTCGGAAGGCTTTGGCAATTTGCCCAGGGCCCATGGTGTGGTCAACCAGGCGGTGCAAGCCTGGCCAAGCCGGTGCCCACCACGCCGCCCACAGCGGTGCGAGCCTGGCCAAGCCAGGTGCCCACCACGCCGCCCACAGCGGTGCGAGCCTGGCCAAGCCGGTGCCCACCACGCCGCCCACAGCGGTGCAAGCCTGGCCAAGCCGGGTGCCCACCACGCCTCCCACAGCGGTGCGAGCCTGGCCAAGCCGGGTGCCCACCACGCCGCCCACAGCGGTGCGAGCCTGGCCAAGCCGGTGCCCACCACGCCGCCCACAGCGGTGCGAGCCTGGCCAAGCCGGTGCCCACCACGCCGCCCACGGCGGTGCGAGCCTGGCCAAGTCGGGTGCCCACCACGCCGCCCACGGCGGTGCGAGCCTGGCCAAGCCGGTGCCCGCCACGCCGCCCACGGCGGTGCGAACCGGGCCCAGCCGGGTGCCCGCCACGCCGCCCACGGCGGTGCGAGCCGGGCCCAGCAGGGTGCCCGCCACGCCGCCCACGGCGGTGCGAGCCGGGCCCAGCCGGGTGCCCGCCACGCCGCCCACGGCGGTGCGAGCCTGGCCGAGCCGGGTGCCCGCCACGCCGCCCACGGCGGTGCGAGCCTGGCCGAGCCGGGTGCCCGCCACGCCGCCCACAGCACTTGCTTTTTCCCTCCAGGATGCCAGGCGCAGGGGCGAACACAGCATGCCCCATGGCTATGCCCTGTTTGGGGGCTCTTGTAACAGGAGGCAGAGCCCTTTCTTCAGTCCCAGAGAGGCAAGGCCAGTGTGAGCAGAGCCTGCAGGGCCGCCCCAGCCCCTCCCTCTCTCGGGCCCATCTCCTGAGATGCCAGCAGGGCTGCAGAGGGTGCGGCCAAGCTCAGACTGCCCAGCTGTGTGGAATCCTCACTGGCCAGAGACTGCAAGGGCATCAAATGCCCTGGCAAATGGGTGGCACTGGGGCGGGACCAGGAGCATCAAACCTTTTGAGGGCCAGCTGGGTATCCTCTACATCCAAACATGAAGCCCCAAGAATAGATAAAATGTGACCTCACAGCCGGCACTGGGGTCTCCCTGCCATATTTTCTCCCATCAACGGCCCTGTATCCTGATCCTGGGTTTGACATCAGACCTCGCGGCATCCCCCAGGGGAGGGTACTAGAGTGGGCAGCAGAGGCAGCTCCAGCTCTAGCGGCTGTGGCCAGCGTCTCAGGGCGATGGTGGCCGTGCAACCAGACAGCTGTGGGTTCAAATCCCAGCTCAACTCTTACTAACCACACACATCTGTCTGTCCAGGCACCACCGAGGAGGGTCTTTTTTCCCCTCCTAACTTCTCCCCTGCTGATGAGGTCCTAGAATTTGCCTACTTCCCTTCGTCACAGATCACAGGGGCCTATGACTCCCTTCCTATGTTTGCTGGAAGCAAAAGTAAAATCTCTGCTACCTAAGATTTCTTACTTTTAACCCAAAGGATGTTTGCCCTAACAAAACATGGTATCACTGGCAACAGACAAGGGCTACCACCAATGGGTGGTAGCCCGGATGACCCCCAGGGGCCTGGACCTGACCATGGTCTAGCACACTGTGAGAATGAGGGTGGCCTCACCAGACACCCAAACTCCTATCACGCCACACTGCCCCCAAGTCAGGAGGCCACGGACAAGCACCCCGAGGGCAGTTTGGGGGCTGCAAGCTAGTGGGTGGGCCCCACAGCCCCAGCCCATGTCCATGGAAATGGGTTCAGGGCAGTTGCTGCCCCTTGGCACCCGTGACCAGTACCTGTGGTGCAGGTGGCACTGCAGGGCTCGTGGGACGAGAGCTTCCACCGGTACATGTCCGCGGGACTCACGCCTTGCTTGCGCGCCTTGGGCCTGGTCCTGAAAGCGAGACCAAGCAGGGAAGGTGATGAGACGCTCCAGGCCCCACCGGCAGGCTCCGGCTTTTCAGGCGAGGGAGTTTTCTTCGGAGGGTATGTTCGCCTGAAGCACACACCTGTCCTGAGCCCCGGGCCGACCCTCCACCTGCTACGGTCAGAGTTCCCACTGTCTGAAGTGGAACGGATGAGGCGCCCGCAGAGGGGCACATTTTAGGATTGATTGGCATTGTTTTCCATCTCAACTGCATGGGAGCTGCCCGAGCTCCTTCCGGAGGGGAGGGGTGGCCTGAGAATTTGGGGCCCCCAGCACTGTAGTTGCTCCCTGCACACACGCAGGCTTCTCAATATTACCTTCTCACATCAGCTAGTGGGTTCCTTCTTCCCACCGGGGAGGGGACCTCAGAAGGTGTCTTATGTGCTAAGAATGTTCCAGAATTCTCTCCCACCCCCTCCTCCAGCTGGGACTCTGATGGAATGGGGGACACTAGGCATCCAGCCTCCAATTATCAAAATTAAAAAGCTCGGCTGCTGGCAGGGGCCGAGCCTACAGTGCAATTCAGGCAGGCCATGGCTGCACGGACCTGCTGGGGTCGGGGGAGGCACGCTGGGTCCCAGCCAGCCACCAGCTATGATTCTTGGCTGGAGCCTATGCAGCCAAAGCCAACTATTGTTAGGACTGTTTGCTTCTTTGAACCAGTAGGTGTGCCTGGGCCCAACCTCCACATCCAATGTGCAGGCTCATTCTGGACTCGGCAGGGGAGGAGGGAAGCAGAGGCGGCAGCAGCTCCACAGCCCGGGCATCTGCTCTGGGACGCCACCATGGAGTCCCGCCGCCCCTGAGCCAGAGAAGGGGCGATGGCAAGCCGGCGCGGTGGACAGCAGGTCCTTCGAGCCTCGACTTCCTTTTTAAACTGGACAGTGCAGCAGGTGGCATTGCCCAACTCCACTTTCCTCTGGGCCCAGAGGGGCTGGCTAGAGATGACCCCAAGCCGCCATACTTCACTGGGCTGAAACGTGGGCCAGGTCACAGGTCCTTCTTCAGGACCTTCAGTCACCTGGGGGTGGTCAGGCTTAGAGCATTATATTCAGAAAGGCTTTCAGATTGACTCCGTGATACAGACATGGGTTTGGATTGAATGGGGAGTTTACAATGTGTTAGGCAAGCGGGTGAGCATTGCTCTTCTGTTTTGCTTGGACTGGAATGGGAGGATCCCACAGCCAGGCAGTATTTGTGGGGATGAACGCTGCCTTGACCACACATCTGAGGCCCCAGGAATGATCTACCCACAGGAGCTTCAGCAGTGAGTTCACTGGTGTGGCTCCCTAAACTCAGGGAGGGAGAAGAGGAGTGAAGGGAGAAGGCATGGGGACCAAGGCCCAGGAAGGGCTGCGGGCTGGGGGCTGGTCCCACTGTTTCTTCAAAGCCTCCTTCACCTGGGAGCTTCAAGCCAGGAGAGTCTGTCCCATCCTGGGGCTCAAGGGGAAGGGAAGAGTGCCTTCTCCTCCCTCTTTCAGAACTTAGAGGAAGCTTTAAAAATGGGGGTGGGGGCCAGGCGCAGTGACTCTTGCCTGTAATCCCAGCACTTTGGGAGGCCGAGGCGGGTGGATCACGAGGTCAGGAGATCGAGACCATCCTGGCTGACATGGTGAAACCCCGTCTCTACTAAAAATACAAAAAAAAAAAAAAATTCACCGGGTGTGGTGGCGGGCGCCTGTAGTCCCAGCTACTCAGGAGGCTGAGGCAAGAGAATGGCATGAACCTGGGAGGCAGAGCTTGCAGTGAGCCGAGATCACACCACTGCACTCCTGAGCAACAGAGTGACTCCGTCTCAAAAAAAAAAAAAAAATGGGGGTGGGTGGGGGGTTTCCCAAGACCCTGTCATCTCAGAACAAAAGTTCCCTGGAAACCTGGAAAACTGCCCCAATGGGGGCCACTCAGAGCACCCAGATCAGGATAAGTAAGTCCTTTCAGGGAACGGAGAACCCGGAAGACCAGTCCTTAATGTTCGATTCAGAAAACACTAAACTGTGCTGACCAGTTCCCCACCTACTTTCAACAGCTTTAAATTCTCCCCAAGAACAAAAAGAGATGAAAAGATCCAACCCATGCCCCTCCACCCCACCCATGGAGACGCTCCGCCATCTTTATCTAATTACATGCTCTGAGCCAGCAGGCAGCATGACTCATGCCTGACTCAAGAGAGAGCGGGCCCGGTTCAAAATAACCCTTTGGATTTTAAGCACCAAAGGTATTTCTGGAGGGGCTGCCCACACACTCTTCGCAGCAGCACGTGTGGGGCATAGCAGATGCAACTCTTGAACATAACCCTGCATATATTTGCACAACAATGCAACGCCTAGCAGGTTCCGTTCTTGGAAGTAGCACAGGGAAGCGGAACACCAAGGAAATCGCTGAAGCACCAAACCGTCGCTCTCCTCCATCTGGAAGGAAGTCACTGCCCCTCTCAGCTGTGAAAGTCAGAGCTGCTAGACTGGGGCTGGTGACGGCTGTGGAGTCACCACCAGACCACCTGTCACTCCTCAGGGTCCTTCGCCCAGATGCCCGGCCAGACACAGGCTCACGGGCTCCCCAGGCAGGAGAAGCTCTGAAGCCACCGTGTTTGTTTATAAACAAGCCAGAAAGTGCTCTGTTCTTCTCTCCCCCCAAGGCTGCGGAGAGGGACTCCGCGTCTCTGTGTCTCAGAAGCTTGTTCCCAAAGTCGGAGTCTGGTGACAGGGGCCCCTCCCTTGATTGTTTGAAGCTTTTCTGGAAAGATGAAAATAGCCTTTCCTTTCTGGGCTGCCCCTTTGATTTTGCCTTCTCTGAGCAGACACGACTTCCTGTGTTTGGACAACTCGGCCGAGACGTGGCTATTTTGGCCTGGTGGTTTCCCCCGCCGCCTCCCTCTGCCCTTTATCTCTCCACACCATCTTTGGTCCCTGTGCGGCAGCATCCTTTGATGGCAGGCCGGCCGGGGGAGCAGCGGCATCTCAGCAGTCAGGGCCTTTCTGAGTGCTGACAGCCTAGTTGATCGACCCTTGAGGCCCCTGACAGGCCCTGGAAATTCAATATATCCTGGGGCGGGGGGCTAAGAGGGGAGGGTAAGAGTCAACCAAGATGGGGCAGGAGAGACTCTTTACAAAGCGGCTTGAGGATCCGTAAGCTTGTGCCATGACCCTGGCCTAAGGATCACTGAATATTTGACCTGGTGGGCCCAAAGGGCAGCCCCTGACAAGCCCCCCAGTGAGAGATGGGGAAACTGAGGCCCAGAGGAAGACAGAGATGCTCAACTCACACAGTGTCCATGCCTTAAGCCAAATTCCACAGCGAGGCCTCGGTGCCACTCTGATAAACCTATTCTATTTGGAGGGCCGTGACTGCCGGAGAGCTGGCCTCCCTGACCCAGGCAGTGGGTCCTGAAAGGCACCCCCCACTGCTGCCACTTGGAGGCTCAGTTTTCTACTAATAGCTTCTACTTACTGGAGGCCTTACCGTGGGCCTCACACACGGAATACCAGGGAATGCCCCGGACTGCCCTGGGAGGTGAAGAGGGCCCACGCTGAAGACACAGACAGACTGGCAGCCTTGAGTAGTGCCGTTCCCACAGGCAGGCACTGTCTGGGTCCGTCCCTCCTGCCCTTTACCCAGGACCCCCTCTCAGACTCAGACACTATACCCAAAGCAAGGCCCGGCCCTCCCCGCCCGAGTCCTGAGAACCAGCCACAGGCCCCACCTACCCAAGGCTTTGAGCATGCCAAGGTAAAGGGTGAGCAGACAGCCCTGTGCCACCCCTGTGGGAAGAGGGGCAGCCAGAGGAGGCTCCGAGGCCCCACTCTGTCCACATCTGCAAAGTAGGATTCCGCCCAGAGCCTGCCAGAAGTGCTCAGGACATCCTCCCTGCACCCCGCAGCCCCAGGCACCTCGGTGGCCTCAGAAAACAGTTTGAGAAAAGCGGCAGGCATCCCCTGGGGCTCCTGGCTCACCAGGGAGGTTGGCTTTGTTGCTCTGGTCCCAGGGCTGGATGGGTGGGAGGGTGGCCCCAAACCACATCACCTCGAGAGTGAACCCTGAATCTCCCATCAAATTCAGTCCCTGAGCCCCAAGGAAGACCCACTCAGCACTCCCAGCCCAGGCCGGGTTCAGTTCATGCTTGCGTCTAAAGTCAAAGGGCTTGGGTTGGACCTCAGAAAACAAAACCAAACACCAGTGAGCCCGTGCCTGCCTCCAACCCCCACTCACTGCCTGTTTAAAGTAGCCCCCAGGCACATGTGAGTTGCTGGGAGAAACTGTGGGGACCTGCAAGGGTGGCCACCCTCTATCTGGGGGCAGGCGGGGCTTGTCACCACGGACTGTGCTCCAGTAGGGACACGACAGGTCTGGGGTCACCCTGCTCACAGCTGGCCCCTGACACAGGGAAGCTCCCAACCTCAGACTTCCCCAGGTCTAGCTGTGACTGCCCAGGCGTCCCCAGCTGTGACTGTCCAGACAACCCTGGCTGTGACTGCCCAGGTGTCCCCAGACATGGCTGCCCCCAGACATGGCTGCCCATGTAGACCCAGCTGTGGCCTTGGCTCTGGAGGCCTGGCCCCAGGTGGACTCTCTCATGGCCCTTGCCAGCTGCAATGCCAGCCTTGTTCTTCATCCCTGATTTCAGGCTCTTGCCCCTCATGGAGGAATCCACTAGATCCTCTCCAGCCCTTGCTGAGGCTTGGGACTGAGCCACTCTGCACTTGGGGAGCTGCCTGGAGCTCCGCCTCCTCCTACAGGCGTGTGTGCCATGACTGTCCAGGCTTAAAACTAAGGGGTCCCAGGTTCTCAGGCTCTGTGACCTCGAATACACCGCTAGCTCTCTCTGAGCCCACAATAGCAAATAGCAACCCCACCACTAAGGGCGGTTGTGACGATGACATGTTTCCATGCATATAAAATGCTGAGCTCTGTCCCTGGCTCACAAGGCATGCTCAGAGCTGTTAGCTTCCTGCCTCCCTTCCCCCCATCAGCTGCACACATAGGGGCTCAGCCCTGGATCCTAATCCATGGACATAACTTTTGGGGAAAACTCACTGCAGCCCAGGCCTCTGACTTTGTGCTCAGATCCACGGGGCAGCGAGTGGAGAACCCCGGGAAGAAGGGGCCCTCTCTCCTCTACCTCTAGGACCTCAGCCCTTCTGGCCAGACCCCCCCAGTGGGGCCTCACTTTCTACCTGGCCTCGGCCCCATCCTGCCCCCTGAGGGCCCTGGACAGGGCTCAGGAAAGTGCCTCCTACCTGGCCTTGTGAGTCCTGTTCCCGGCCGAGGTGAGCAGGCTGGTGCTAACGTTGGGGAATGGGGCCTCGGAGGAGCTGTTGGCAACCCTGTCGCTGCTCAGCTCCAGGTAGGACCCGTTGAGCAGGTAAGGGCCAGCCCCCTCGTTCTCCTCATAATCCACGAAGAAGCTCTCGGCCAGGGAGCTCCTTGGGGCGCCCTGTGCAAAGATGCTGTTCACAGTCTCATTGAGGGTGAAGTCCTTCAAGTCAGAGCCTGCGCCCAGCAGCTGGTCAGAGATGGCGTTAGCCGAGAAGAACTCCTGGGAGGCGAAGTGGGTGTCAACCTCTTCGTCATCCTTGTCCCCGGTGAGAGGAGTCCCCGTGACGTTGCGGTCTGGAGAGGAGACAGGTGGCTCAACCGTGGGCACATCCGAGCCCTGGGGGCAAGGGCTGCCCTGGGGAGGGGACCTGGACGAGGGGGCCAGAAACACCAAG